>NC_000002.12:61402473-61705503 GCF_000001405.40 Homo sapiens | reverse complement strand
ACGCCGGCCTAGGCAACAGAGCGAGACTCCATCTCCAAAAAAAAAAAGGAAAGAAAGAAATGAGGTTTGCCATGTGAGGTTTGCCGGGGGGGATCCTGCTGAGTGAGGGTGCTACATACACTGCATGCCTTTTGCAAGTGGTTGCAGTTCTTCTGTCCAGCCGGCCACCACTGGACTGTCCCTGTATGTAAGTTCCCCCAAACAAAACCCTATGTCTTGTTTGCTGGCTCTGGGTCTCTTCTTCAGCCCCTTGAACCTGGTGTGATCCTGGTTAAAGTTAATAGGGATCTAGCATAGCATAGATAGATATTATGTATTATATAGAGTGAAATCTTAGAAGGTATTCAAAACCCTTTAGATTTCAAAACTTCCCAAATTCTAAGAAAACAAGTAGCTAAAGAGTTTGTCTTCAAATGCTGTTAGCTTTTGGCCAAGGTCTAAAGTACGGTGAAATAAGAATGCTTTCTCCATCCCTTTGCAGAGATATAATGCCAACTTTGGTTTCATTATTAGAAATTTCAGAAATAGGGTCCACAACAGACAGAATAATGACTGTTTGAAGATGTTCATGTTCTAATTCCTGAAATCTGTGAATATGTTACCTTACATGGCAAAAGGGAGTTTGCAGATGGGAAAGTTAAAGATCTTGAGATGGGGAAATGACCCTGGATCTTCCAGGTGGGACCAATGTAATAACAAGCGTTCTTATAAGAGAAAGAGGGAGGCAGGAGAGTCAGAGTCTGGGGAGATGTGACAACAAAAGCAGGGGTCAGGGTGGAGAAGAATGCCAGAGGAAGAGACCCTGAGCCAAGGAATGCAGGCAGCCTCTGGAACCTGGGAAATGCAAGGAAATGGATTCACCCCCAGAGCCTCTTGAAAGGCATGCAGCCCTCTACTGACAACCTGATCTTAGCTTAGCAAGACAGCTTTGGGTTTCTGACTCCAGAACGGTAAGATGATATGTCTGTGTTGTGTTTAAGTCACTAAGTTTCTGGTAATTTGTTCTAGCAGCGACAGGAAACTAACACAGTGTTTTACCATAAAGCAGTTCAAATCTGCATTTTGACTGAAGGACAACTGTTCTTTTGCATATTAATCAGGGCAAATATCTCTTAAATGTAAGTGGCAATTTAGGCCAACATATTTAAACAGTATCCAGTGAGAATTTACTAGAATCCCCTGGTTTTATTTTTTTTTTCCAAAGAATTGCTGCTTACATATCTGGTAAGTGTAAATTACCTGTAGAAATACAAAGCAGTGCTTTTTTTTTTTTTTTAGCGACAGGGTTTCACTATGTTGCCTAGGCTGCTCTTGAACTCCTGGCCTCAAGCAATCCTCCTCCCTAAGCCTCCCAAGTAGCTGGGATGACAGGCATGACACCATACCCAGCAGTGCTTATTATTTTGAAGAACATGATCATGATTATTAATATCTGCACCCCAAAAGTAATAATAAATAAAATTGGCTGTGCGCAGTGGCTCACGCCTGTAATCCCAGCACTTTGGGAGACCGAGGCAGGTGGATCACCTGAGGTCAGGAGTTCAAGACCAGCCTGACCAACATGGTGAAACCCTGTCTCTACTAAAAATACAAAAATTGGCATGGTGGTGGGCACCTGTAGTCCCAACTACTCAAGAGGGTGAGACAGGAGAATTGCTTGAACCCAGGAGGCGGAGGTTGCAGTGAGCCAAGATCATGCCACTGTACTCCAGCCTGGGTGACACAGCGAGACTCCCTCTTAAAAAAAACAAATGAAATAAAATGTATATAACTTATTTTTATCATGTTTCACATTTTAATATACATTATGCCAAAAAACTATTAAATATGATTTTTATCATTTCAATTATGATGAGCTTTATGACAAACTATCTCCATTTATTTATTTATAGCCTGTCACCCAGGCTGGAGTGCCATGGTGCAATCATAGCTCACAGCTTCCAACTCCTTGGCTTAAGCAATCCTCTGGCATCAGCCTACCAAGTAGCTAAAACTACAGGTGTGCACCACCACACCCAGCTAATTTTTTGTAGAGATGGCATCTCACTTTGTGCTCCAGGCTTGTCTTGAGACAAACCATCTCAGGAGAGCAGAAAAATATTAAGCAACTAGCAAATTCACATAATTCTGTGCCTTAGTTGAAGCTGGAAATGCTTTGATAAACTATTTTTTTTCAGGATGCTCCACCTAACTGAACATAGCAGAAGCCTCATAACTTGCATGGACTTGGGTGTAAAGCATTCTGGGGCCTCAGGCAGGAACAGGACTAGAGTGAGGTGAGAAAAGCACAAAATTTAAGGTGACACCCAAAATTTTAGTAATCAAGATAAATGTTTCTTTTTTTTTTTTTTTTTTTTTGGAGACAGAGTCATGTTCTGTCACCTAGGGTGGGGTGCAGTGGCACAATCTCAGCTCACTGCAGCCTCCGCCTCCTGGGCTCAGGCAATCCTCCCACCTCAGCCTCCTGAGTAGCTGGTCTACAGGCTCACACCACCACACCCAGCTAATTTTTGTATTTTTTGTACAGATGTGGTCTTGCCATGTTGTCCAGGCTGGTCTTGAACCAAGTGATCCTCCCATCTTAGCCTCCTAAAGTGCTGAGCTTACAGGCGTGAGCCACTGATCCCGGCCAAGATCAATGGTATGTTAATGTAATATTTTGAAAAATCAAATCAACAAACTATGGCCTATGGGCCAGCTGCCTGATTTTATTGTAAATAAAGTTTTATCAGCAATTCTAAGTGGGACAGGAGAGGAGAAATAGGGGCTAAGAAAACTGAAGTTAGCTACAGTATCACCTAAAAGACAACAAAGAAAACAAATGCACATGCTGAAAAATGCATAGTAATAGGCCAGAAAGCAGCAGGAAAAGAGAACAATGACCAAAACAACCTAGGAAAACATATCTGTCACAAATATGTCAAAAGGGTAATATTCTTAATGTGTACATAGTTAACAGTCAATAAGAAAAATAGTATTACACAACTATAAAACAGAGCTAAGAACAAATAGATAAAACGAAAAACAAATTGGCAATAAAGGCACCAAAAATGTCCAACCTCATTAGTAAATAATACTTGTAAATAAAATAGAGGTGACTTTCAACTATCAAATTAATTTGCTTTTAAAAGATAGTGCAGGCAGACAAATCTCAAGGAAAGTATAAACGGTATAACTTTTTGGAGGGAAATTTGGCAATCTGTATTAAGAGCCCAAAATGTTTTGTACTTTTAGACACACTAATATCATCTCTGGGAATCCATTCTGAGAAAATATTGCACAATGTTGTGAAGGAGTTCCATACAAAGTTGTTCCCCAAAGCATTAAACCTTCATTTATTAATTAAATATTTATTGATTTCTTATTTACTAGAAAAAAACCTATTTACTTTGGAGACCGAAATGAACTCAGTTATGAAAACATCTGTCTCTGACAAGCTGCAAGTCAAGACATTAATTTTCCCTATGGTTCTGTTATGCAGTTTCCTTTTAACATTCATAATGATTGGTTTTGAATGTTTGATCAAAGGATAGTAAATAGATTAGACTCATTTGCTGAAAGTCCTACCATTCCTTGAAAGAAATGGAATTTGACATATGTTTCCAATTGAGTTTAACTTAATTACAAACTCACAGGGGAAATATGTATTCATACACTCTAGGCAGAAATGTACAATGGTAAAACTGTATTAGAAGGCTTTTTAGTATCTATTAAATTTAAAAATATTCCTTCCCTTTGACCTACTAATTCTACTTCTAGGAATACATTCTATGAGAACACTCACATAAGTATAAAAAAATACATGCACAAAGATGTTCATTGAAGTACCGTTTGTAATTTTAGGCCAGCTGCGGTGGCTCAAGCCTGTAATCCCAGCACTTTGAGGCGGGCGTATCACTGGAGGTCAGGAGTTTGAGAACAGCCTGGCAAACGTGGTGAAACCCTGTCCTACTAAAAATAAAAAAAATTAGCTAGGTGTGGTGGCACATGCCTGTAATCCCAGCTACTTGAGAGGCTGAGGCAGGAGAATCTCTTGAACCCAGGAGATGGAAGTTGCAGTGAGCTGAGATTGTGCCACTACACTCCAGCCTAGGCAATAGAATGAGACTGTTTCAAAAAAAAGATACTATTTATAATTTAAAAAAATTAGAGACAATTCAATTTTCCAATATAGGGGCTGGATAAATAAATTATGGTACTTCTATTCAACAGAATAGTATTAATATTAACAATTAGCCAGCTGGGCATGGTGGCTCACACCTGTAATTCCTGCACTTTGGGAGGCCAAGGCGGGTGGATCACTGAGGTCAGGAGTTCAAGACCAGCCTGGCCAACATGATGAAACCACGTGTCTACCAAAAATACAAAAAATTAGCCAGGCGTGGTGGCGGGCGCCTGTAAACCCAGCTACTCAGAGACTCACTGAAGCCCGGGAGGCGGAGGTTGCAGTGAGCTGAGATCATGCCACTGCCCTCCATCCTGGGTGACAAGAGCGAAACTCCGTCTCAAAATAAATAAATAATAATAATTAGCCACTGTGAGTGCTGGTAAGTTGTCCAAAAACAAAACTTTGATTTGTAGTGTTTGACAATTTTCAGGGTACATGTTCTCTCACCACAGCCCTATTTATTTACTTAAGAGACCATGTCTCACTATGCCCAGGTTGTTTCAAGTGATCCTCCCACTTCAGCCTCCCAAAGTGTTGAGATTACAGGCATGAGCCATCATGCCTGGTGCCATGGTCCATTTTGAGCTACCAAGGTAAGATGATGTTACTTAACTTGAAGTTGTAAAGAGATGTGCGTATTTGGCGCTCTCAAGCCTGTACAAGAAGGTCCCGGCATACCGCTGACTCAGCAGAAAGATAGTAGGGAGGAAGGAAGGAGAAAAAAAATGAGACAGTTCTAATTATACTGACATAAAAAGATGTCCAAGATGTATGTTTAATTGAAAAAAAAAAGTTACAAAGTATTAGCATATGGTTTTATAAATATTTTTATTTTTCTTAATTTATATATTTTTTGAGACAGTGTCTTACTCTGCCACCTGGGCTACAGTGCAGTGGGACAATCACAGCTTACTGTAGCCTCGACCTACCAGGCTCAAGCAATCCTCCCACCTCAGCCTCCCAAGTGTCTAGGACTACAGGCTCACACCGCCATGCCCAGCTATTTTTTTTTGCAGAAACTGGAATCTCGCTATATGTCACAGGCTGTTCTCAAACTCCTAGGCTCAAGCGATCCTCCTGCCTTGGCTTCCCAAAGTGCTAGGATTACAGGTGTGAGCCACCATGCCTAGCCATATATTTGTTAATATTTGAATTTGTATAATCCATGTGTTATTACTGTAATCAGAAAAATAAATACAGTATTTAAAAATAAAATCTACAGCCAAAGGCCTTAAACTGTGAACAAGAGGACCATTTTTAAAAAGCACAAATAGTGCTTTCTTACACTCTGTTGCTGGCAGTATAAATTGGAGCAATCTGGCCAGGCGCGCAGTGGCTCACACCTGTAATCCCAGCACTTTGGGACACTGAGGCAGGCGGATCACCTGAGGTCAGGAGTTCAAGACCAGCCTGCCCAACATGGTGAAACCCTGTCTCTACTAAAAATACAAAAAGTAGCCAGGCATGGTGGCAGGTGCCTGTAATCCCAGCTACTAGGGAGGCTGAGACAGGAGAATTGCTTGAACCCGGGAGGCGAAGGTTGCAGTGAGCCAGAATCATTCCATTTCACTCCAGCCTGAGCAACAAAAGTGAAACTCCATCTCAAAAAAAAGAAAAGAAAAAAAGTGGAGCAATCTTTCTGGAGAGTAATTTGTAGTATGAACCTAAGCTCTAAAAATGTATTTATCTGTTGACCCAGTGATTCCACTTCTGGGGATTTATCCTGGAAAAATGATTAAGGATGCAAGCAAAAATTCAGCTACAGGAATATTCTTTGTGTTTTCTGTCAAATAATCTAAATGTTCAATAATAAGGAACATTATTAAATGTTCCTTTTAAAAAAGGAAAAAATTGTTGTAGATTCATATAAAGTATTCTGCAGCTATTAACAATATAGAAGTCTACTCATGTAAAAAGTGCTTACTTGTTTTAAAATGTATAAAAATAAAAACAGATTACAGGTCAGGCATGGTGGCTCACCCCTGTAATCCTAACATTTCAGGAGGCCTAGGTGGGCAGATCACTTGAGGTCAGGATTTCGAGACCAGCCTGGCCAACATGTTGAAACCCATCTCTACCAAAAATACATAAAATTAGCCGGGCGTGGTGGCACACGCCTATAGTCCCAGCTACTAGGGAGGCTAAGGCAGGAGAATTGTTTTAACCCAGGAGGCGGAGGTTGCAGTGATCTGAGATTATGCCACTGCACTCCAGCCTGAGTGACAGAGCAAGACCCTGTCTCAAAAAACAAATAATAAAAGCAGATCACAAAACCATACATACGGTATATTCTCCACTTTTATAAATCTAAAGCTACAGATCTTATGACTTCACTAAGTCCCTGGCTCACATTCAGTTACATGATTTGAGAGGGGAATGAGGCTAGATGTAAACTGTGACTTTTCCCAAACAATTTAGTAACTTGGGTTGTATGATATTCACTGCCTGGAATGCCCTTCTCTGCCCTGTATGAGGAATTCTATTCAGGCTCTTCATCACCTCTTTATTTATTATTTATTATGCTCCTAACCAATGCCCTTTCAGTGCTCAGGAGGACTCCTACAGGAATATTCAGTCTATAAGTGCTCAGGACGGGGCTGAGAATGGGTCAAGGTGATTTACAGAGTACAGTATCAGTTTGCCTTGGTGGGGGAATGAAGCACCTGGGACCATCAGTTACAGCAATGTGTGGATTTGGCATCTTTAAGGGAATTTAATAAATGAAGTTTATAAACAGTGTTTAAATATGTAAGAGAATTTGATTTGTTAAATCTGTATGCTTTTATAAATTTACAATGCTTAAGAAAATTCTATTACCTTTATAAATAGTGTTTAAATGGGAAATTTAATATGTCAAATTAATAAGCTCACTGAACATTAATCAAAGTACAAGTGAAAGTGTTCTATTTTAAAATAAATTGATAGGCCGGGCGCCCTGGCTCATGCCTGTAATCCTAGTACTTTGGGAGCCAAGGCGGGTGGATCACCTGAAGCCAGGAGTTCGAGACCAGCCTGGCCAACATGGTGAAACCCCGCCTCTAAAATTAGCCAGGCATGGTGGTCGGCACCTGCAATCCCAGCTACTCAAGAGGCTGAGGCAGGAGAATCGCTTGAACCCTGGGGGCAGAGGTTGCGACGAACTAAGATCACGCCACTTCACTCCAGCCTGGACAAAAGAGCAAAACTCCATCTCAAAAAAATAAATAAACAAATAAATTGATAGATTTATACATAAATTTGAGAAATGTGGTTAAATGCTTAATAACAACTAGGCTTAAAATTTACTGCCATAATAAATTAAATATCAACAGAGATGCAAGCAGCTTTATGAGTTCCTTCCCATGTACAAAAATTACTCTTGGCCATTTAAAATCTCAATTGACAATTGGTACAGATATGGTGCCATTTTGCAGAGGGGAAACTGAGGTGAAGATAACCTCCCAAGGTGATGGAACTAGGAAGAGGTGGACCCTGCATTCCAGCTCAGGTGACACCAGATTGCTAGAGTCAGAACACTCCACCACTTTCCTCTACTACCTCCAGCATATGAGAGAGATTCCATTTCTATAGAAAACAATGTTAGTTATGAATACATAACCTGGAAGAATATATGCCAATATGACAACATTGGTCTTTCCTGGAGTGGGAATTATAAAGGACCGGGTTTTTTTTATTTCTGTAATGTTTATGATTTGAGTAAAAGGAATTCTCTACCCCTTCACCCCATCTTTCAACTAATCTCTTTGCTGCCAATTTAAAATTAAGGGAATGGCCAGGCACAGCAGCTCATGCCTGTAATCCCAGCACTTTGGGAAGCAGGAGGACCGCTTGAGCCCAGAAGTTGCAGACTAGCTTGGGTAACATATCCAGACCCCTCTCTAGAAATTTTTTTTTTTTCAGAGGGAGTCTTGCTCTGTCTCCCAGGCTGAAGTGCAGTGGCGCAATCTCGGCTCACCGCAACCTCTACCTCCCGGGTTCAAGCGATTATCTTGCCTCAGCCTCCCCAGTAGCTGGGATTACAGGCGCGTGCCACCATGCCCAGCTGATTTTTTGTATTTTTAGTAGAGACGGGGTTTCACCGTGTTAGCCAGGATGGTCATGATCTCCTGACCTTGTGATCCGCCCGCCTCAGCCTCCCAAAGTGCTAGGATTACAGGCGTGAGCCATCGCGCCCGGCCTCATTTTTATTTTTGTTTTGTTTTGTTTTGAGACGGAGTCTGGCTCTGTCACCCAGGCTGGAGTGCAATGGCACGATCTGGGCTCACTACAAGTTCCGCCTCCTGGGTTCATCCATTCTCCTGCCTCAGCCTCCGGAGTAGCTGGGACTACAGGCGCCCGCCACCACGCCAGGCTAATTTTTTGTATTTTTAGTAGAGATGGCGTTTCACCGTGTTAGCGAGGATGATCTCGATCTCCTGACCTCGTGATCCACCCGCCTCGGCCTCCCAAAGTGCTGGGATTACAGGCATGAGCCACTGTGCCCGCCCAGAAAAAATTTTTTAAATTAGCCAGATGTGGTGCCGCACGCCTGTACACGCAGCTCCTTGGAAGGCTGAGGCGGGAAGATTGCTTGAGCCCTGGAGTTTGAGGCAGCAGGGAACTAAATGATACGGCCACTACTCTCCAGCCTGGGTGATACTACAAGACCTGTGGAAAGAGAAAGAAAGGGAGAAAAAGAAGAAAGATGAGAGAAAAAGAAACACAGAGAAAGAAAGAAAAAGGGAATTCTGTACCTCCTCGTTTCTTTTCTGTGTTGTCAATCAGCATTCTGTAGTCACTTAGTATCTACTTCATGGGCTGTCTTTTCTTTTCTTTTCTTTTCTTTTTTTTTTTGAGATGGAGTCTCGCTCTGTCACCCAGGCTGGAGTGCAGTGAAGCGATCTCGGCTCACTGCAAGCTCCGCCTCCCGGGTTCACGCCATTCTCCTGCCTCAGCCTCCCGAGTAGCTGGGACTACAGGCATGCGCCACCATGCCAAGCTAATTTTTGTATTTTTAGTAGAGACGGGGTTTCACCGTATTGGCCAGGATGGTCTCAATCTCCTGACCTCGCGATCCACCTGCTTCTGCCTCCCAAAGTACTGTGATTACAGACGTGAGCCACCGCGCCCGGCCAAGGGCTTTCTTTTCTTACACTCCTGTTGATGCTTCAAATGCCCCCTCAGATGGGCCTCACTCCGGGTTGAAACTGTTTGTTTGCTTGCTTGTATTTTTGTTTGTTTGAGACAGTCTCGCTTTTTTGCCCAGGCTGGAGTGCAATGGCTCGATCTTGGCTCACTGCAACCTCCGCCTCCTGGGTTCAAGCAATTCTCCCGCCTCAGCCTCCCCAGTAGCTGGGACTACAGGCACGCGCCACCACGCTCGGCTAATTTTTGTATTTTTAGTAGAGACGAGGTTTCACCATGTTGGCCAGCCTGGTCTTGAACTTCTGACCTCAAGTGATCTGCCCGCCTCGGCCTCCCGAAGTGCTGGGATTACAGACGCGAGCCACCGCGCCCGGCCAAAACTTTTTCTTAGGCTCCCATTCCCCATATCTCATGAAATTAGTCACCCCCTCACCTATTCTACCTTTGTGTCTACCATATGTTTTTGTTATTAAATGTATAATGCTGGAGTATAGTTACTTTTCTGTGTCATATATGTCTTTGTTTTCCCACCGTGTAGCACAGAAGTTGGCTGGTTAAACCGAATACATAAAAAGCAATTATATAGTTTTCTTTCTTTCCTCGAAAGGCTTACTCTCTTTAGTCCTTTAGACTAGCATTGGGGTAGGTGACACAATCAAGACTTAAGCTAAAGTGAAGGAATTCAGTGAAGAGGGTGTCACAAAACTAGAGAAATGGAATAGCCTCTCTGAAAAAAGAATCCTGTGCAGGGAGCCGCTGAGAGAGGACCCATGTCACATATGAGCAATTGGGAGGGAGGGAGAACCTTGTCTTCGCTTCCCAGGGTGTGCCATGTCCTGCTGCTCACAGGTTAGCCTGGCCGTACGTATTTCTCAGGGTCCAGTTTTCTACTTAAAGGAAAAAACAAAATACAAAAAAAAAAAAAAAAAAGGCAACTAACCCGTTAAGCTGGAAGAATATTTTTAGATAGCTGGGGCCTGGGAATACTTCTGTTACTTAACATGACCCCAGCCAGTGTGCATTTCATCCTGGATTGCCTCAGGGGTGGGAATCTTGGCTTAGGGTGGCACTGCGGAGGGGCAGCCCTGAAGACCCCCTACCCACACAGCGCAGACCCCCTGACTGCGCCCCCGCGTGGCAGCCAGCCTGAGGGCGGGGGGGCGAAACCAGGGTTTGCCCCGCCCCTTTCTCCCCTCCAAGTCGGCAGCGGCACTGGAAAGTGAAAATGAGAGTAGAAACCACCTGAGCACCCTCGCTCAGGCTGGCGACCCACACTGGTCATGTAGGCTGTGGGAGAGGAAGGGGAGCGCAGGTGGCTTGCAGGCAGGTGACCCTGTCAAGGGAAACCGGGAGGGGCTTCCTCTGGCCGCGGCCCCGCCCCACCCCGCCTCCCTTGGGCCCCGCCCCCACGAGTCTCCTCCCCCCACGAGGCCCCTCCCGGTTCCTACACCTCGGCCCCGCCCTGCGCTTTCGCCTCCGAGGCCACGCCCCCTAGGACCTGGCCAAGCCCCGCACTGAGGCTCCACAAGGCTTCGGCCTGTACGGCCACTTCCTCTTCCTCCTGCCTCTCCTCCTTTTTGGGGGACAGGGCCGCGCCGTGCCGCTGGCCCACAGACCTCGTGGATGCCGCATAGAATGGCCTGAAGCAAACACGGGGTTTTTCCCATAAGGGCCCCATCCAGGTCCGGGGGTTGGGTCACCTCTCCTGTACGTCTCTGCTGTGAGACCTTTTGCGGGGCGCGGACCCTGAAGATCCCTTTGGGTTTCTTCCTCCTTGCTCACCGGCCGGACCCAAGTGATGAGAAGGGGAGTAGGGAGATAAATTGTGGAAAGAAAAGAATGCTGCTGAATTACGGAGTGCCTAACTGAAGAAAAATCAGGGAGCAAGGACATGAGGGGGCAGTAAAATTTTTGAGGAAGATTCGTTGTCAGAAAATAGAAATGGCTAGAATCACCATCAAAGTGTCAGTCATTTCAAACTGCCTTTTAATTACAGTCCCCAGGATGCCTGGTAATTACAGTAGACATCTGACCTAATACTCGCAGACAAAGTTCAGATGGAAATATTTAGAGAAATGCAGGCACAAAGCAGGAAATTGGGGTATTGGTGTTTTCAGAGTTCTCTTTGGGTATCTCTTTGGGTATTGGGGGGGAAAAGCTCCAATGAAATATATCAGACATGATTTAAAAAATGACATGAAGCCACTGTCTGGTTTTCCTCAGGCCCGACATTGGGCAGCATTCACAGCAAGTATTCATTGGCTGGTGGAAGCCCTTGTGATCAAAATGAAGTCAGATGATTTAGCACATACAGTTGTTTGCCTGTGTTCTCCAAAACTGAAGAGCATTGCATTCACATTTCTTGTAGGGAGTGTAAAGGAAACAAACCACTCACCTGCTGCAAGTGCTTAGCATTGTGCTAGAATAATTACAGAAGCTATCTCAGGCTGGGCATGGTGGTGCACGCCTGTAATCCCAGCTACTTGGGAGGCTGAGACGGGAGGATCGCTTGAGCCCAGGAGAGATCACAACACTGCACTCCAGCCTGGGTGACAGGGTGAGACTGTCCAAAAAAAGGAAAAGAATAATTCAGCAGTAGTTGGTTACAGAGTGAAAAGTACTCCCACTTGATTTTTATTTTATTATCCTGGACTCGATTTTATTATCAAGTGGGATTTTTACCAGGGCTTTCAGAAGTTAAGGTAATTTGCCCAAGGTCACATGATTAGTAAATTATCAGTTTAGGATTGAACTCAGGTCACCTGTCTCCCCCAAATCATACAGAATGCAGGTGTGTACATTTATCTAAGTGTATCAAACTGTACAGGTAAATGGGTACATTTAATGTAAATCATAACCCAGTAAAGCTGATTTTTTAAAATCATGCAGAATGAGTGATGTTATAAAACTCGTCAAAGAAACCACATTATGATTTCATACATGAAAGTTTATATATAAAGGCTGGGCGTGGTGGCTCATGCCCGTAATCCCAGCACTTTGGGAAGTCAAGGCAGGTGGATCACCTGAGTTCAGGAGTTCGAGACCAGCCTGGCCAACATGGTGAAACCCCATCTCTACAAAAAATACAAAAATTAGCTGGGCGTGGTGGCACATGCCTGTAGTTCTACTTACTTGGGAGGCTGAGGCATAAGAATCGCTTGAACCCGGGTGGTAGAGTTTGCAGTGAGCTGAGATCGTACCACTGCACTCTACCTTGGCAATAGAGCAAGACTCTGCCTCAAAAAGTTTATGTATAAAGATATGCCTTTATTTATAATTAACATACATATTGAAAGGTTGGTGACACCACTGTCAAGCATTGTTCATTCAAGTGACCTTTCCAAACTTCAGTACAGATGTATATAAATATCAAGCAGGAAGCTACCATGGGTTAGGGTCATGAAAGTCTGTCTTGGAACAAGCATACACAGAATTGGAAACAACATTGGAAGTATGTGATACCACACCTATCTAACAAAAATATCTTCAAAGTGCAGGGCACTGAACGGATCAGACACTTTTGCTATTGGGTATGCACAAAAGTCACCTTTGTATGTATAATATACTATGTGTGGTACTAAGGATTGTATAATATACTATGTGTGGTACTAAGGATAGTGATTACCAGCTGCGCAGCAGAACTTACAAGTTTTTATTTTCAATTATACCAAGGCTGTGTTTGACTGTTTAAAGACAGTATACTGACAACTGTTTCATTTTATAATGTTCCATTTTGAAGTTTTACCAGTTTCAGAAACATCTTGAATTTAAGGCTTTAATGAAATTTTGTGAATCAAAAATTCATAAAATTGGTATTCTGAACAATCATGATTGTCCATACATATGTAGAAACAGGATACAGCATAACTCAGTTTTTCTCACAAGTGGCAAACTGGCTTTCATAGAATGGTTAAACTGATGATAGTTGCCACCCTGGCCCGATACACATATGTTTCTGTCGGTCAATTTAACAGCCCCCCTTATAACGATAAACTCCACAAGGCCTCAAAATAGGATGTTACTAATTGAATTTCACTGTTAGGAATTCTGCACAACCTTATGTTTTCCTAAAAAATATTTTCTTGGCCAGGCACAGTGGTTCATGCCTGTAATCATTCTCTACGATTAGCCTCCCAGCACTTTGGGAGGCTAAGGCAGGAGGATGACTTGAGCCCAGGAGTTTGAGATCAGCCTGGGCAACATGGCAAAACCCTGTCTCTACCAAAAACACAAAAAATTGGCCAGATTTGGTAGCATGTGCCTATGGTCCAAGCTACTCGGGAGGTTGAGGTGGGAGGATCGCTTGAACCTGGGAAGCAGAGGTTGCAGTGAGTGGAGATCGCACCACCGCACTCCAGCCTGGGCAACAGAGAGACCTCATCTGAAAAATAAAAAAAAATTTAAAATTTAAAAAGTTTAACCAAGGCCAGGTGTGGTGTCTCACGCCTGTAATCCCAGCATTTTGGGAGGCCAAGGCAGGAAAATCACTTGAGGTCATGAGTTTGAGACCAGCCTGGCCAGCATGGCGAAACCCCCTCTCCACTAAAAATACAAAAATTAGCTGGGTGTGGTGGCAGGCACCTGTATTCTCAGCTACTTGGGAGACTGAGAAAGGAGAAACACTTGAACCCGGGAGGTGGAGGGTGCAGTGAGCCGAGATCACGCCACTGCACTCCAGCCTGGGCAATAGAGTCTGGGCAAGAGACTCAGTCTCAAAAAAAAAAAAAAAAAAAATTCAACCTTATGTATATATAAAAGATATTCACTGCAGTGGCATATATAATGACAAAATTGGAAAACCTAATATAAATCAACAACAGTAACATATATAGCATAGATAAGAGACTATAAACAACTACATCAAAATGTTAATTGTGGTTATTGCTGAATAGTAGGATTATGGGCCACTTAAATTTTCTTTATACTTCAACATTTTTTCACATTGTCTATGATTAGCATTTTTTAATAATCAGGTAAATAAATACTAATTTTTAAAAAAGAAAATCCTTGGAGGGCTTAAGAAACACTTAACTTCTTGATCATAGCTAATGGAATAAAATATTAGTGCTTATACATGGTAAATAGCCAAGAAATAATCCTAAGCAATGACTACTTTAGAAATCAGTCTCACTCTGCCACCTCCTTTCATTCGTATCCTCAACTAGTTGTCAGAACTGTTTCCTGTGGTTGAAAGCCTATTTCTCCCAAAGTACAATAGTACAAAATGAATATAGTCTAAAAGCTTACACCTACATAGATCTAAAATGTTAACATTATTAAAAAACAATTAATAACACAAACTCAGAAAGTAATCTCATGTTTAATAATGCTTCCTTCTTCCCAAAAAGCCTAAGAGCCCCAGATCCTGTGCTAAATACTGTTAAAGTGCACAAAGTGAGGGTCTTTTCAACTAAAACACTCATCTACATACATAATATGATTCATATGTCCTAGAAAAAGGTCTGGAAAACTGTACATCAAGTTATTAAGTCTCCAATGGTGAAATTATAAATGTTTTCAGAACATTTTTGCTTGTCAGTATTTTCAGATTGTTGTATAATGTGTGACTATGGTCTTTTGTCAAAAGAAAAAGGTGTTTTAATGTCATTTTGACAAAAATAAATGCTACCTAGAGCTGTTAGAATTTGTGCCTTTTAAAAGACCTTTTTAACTTGCAAGTAGGAAAACAAGTTAGTAATTACAGCATGGAGTTTTGACACACTAAGCAATATAGCTTTATATTTGGTATCTGCCTAATACTTGAGAAGAAAAAAAATAAGTCCTTTGAACATGTTTATGAAGCAATTTAGGAAATCCTCTCAGACAACTCAGTTGTGTTCCAACTATTTAAATAAGTTAAATGAACACCTTCCATTGGCAGTTGTATCAGTGGAGTCATACATCAATGAAGGATTTAAAACAAGGCAAATACTCTAGTAGAAAATTGAAGAAACAAAACACCATGTAGAAACAGACAAGTTTCCCAATAGAACAGCATCAAGTTAATAATTAGTCTTTAAATAAAAACAACTGGGACATTTTTGCCTGTCACAGATTTCTAAGATGGAACATTACCTGTGGGTTGGTAACATGGTCCATTTTACAAAGTATACTGGCCCTTTGTTTTACATAAAGTAGATGTTCAATACCTTTTTATTTAAAAATTTTTTGATTCAAACTTATGCAATTGAAAAATGATTCTTAAGTTTAATTTACAAATGAAGATTAATTGCTCACTGGACAAAATTTAATACTAATTTTTTTCTTAAATTTGAGCATCTGGAGGAAAGTCTCAATTAATTTGAGTTCACATCTAATAAAATGAAACAAAACCATCTGATTGAGGCAACATGATGTACTGAAAAGAGCTTTGAACACTGGAATCTCCCAATATTGCAACTATTTTGTAACTTTGGTTTCATTTTCTCCCACTCTAAAAGGAAATGATTAAGCCCATCATCTCCAAGATCTTTTTACGTTTTAAGAGTCTGTGACTTGGGCTGAGAGCCGTGGTTCATGACTGTAATCCCAGCCCTTTGGGAAGCCGAGGCGGAGAAGATAACTTGAGCCCAGGAGTTTGAGACCAGCCTGGACAATATCGTGAGACTCTCTCAATTTTTAAATAAATATAAATAAAAAAGAGTCTACGACTTGAAAACAAACATGAAGATTCTAAAAGGTGGAGAGAAGGCAGACTGGCTAGGAAACTCAGGGCCCAAGGAACAGCGATGCATCTTCTAGATTGTCTTTCTATCTCATCTATACTGCACTTGGAGCTGAAGAAGCTGGCGGCTCCAACAGAAGCCTGCTCTCCTTAGCCAAAGGACCTGAAAAAGAGAAGCCTAGTAAGACAGAAAACCTTTAGACAGTAACTTCTACACTCGAGCCAAACATGGCAGAAAAAAACTGTGGCCGCAACCCATCCCCCTGAGTGGAAGCCAAGTAGGAAACTTAGATTTCCACCTTTGCCAGACTATAACGAGGTGCCCCAGTGCCACCCACCACCACCCTGCCACCACCAGTGTGGTGCCAGAGGAAGCCTAGTGGAGACGCAGGACTTTCACAACCACTCAGAAAGTCATGAGGTGGAGGCGACACACCCTAACCCTGTGATGTCAGAGGGGTCCCCCTCAGGAGCAGAGTGAGGCCCTCCCTGTCAGGGAGACATCAGTGGAGGCTTAGTGAAGACCTGGAATGCCCATCTCCACCCAGAAGTAATGAAGAGCACCTCCAACAGAGGCCAAGTAGGCCCGAAGAGTACAGCACCCAACTGGACTTCTACCCCCAGCCAGCAGTAACGTGCTGTCCAGCCCCATGCCCCCACCCTCCTCCTGGAGCATTATCAAAGAAACCAGCTGAAAAAGAATGTTTCAATAAGATCCACGTGCTGCCCTTTAAAGCACAAAAGTTTTTTTATTTTGGCCAGGTGTGGTGGCTCATGCCTGTAGTCCCAGCACTTTGAGAGGCCAGGGTGGGAGGATTGCTTAAGCCCAGGAGTTTGAGACCAGCCTAGGCAACACGGTGAAAACCTATCTCTACAAAAAAAATAGAAAAATTACCTGGGTGCAGTGGTGCGGGCCTGTAGTCCCAGCTACTCGGGAGGCTGAGGCGGAGCATCACTTGAGCCCTGGAGGCGGAGGCTGTGGTGAACCGAGATTGCGCCACTCTACTCTAGCCTGGGCAAGAGAGTGAGACCCGGTCTGAAAAGAAAAAAAAAAAGTTTTTTATTTTGAAGTCCAATTTGTCCATTTTTTCTTTTGTTGTTCATATTTTTGTTCTCATATCTAAGAACTCTGCCAAATCCAAGATCATGAAGATCCCTGTTTCCTTGTTTTCTTCGAAGAATTTTATAATTTTAGCTCTTACATTTAGGTTTTTCATCCTTTTTGAGTTAATTTTTGTATATGGTATGAAATAAGGGTTCAACTTTATTGTTTTGCCTGTAGCTATCCAGTCATCCCAGCACTATTTGTTGAAAAGAATATTCCTTCCCACTGAATGGTCTTGGTATCCTGTCAAAATCAATTGAATATCGGCCAGGCACTGTGTCTCACGCCTGTAACCCCAGCACTTTGGGAGGCTGAGGAGAGCAGATCACCTGAGGTCAGGAGTTCGAGACCAGCCTAGCCAACATGACAAAACCCGTCTCTACTAAAAATACAAAAATTAGCAGGGCATAGTGGTGGGCACCTGTAATCCCAGCTACCTGGGAGGCTGAGGCAGGAGAAAGCATGAACCCGGGAGGCAGAGGTTGCAGTGAGCAGAGATTGAGCCACTACACCCTAGCCTGGGCGACAGAGTTGACTATAGATGTAAGGGTTTATTTCTGGACAGTTAATTCCATTCCCATCCATCTATATGTCTGTCCTTGTGCCAGTACCACACTGTTTTGATAACTACTGATTTGTAGTAAATTTGAGATCAAGAATTGTGAGTTTCAAACTTTATTCTCCTTTTTCAGGATTGATTCGAATATTCTGGGTCCCTTGCAATCCATATGAATTTTAGAATAAACTTGTCAATTTCTAGGAAGAAGTCAGTGGGGATTCTGATAGGAATTGCATTAAATCTTTAGATCAGTTTCAAGAGCGTTGCCTTCTTAACAATGTTAAATCTTGTAATCCAAGAACATGGAATTTTTTTTCATTTCTGTAGATCTCCTTTAATTCTGTTCAACAATGTTTTGTAGTTTTCAGAGCATAAGTTTTGTACTTCTATTTTTTTTTAAATTTCAACCTTTATTTTAGGTTCAGGATGTACCTGTGCAGGTTTGTTACATGGGTATATTACATGATGTTGAGGTTTGGGGTACAACTGATCCCATCACCCAGATAGTGAGCATAGTACCCAGTGGGTAGTTTTTCAACCCTTGCCCCCTCTCTTCTTCCCCTTTCTAGTCATCCCCAGTGCTTACTATTCCTATCTTTGTGTCGATGGGTACCCATGCTATGGGTGATTATTGATGAGAACAATAAGCACCAGGAACTACTAGGGGAGAGGAGGGTGAGTGCAAGGGATGAAAAAATGGGAGCTAAACTATTTTTTTTTTTTTTTGAGATGGAGTCTCACTCTTGTCGCCCAGGCTGGAATGCAATGGTGCGATCTTGGCTCACCGCAACCTCCACCTCCCGGGTTCAAGTGATTCTCCTGCCTCAGCCTCCCAAGTAGCTGGGATTACAGGCACCCACCACCACACCGGCTAACTTTTATATTTTTAGTAGAGATTTTGGGCAGGCTGGTCTTGAACTCCTGACCTCAAGGGATCTGCCCGCCTCAGCCTCCCAAAGTGCTGGGATGACAGGCCTGAGCTACTGTGCCCACCTGGGAGCCAGAGTCTTAAAAGCGAGAACATATGGTATTTGGTTTTCGGTTTCTGTGTTAATTCACTTAGCATAATGGCCTCCAGCTGCCTCTATGTTGCTGCAAAGGACACGATTTCATTCTTTTTATGGCTGCATAGTATTCCATTGTGTATATGTACCGCATTTTCTTTCTTCGATCCACCATTGATGGGCACCTAGGTTGATTCCATGTCTTTGCTATTGTGAATAGTGCTGTGATTAACATGAGTTGCACTTCTTTTGTTAAATTTATCCCTAAGTATTTTATTCTTTTTAATGCTATTGTGAATGAAATTGTCTTCTTGATTTCATTTTTGGATTTTTCATTGCAAAACTGCAAATGATTTTTGTATATCAATTACATATTCTGCAACCTCACTGAAATGGTTTTCTATTTCTAGTAGACTTTTAGTGTATTCCTTAGGATTTTCTATATATAGGATCGTGTCATCTGTGAATAGAGATAGTTTCATTTCTTCCTTTACAATGTGGATGCGTTTTATTTTTCTTTACTAATTGCCTTAGCCAGAATCTCTAGTACAAAACTGAATAGAATATTCAAGTGGGGCTTATTCCAGGGATGCAAGGCTGGTTTAATATTCAAAAATCAATCAACATAATCCACCATATAAACAGCCCAAAGAATAAAAATTACATGATCATATCAATTAATGTAGAAAGTGCATTAGAAAAAATTCAACATCCATTTATGATAAGAACTGTCAGAAAACTACAAATAAAGGGGAACTTCCTCAACTTGAAAAAAAAATCACAAAAACCCCACCAGTAACATTATACTTCATAGTGAAAAACAATGTTTCTCCCCTAATATCATGAGCAAGGCAAGGTTGTTCGGTCTCATCACTGTCATTCAACATAGTGCTGGAAGTCCTAGCCAATGCAATAAGCAAGGAAAGGAAAGAAAGCATACAGATTGGAATGGAAGAAATAAAACTGTTCCTATTTGCAGATGACATGACTGTCTACATAGAAAATCCTAAGGACTCTACAGAAAAAAAACAAAAACCCTCCTAGAAGTAATAAGTATGTTCAGCAAGATTATAGAATATAAGATAAACACAAAAATCAATTGCATTTCTATATGCTGGCAATAAACGTGTGAACACCAAAATTAAAAATGATTTATGGCCTAGCGCAGTGGCTCAAATCTGTAATCCTAACACTTTGGGAGGCCAAGGTGGGCAGATCACCTGAGGTCAGAAGTTTGAGACCAGCCTGGCCAACATGGTGAAACCCAATCTGTACTAAAAATACAAAAATTAGCCAGGCATGGTGGTGCGCGCCTGTAAGCCCAGCTACTCAGGAGGCTGAGGCAGGAGAATTGCTTGAACCCAGGAGGCAGAAGTTGCAGTGAGCTGAGATCATGCCACTGCACTCCAGCCTGGGCAAGAAGAGTGAAACTCTGTCTGAAAAAAAAAAAATTATGATTATCCTCCACAAAAATGAAATACTTAGGTGTAAGTCTACAAAACGTATAGGAGACTTGTATGATGAAGACTTCAAAATGCTGATGAAAGAAATCAAGAAGATCAAAATCAATGGAGAAATGTACTGTGTTTCTAGGTTGGAAGACTCAGCTTAGTAAAGATGTCAATTCTCACCCAAATTGATATACAAGTTTAATGCAAATCCTATCAAAATTCTAGTAAGATTTCCTGTAGATAGACAAGATTGTTTTAAAATTTAGATGGAAATGCAAAGGACCTAGAATAGCTAAAACAATTTTGTAAAAGAAAAATAAAGTGGGAAGAATCAGTCTACCCAATTTCAAGATTTAATTATATAGCTACAGCAATCAATACCATGTGGCACTGGCAGAGGGATAGAGATACAGACGAATAGAATAGAATAGAATAGAATAGAATAGAATAGAATAAAATAGAATAGAATAGAATAGAATAGAATAGAATAGAAAGAATAGAATAGAATAGAATAGAATAGAATAGAATAGAATAGAATAGAATAGAATAGGAGGGAACCCAGAAATAGGCACACACAATATACCCATCTGAATTTTGACAAATATGCAAAAGCAATTCAATGGAGAAAAGACAGCATTTTCAACCAATGGTCCTGGAGTAAATTGGACATTCAAAGACAAAATAATGAACCTGAGTCTCACACCTTATACAATATACAAAAATTAAAATGGACCATGGACTTAAATGTAAGGCATAAAACAGTAAAACTTTTTAGGAAAAATAATTAGGAGAAAATCTGCAAGATCTAAGGTGAGGGCCGGGCACAGTGGCTCATGCATGTCATGTCAGCACTTTGGGAGGCCAGAGGGTAGATGACATGGGCCCAGGAGTTCAAGACCAGCCTGGGCAACATGGTGAAACCCAGTCTTTATTAAAAATACAAAAATTAGCCAGGCATGGTGTCATGTGCCTGTAGTCCCAGCTACTGGGGAGGCTGAAGTGGGAGGATTGCCTGAGCCCAGGAGGTCAAGGCTGCAGTGAGCCAAGATTGTGTCACTGCACTCCAACCTGGGCAACAGAGGAGACTCTGTCTCAAAAATAAATAAATAAAAATTAAAAAATTGAAAGTGAGGTAAAGATTCTTTTGTTTTTTGTTTTTTTCTTTGTAAGATAGGGTCTTTCTCCGTTGCCCAGGCTGGAGTGCCTTGACCTCCTGAAGTGCTGGGATTACAGGCATGAGCCACTGTGCCCAGCCTAGCTTTCTAAAGCCAATCTATAAAATGAAAAATTGGTAAATTGGACTTTATTAAAATTTAAAACTTTTGCTCTGCAAAAAAACTTCGTAAAGAAGATGGAAAGACAAGTTACAGACTGGGAGAAAATATTTGCAAACTACATATTCAACAAAGTACTAGTATCTCGACTATATAAAGAACTCTCACATCACTGTACTCCAGCCTAGGTGACAGAGCAAAACTCTGTCTCTTAAAGAATAAAGAAAAAAAAACTACAAAGAGATATCACTACACACACATAATAGAATGGCTAAAATTTAAAAAATAGTGACAAGACAATACCAATGCTGACAAGGATGTAGAGAAAATATATCACTCATACATGCTGCCACAAATGTAAAATGGTACAGCCACTTTGGAAAAACAGTTTAGCAGTTTCTTAAAAAACTGAACATGCAACTACCATAGGACACAGCAATAGCACTCCTAAGCATTCATGTCAGAGAAATGAAAACGGAATGTCCACCCTAAACCCTGTACACAAACGTTTATAGCAGCTTTATGCATTGTCTTAGTCATTTGGGTTGCTATAACAAAATACCTTAGACTGGGTAATTTATAAACAACAAATATTCATTGTCCACCGTTCTGGAGGCTGGGAAGTCCAAAATCAAGGCACCAGCAGATTAGGTATCTGGTGAGGGCTCATTTTTCATTAATGGTGCCTTTGTGTGTCCTCACATAGTGGCAGGGGAGAGGGGCTAGCAAGCTCCCTAATACCCCTCCTTTTTTTTCTTTTTTTTCTCTTTTTGAGACAGTTCTTGCTCTGTCACCCAGGCTGGAGTGCAGCAGTGTGATCTCGGCTCACTGCAACCTCTTCCTCCCGGGCTCAAGCCTACTAAAGTGGGCGTGGCTATAAAAGGGCAACGTGAGGGATCCTTGTGGTGATGGAAATATTCTGTATCAATGTCAGTATCCTGGTTGTGATACTATAGTTTAACTTTGCAAGATGTTAACACTTGGGGAAACTGGGTAAAATGTACATAGGATTTATCTGAATTATTTTTTACAACATATGAATCTACAATGATCTCAAAATTAAAAGTTTATTTATTTATTTATTTTTTTAAAACAAGGTCTTGGCCGGGCGCAGTGGCTTACACCTGTAATCCCAACACTCTGGGAGGCCAAGGCAGGCAGATCATTTGAGGTAAGGAGTTCAAAACCAGCCTGGTCAACATGGTGAAACCCTGTCTCTACTAAAAATACAAAAATTAGCCAGGAGGCATGGTAGCATGCGCCTGTAATCCCAGCTACTTGGGAGGCTGAGGCAGGAGAATCGCTTGAACCCAGGAGATGGAGGTTGCAGTGAGCACAGATCGTGCCATTGCACTCTAGCCTGCGTGACAGAGCAAGACTCTGTGTCAAAAAACAAAACAAAACAAAACCAACCAACCAAAACAAAAACAAAAAAACAAAAAAAAACAGCCGGGCGCAGTGGCTCATGCCTGTAATCCAAGCACTTTGAGAGGCTGAGTCGGGTAGATCACCTGAGGTCAGGAGTTTGAGACCAGCCTGGCCAACCTGGTGAAACCCTGTCTCTACTAAAAATACAAAAATTAGCTGGGTGTGAGGGCGTCGCCTGTAATCCCAGCTACTCTGGAGGCCAAGGCTGGAAAATCACTTGAATCCAGGAGGTGGAGGTTGCAGTGAGCTGAGATCACACCATTGCACTCCAGCCTGGGCAACAAGAGTGAAACTCTGTCTCAAAAAAAAAAAAGAAAAGAAAAAAAAGGAAACAAAGTCTCACTATGTTGCCCAGTCTGGAACTCCTGGGCTCTAGTGGTGTTCCTGCCTCAGCCTCCCAAGCAGCTGAGACTACAGGTGTGCACCACCAAGCCCAGCAAAAGTTTAATTTTTTTAAAGAATCTAAAATTTGCTATCTAGATAAGTGAGAGAAGCTGACAATATGATATCACTATTGTTAAAAAAAAAATAGTAACTGCAACTGTCTGGCCCTCAAAGGTCTCATTTCCTAATACCAGCACCTTAGGGGTTAGGATTCAACATATGAATTTGGGGGGTTGGAGACACAAATATTCAGATGATAGCACCCACCTTTCCTCCAACCTTATCTCCTACTAGGCACCCCTGGTATATTGAGCTGCATTCTGGCTTCCTTTTTTTTTTCATACCTGAAGCACATTCACATCTCAGAGTCTTTGTACCTGTGGTTCCCTCTGTCCAGAACAACCCTCCCCTACATATCTGTGAAGTTTCCTCTTGCTTTCAGGTTTTTAATAAAATGTGATGGCTTCTGAGAAACCTGGTTGCCTAGCCACCCTATCTAAAGTAGCAGCGCTACCACTCTCTAGCCCTTGACTCTTTTTCTACAAAGCATCTACCACCGCTATTACATATCTATTTGCTCATTATCTGTCTCCTTCTCTAGAACATAGGTTCCATGAGGGCAGGACTTTGTTTACTGCTCAATCCCCAGAGCCTAGGTCAGCATTTGGAGCATAGAAAATGATCAATAGCCCAGGCATGGTGGCTCATGCCTGCAATCTCAGCACTTTGGGAGGCCGCAGGCAGATTACCTGAGGTCAGGAGTTTGAGACCAGCCTGCCCAACATGGTGGAACCCCGTCTCTACTAAAAGTACAAAAAAATTAGCTAGGCATGGTGGTGTGTGCCTGTAATCCCAACTCCTCAGGAGGCTGGGGCAGGAGAATTGCTTGAACCCAGGAGACGGAGATTGCAGTGAGCCAAGATCACGCCACTGCTCTCTAGCCTGGGTGACAGAGCAGGACTCCATCTCAAAAAAAAAAAAAAGAAAGAAAGAAAAGAAAAAAAGAAAATGATCAATAAACATTTGGCAAATGAATGAATTCAGATAGTAAGGGAAATGAAACATTATATTTGCCACAGAGATTGCCAAACAGAAAGATAGTAGTGAGAAGAACATGAAAGAAAAGTCATACTGATATTCATTGAATGCCTCAAAGTAAGCCGGCTCAGTATCAGAGGTCACATTCCTGTTTTACTGAAGATCAGGAATTAACATACAAACAGTGATAATATATTGAATAGAAGTCAGACAATGTGCAGAAGATATTTTGTGAGACAAAGTATCTGTGTTCATATTTAATCAATATTCCTATAGTATTAAAAATGGAGGCTGGGCACGGTGGCTCATGCCTGTAATCCCAGCACTTTGGGAGGCTGAGGCAGATGGATCACGAGGTCAAGAGTTCGAGACCAGTCTGGGAAACATAGTGAAACCCCGTATTGACTAACAATACAAAAAATTAGCTGTGTGTGGTGGTATGCACCTGTAGTCCCAGCTACTCGGGAGGCTGAGGCAGGAGAATCACGTGAACCCAGGAGGCAGAGGTTGCAGTGAGCCGAGATGACGCCGCTGCACCTTCAGCCTGGGCAACCGAAGTGAAACTGTCTCAAAAAACAAGCAAACAAACAAACAAACAAACAAAAAAGGAGAGGTATAGGGAGAAAGCTCATTTGGGAATTTTGTAATATTTAAGACAATTTTGGGTGATGTTTATGGCTATAGTTTGAGATGAGCTTTGGTCACATTTTTCTGAGAAGCTTTGATTCCTTAGTAAAAATTATGAAAGCAAGCCTGTCCTGATTTAGCCAAAGTAACATCAGTTTCCTGAAGCAACAGGTAGCTGCCCACTTCATACCAGCATAACCTACTTTCAGACTAATTTCTAGACCAGTGGGTGGTATTAAGGCCCTGTTGCTGGCGATTTGGGGATTTAGGATATTTATGACTATTTCTGATACCACATTCCTGCTCAGAACGATGAGACTACCTCACAGCCTTGAATTTCATGTCTGATCAAACAGTGCATGTCACAGAACCTGTGTCCAGTACATCCAGAACCAATCTGGCCCAGCCCAGTTTAGGAGTGTCGATGATCCAGGCAGGTCAGCAGCATCTCTGTTTGGAAAGAGGAATTTGGCCTGCCCTGACTGTGTCATTCTCCTCTTCTAACCTTTAGCAGTCCATTACTGATGGGTAAAGTTCCCATTCGTCCATCCACAGGCTTGATGGTACCTACTGTACCTTTATTTGTTATAATTCAGTGGTGAAGCCATCTGGGCCCAGGATTTTCTTGGTGATTGGCTTTTTTTATTATTAATTAAATGTATTTACTTGTTATGACCTATTCAAATTGTTTATTTCTTCTTGAGTTAATTTTTGTTAGCTTGTATCTTTCTATGAATAAATTATCTAATTTGTTGGTACATAATTGTTTATAGGATTTCTCCTCATCATTTATTGCCCCACTAAATCAAGTGTTCCTAAATATGACCCCTGCTTTCCTGCCCTTTCACTTTTGTACCTGGAATCCCTTCAACTTAGTCTGTACTTATTGAAGTGTATTGAATACCTACTAGAACCAAAATATTCTTTGGAGTTCTCTAGGGAATATATGAACAAATAGATATAGTAAGGTCTTGGCTCTCAAAGAGCTTATTGTCTAGCATAGTGTCTTCTGAAGTGTGTTCTTCAGAAGTCCTGCAAAATACAACTCAAAAATAAGGTTCTATGATCAAAGACATGAGGGAACATGGTACCATATATCATTTCTTCTGTAGGTGGTTCATAATTCTCACGAGCATGTTTATTACTCTAAGAAGTTCTGCCATAGAGAAGCTCAGAGTTTCCCAAAAGAATGTGATCACCAAACCCGTTTGTTATATAGCATCTATTAACAATCTAAAGAACTTCTGTTCAATGGAAAATACTTCAGGAAACCATGGACTAGATAAAACACACAACCGAGTAGCTACAGTGCAAGTCAAATGTCCTGAGAGCTAGTCCTGTAGCCCTAATAGGTCCATTGCTCAATGTGCACCGAAAGTCAACACACCGAGACACAGTGTTGCAGCAGAGACAGGTGTTTACTTGTAGCGCTGTCTAACAAGGAAACAGGACAAAACCTCAAATCTATCTTCCTGAGGAGTCTGAGGCTAGGAATTTTAAGGGCTTTTGAGTGGGCTGAAGTGTGGAGATTGTTGATTGGCTGACAAGTGCAGGGAAAGTCATGGGAGAGAAAGATGAGGAAATGATATTCTAATGCCGATTTGTTTTTTCTGTGGGGGGGTCTTTAAACTGATTGGCATCAGCTGGTCTACTGGAATTCAGGATTCACTTACGCAATTCTTAAATAAAATCTTACGATTCTAACATCAGAGATCTTATCTAACTTCAGAAATCCTGTCTATAGGAACAGTGGGAATGCAAACAGTATCTAGTGTCATCCGTGTCTAGAGACTCACTTACAAGGAAGTCAGTCAAAGTGCAGGCTGATTAGTGCTTAATAATAACTATATTTCTGTCCAGAATTCTTGTTAACCCTGTGAGCATGGCTTCGGTCCTTGAAACATGAGTAGGAAGATGGGGGAAACAAATGAAGGAAAGGCAGAGAAGGAAACATAAATAAAGCATCCAGGGAATAGAAAGAAGAGCAGAAGAGGTGGAGACAAGAGTTAAAGAAGCTAAAGGAAAAGAGAGTGGGTCAACACAAAGAGACCAAGAAATGACTCTTGGATTTAATGATCTTGAAGTCAGCATCAACCTTCAGAATAAAAATTCCAGGAAAATGGTGGAAGTACATAAAAGGAAATAAGGAGTAAGTAGAACAGTATGTGAATTCCAAGAAAGCAGAGATTGTTGCCTCTTTTATTTGCTGGTGCTCCCCAAACCCTAGAACCATAACTAGTGTTAAAAGAAAAACCTTCAACACTTAAATTTAACAGAATTTAATTGAGCAAAGAACAATTCATGAATTGGGAAGCCCCCAAACCAGAACAGGTTCAGAGAGGGTTTGGTGCTACTGCTTGGACAAAGAAGTTTTATGGACAGAAAAAGAAAGGTCAGGTACAGATGAGGTGCAAAAACAGATTGGTTACAGCTTGGCATTTGCCCTATTTGAACCCAGTTTGAACAGCTGGCCACCTTTGATTAGCCAACACTTGGTGATTGGCACCAGAGTAGGTTATGTAATCACTTGATGGATTCTCCCTGCCCATCACACAGGCAAAACCAGTTCACTGAGGCCATGTATTGCAGTAGAGAAAGAGTTTAATTAATGCCAGGCCAGCCACATGGCAGATAGAGTTACTACTCAAATCAGTCTCCACAAAGGCTTGGAGATTAGGGTTTTTCAAGGATAGGTTGGTGGGCAAAGGACTAGGGAATGGGTGCTGCTGACTGGTTAGGAATGCAATCACAGGGTTGTGGAAAAGAGTCCTTGTGTGCCGAGTCCACCTCAGGGTAGGGGGCCACAGGACCAGCTGGGTCAACAGTCACAAGTCTGGGTGGGGTCAGTCAGTTGCCATAATGCAAAAGTCTGAAATACATCTCAAAAGACCAATCTTAGGTTCACAATAGTGATGTTATCTCTAGAAGCAACTGGGGAAGTCACACTCCAGCCTAAGCAACAGAGTAAGACCCTATCTCAAACATAAATAAGTAAATAAATATACTAAATTATTCCCATGGTTAGCTTGCCGTATGTCCAGGAATGAGCAGACATAGCCAGCCTGAGGATAGAAGCAAGATCAAGTCAGCCATGTCAGATTTCTCTGTCATAATCTTTGCAAAGACAGTTTCAGTTATGGTCTGTTTACACATCCAGTTAGATTACAGTTCACTATGTACAGAGAAACCTTTAATGTATGTAAATATGGCTGAGTGTGCCAGCTCATGCCTATAATCCCAGCATTTTGGGAGGCTGAGGTGGGTGGATCCCTTGAGCCCAGGAATGTGAGACCAGCCTGGGCAACATGGCAAAACCCCATCTCTACAAAAAATTAGCCAGGTGCAGTGGCATGCACCTGTGGTCCTAGCTACCTGGGAGGCCGAGGTGGGAGGATTACCTGAGCCTGGGAGGTCAAAACTGCAGTAAGCCATGTTGCCGCTACTGTACTCCAGCCTGGGTGACAGAGTGAGACCCTGTTTCAAAAAATAAATAAAATAAAATATGTAAAGAGACAGCTTTAGGCTAAACTTAATTTAACACTAGCACATCGAAAGCTCTCCATAAATATTCATAAATAAGTGGATGAATTAATGTATGATGAGTGGTGGTTTAAAAAAAGTGAGGTAGGGGCCAGGCACAGTGGCTCACGCCTGTAATCCCAGCATTTTGGGAGGCAGAGGCAGGCAGATCACGAGGTCAGCAGATCCAGACCATCCTGGCTAACACAGTGAAACACCATCTCTACTAAAAATACAAAAAATTAGCCAGGCATGGTGGCGGGCGCCTGTAGTCCCAGCTACTTGGGAGGCTGAGGCAGGAGAATGGCGTGAACCCAGGATGCGGAGCTTGCAGTGAGCCAAGATTGTGCCACTGCACTCCAGCCTGGGCCACAGAGCGAGACTCCATCTCAAAAAAAAAAAAAAAAAGTGAGGCAATGGAGGTAATAAAGAAAAGACTACAATAATAGTGTAGTTGAGGAAAGGGGCAACTTGAACACACTTCCAGGCAGAGGACTCCGGTGGAAAAGTATACATCAGAGATGCAAAATAAGGAAACTGATGGGACACTATCATAATTAAAGCAAGAGGAAATGAGAACAACATCACAAGCAGTAGGATAGGAGAAGGTAGGTCTCATTATGGGTTCCATATTTCCATTAACTATATCAAAATTCACTCAACTGGCCAGGTGCAGTGGCTCACGCCTGTAATCCCAACACTTTGGGAGGCCGAGGCAGGCGGATCACGAGGTCAGGAGATCAAGACCATCCTGGCTAACACGGTGAAACCTCATCTCTACTAAAAATACAAAAAATTAGCCAGGCATGGTGGCAGGCACCTGAGGTTCCAGCTACTCGGGAGGCTGAGGCAGGAGAATGGCTGAACCTGGGAGGTGGAGCTTGCAGTGAGCCAAGATCGTGCCACTGCACTCCAGCCTGGGTGACAGAGCAAGACTCCATCTCAAAAAAAAAAAAAAAAAAAAAACACTCAACCACCCAAGCTAGTAGAAATAAAAATTATTGGAAGCCATTGTTTTGGACTAAGCTCCTGTACTAGGCCCCAACAGACAAGGCTAAAAAAAATGGAGTCACCCATGCTAAAGTTCTAAGTCATCAAACCCACACTAAGTTTTTATCTCACCTTCCTAGAAGGCAGGAGAAAGAGATAACAGCCAATTTCCTCGAACAGGCCAGTTTCAATCTTCAATCCACATGATAATGAAGTTCCCTCTGCTTTAATCCTTATACAAAAGAAATAGCCTGATGTAATCTGACATTAATAAGCTGTTTTTCTGTTGTTTTAGCCTCCTGTTCCCACCTTATAAGAAGAGTTGCTTTGAAATAACTAATATTCTGTGTTCTTTGCTTCTGCTCTCTTCCGCTTTCTTCAGCCTTTCTCTGTCTATAAAGCCAATCTCTTCTGCTCAGCTTATCATGCATGCTACTAAAACGCCAAGGGTTTGGTCTAGGTGCTGCTGCTTGGTGCACAGACAGCCAATCATTGAGGCATTGAGTATTGCCAGGGAAGAAGGCTTTGAATCAAGTCCTGCATCTGAGGAGATGGGAGATCAGTCTTCAATCCATCTCCCTGACCAACTAAAATCAGAGGTTTCTGTAGCAGGGAAGAAATGTAACTATATGCAAAACACAGGAATTAGGCAGAGGTAAGGAAAATAAGTTGGTCAACAGGAAGCAGGTTGTCATTTAGGCAATCATGATGGGTAAAAAGTCTTGAGTCTCTTTGTCCAGATGCAATGATCTGGTAACTTTCAGCTCCTTGGTACTATATGGGAGGCCTGATGGTTGGTTTCCTGAGAAAGGAACTCAGATAAGACAAATGTAACTTTCTCAAGTTTTAAGACTGTGAGTGTCAGTTTCTATGTTTATTCAAAAGAAATCATAAACATCAGTTTTATGGGACAATTAGGCCAGTTTCAATCCAAACACCTACTATATTTTATGGAATAAAATATTGCCTGATTCTAGAATCTCAAACAAAGCCAACTGAGATCTTTAAATTTGTAATTTTGTTCCTTGATGCTAGAAACCCCAGTCTTCTTTAACACATCTTTGACTTTCATCCTCTTGCCTGCTTAAATGGGCACCAAGCTTTCTCAATTCCACACCTCTCATGCTCCATAGCCATTCCCATTTTTTATCCCCATGGCACTACCCTAAGTAAGGCACTTGCCATTTCTTTCCTGAAAAAATTTAATGATTTTCTGACTATGGTATGATAGATTAAATTTAACTAAAGCTTCTTAAGTATTTTAAGTTTGGCCAAAAGCTTACACCATACAGTGAACTTAAACCTAACTAGATGTGTAAATAGACTGTAAACTACACTTGTAACAAAGAGCTGAGTCTCAACCAATCACAGAACCATACTTCAGCCAATCACAGGTGGCCAGCTGTTCAAACAGCGCTCAAGTAAGACAACCATCAGGGCTATAACCAATCCAGCTGTTTCTGTACCTCACTTCCATTTTCTGTGTCACATTCCTCTTTCTGTCCATAAATCCCGTCAGAACACGTGGCACCCCAGAAGTCTCTCTAAACCTATCATAGTTGGGGGTGGGATGTGCTGCCCAATTTGTGAATCATTTTTTGCTCAATTATACTCTATTAAATTGACTTTGCCTAAAGTTTTTCTTTCAACATTAAACCATGAATTCAATGGTTTTCTGTTCTCAGCCCTTTCTCTATACTGTCATCAGCACAGTGGTCTAAAACACAGACGTGATCATGCCATTTTTTTCTTCAAAAGCGCAGCAATAGATCATTCCTTGATTTATTGAGAGCTTCCTATGTGCTAGCTGCTGGGGATGCACTGGTGAGTTATGATAAAGGGAACATTTCAAACTAGGGGCAAAGAAATCAAATGGTCATCACAAAATGAAAAGATGCTCAATGTTATTTTTCTCCCATGAGATTGGCAAAGATTTTTCTTTTTTGAGACAGCCTTGCTCTGTCGCCCAGACTGGAGTGCAATGATGTGATCTCAGCTCATTGCAACCTCCATCTCCCAGATTCAAGCGATTCTCCTGCCTTAGCCTCCTGAGTAGTTGGGACTATGGGCGTGAGCCACCATGCCCAGCTAATTTTTGTATTTTTAGTATAGATGGGGTTTCACTATGTTGGTCAGGCTGGTCTTGAACACCTGACCTCAGGTGATCCACCCGCCTCGGCCTCCCAAAGTGCTGGGAGTACAGGCATGAGCCACTGCACCTGGCCAGCAAAGATTTAAAAGAATGAAAATATCCAATGTTGGCAAATATGTGGGAAAACAAGCAACCTCATCCACTATTGGTGAGGGTATTAATAGATACAAACTTTTTAGAGGGAAATGTAGCAATAATTATTAAAATTCCAAGGCCAGGCACAGTGGCTCACGCCTGTAATCCCAGCACTTTGGGAGGCTGAGGCAGGCAGATCACTTGAAGCCAGGAGTTAGAGACCAGCCTGGCCAACATGGCAAAACCCCATCTCTACAAAAAATACAAAAATTAGCTGGGTGTGGTGGTATGTGCCTGTAGGCCCAGCTACTTGGGAGGATGAGATGGGAGAATGGCTTGAGCCCAGGAGGTAGAGGTTGCAGTGAGCCAATATAGGGGCACTGCACTCCAGCCTCAATGACAGAACCAGGCTTTGACTCAAAAAATAAAATAAAATAAAATAAATTTTAGTAATACTCATTTGCCCTAACAATGGTTATCTCTGGAATTGTGGAATTCATTATATATATATATATATATATATACACACACACACGTGTATATATATATATATATATGTGTACACGTATATATATATATACATGTATATACATATATATTTATATATATATATATAATGTGTGTATATATATATATATATATATACACATTTTTTTTTGAGACAGTCTCACTCTGTCATCCAGGCAGGGGTGCAGTGGCGCAATCTCAGCTCACTGTAACCCCCGCCTCCCAGGCTCAAGCAATTCTTGTGCCTCAGCCTCCCAAGTAGCTGGGATTATAGGTGTGTGCCACCATGCCCGGCTAATTTTTGTATTTTTTGTAAGTTCAAGCAATTCTCCTGCCTCAGCCTCCCGAGTAGCTGGGTTTACAGGCGCCTGCCACCATGCCTGGCTAATTTTTGTATTTTTAGTAGAGACAGAGTTTCCCCATGTTGGCCAGGCTGGTCTTGAACTCCTGACCTCAGCCTCCCAAAGTGCTAGGATTACAGGCATGAGCCACTGCGCCGGGCCTGGAATTATTATATAAAAAACTTTTTTATATTCCTAGAAATCTGTAAGGCAAAAATAAAAAATAAAGACAGAAAAAGAAAAAAAAACTAACTTTTTACTTCTCCGAGTATTTTTCACTACTTTTCATAGTATTTAAATGTTTATGTTTATGATTATTCTTATCATCATTATTATTATTATTATTTTGAGACGGAGTCTCACTCTGTCGCCCATTCTGGAGTGCAGTGGCAAGATCTCGTCTCACTGCAACCTCTGCCTCCCAGGCTCAAGTTAGTCTCCTGCCTCAGCCTCCCGAGTAGCTGGGATTACAGGTGTGTGCCACCATGTCTGGCTAATTTTTTTGCATTTTTGGTAGAGATGGGGTTTCGCTATGTTGCCCAGGCTGGTCTTGAACTCCTGGCCTCAAATGATCTGCCCGCCTCGGCCTCCCAAAGTGCTGGGATTGCAGGCATGAGCCACTGCACCCAGCCTTATTTATTTTTCAATTTAAAAAATGATACAAAAATGTCATCAAGAAAATTTTTTTTCTTTAATGGATTCATGCTTTTTAGGACAACATTCAAGGCTCTTCAAAATGAGCCCCTAGCCCCACAATTTCACCTCTACCATTCCCATCCACCCTTCCCTCACCCAGAATTATCCTAGGTGATGCTTTTCGTTCTATTTCACTCCCTCCACCATTCCTCTCACTGGAATGTCTTCCCTCCTCCTGTATTAATCAAAATAATACTCATCTTCCCGGGAAGCCCAGGCATGACTTCCCTTTCTCTGGGATGCTTGTGCTCCCATCTGAATTAAATTGTCCCTCCTTGGTGCTGAGGCGGTAGTTTGTTTACACCTCTAGCAGAGCACAGTTTGGCTTGCACTATTGTCACTTGTGTCTAGTGTCTCCCTTGCCAGCATTTATTCTCCACTTTCCTTGCCTCTTCTGTGAAATAAATGTTCATTTCAAAATATTTATTCAGAGCATTGCATGTTCCATACATAAATCCACGCTTAAATTATTCAGCTCCTGGAGATACACAGCTCAGCCATGTGGGCAATTACTTCAAGTCACAAAATGCTATTTTGTATTAATTTGTATTTGAAGAGAGTGCAGGAATGCATTAAACATGTCTATAGCTGTCTGGTGTTTATTCACTGACAATGAGCCGGAATTATTACTTCACTTTAAGCCTTTCTCTGGTGATTTGTTTACAGAGAGTTGTGCTAAATAGCTGAATTGTTGTCATGACCCTTTGCCTAGATCTTTTCAAAACAGTCATTAGATTTGTGTTTTACATAACACATACACACACAAAATCTCATAACCAGGAGGAAAACTGAAAACAATTTAGAATTTTAAACTTCAGCATGAGTTAAGATTAGGTTTACGGTAATGGGGATAGCCCATGATTTTGTAACTCAACAATAATATAATTTTTGCCACTTGAAAGTACTAAGTTTCTGTGGTTGCCAAAAGTAAACTGTGACAGTGTGTAGAATGAACTAATAACTGTAAATGAACTTGATCAGTAGGGCTCCTCCCGGTAAATCAAATAATTAGTCAATTTTTGCTGTGTTGGAGACTACAGTTTCAGGTCCCCAAGTGGGAGTAGCTCTTAAAGCAAAAGTGGCAGCGCATTATCATTTGTAAATTTCCACTAACAAGCAAGCCTGACTGTGTCTTTTGGCAGCCAGGGCTGTGACCTTTCTAACAGCCCAGTGTTTGTCATTGTTTTGTTTATGAGCATCTATATATGCCAGGGAAGATCTGGGGAGAGAGATTCAGAAAAAGAAAACTGAAACTAAGAAGGAAATCAAAAGCAAAAAGCCAGAAACTACTTCTTTAGCCTTTTCTTTATGATCTTAGGACTTCAGGGACCTTGAAAGATTGATTTCCTTTCACTCAAGTTTCTCATAAAATTAGCTTTGGCTCATACATCTGTTACACAGTAGTTAATTTTACAAGATAAGCAGTACAGGGGAAATGTATCTGAGGGAAAAATCGAGTGCTGGAAGCTCAAGAGACACTTATAAGGTCACAGAACAAAGCTAGTAAGTAAAATGGTCCTACTATAGACCTGCAAATAGCAAAGGGTCTGCCTTGGGTTAATTTCAGTATATCTTTCATGACATTTCACTTTTCTTCTCCAGCAGCATTAAATATAAGTGGGCTTTACTGAACCTGTTCTGAGAGAGCCTTTTGAATTGCTCAGCCAAAGAGCAATCATGATTCAAGTTCATGAAATGTGAACTTTGTATTTTAGCATCCACTTCCCTGTAATGATCTCAAGACTGTACTAGCCACAGCAATGAATGTATTAACCAGTTCTTCATGTTCACAGCTACTTATGCCATTCTTAGATACTAAATGTGCTTTCACAAAAGCACCACTGGCTATCCCACTAGTAGCAATTATTAGTAGTCTTTTAAATTCAATCTTCTCGCCCAATATAAGGAGTCCCAGAGGTTGGCTGGGCGTGGTGGCTCACACCTGTAATCCCAATAGTTTGAGAGGCCGAGGCAGGTGGATCACCTGAGGTCAGGAGTTCGAGACAAGCCTGGCCAACATGGTGAAACCCTGTCTCTACTAAAAATACAAAAAAATTATCCAGGCATGGTGGTGAGAGCCTGTAATCACAGCTACTCAGGAGGCTGAGGCAGGAGAATCACTTGAACCTGGTAGTTGGAGGTTGCAGTGAGCCAAGATGGCGCCACTGCACTCCAGCCTGGGCGACAAAAGCAAAACTCCATCTCAAAAAAAAAAAAGAAGTCCCAGAGGCTCAGAAAGGCTCCTAACGATCTAGCAGGTTGTTTGAGAGCAGCGCTGGAATAAGAACTAGGTATCTCAGCTAATCTAGACTCCTAATCTAGAGCTCTTTCTAATCTGGCTGACTAAACGCCAGAATAATTTCTCACTTACACAGTCAGAAAAAGTCTCTGTGAATTAATCTTTTTATTTGGATATGTTAGTCTTTTATTATAAAATATGCAAAAGGCTGATTTAACATCAATATATATCAGCATTGGGGAAATGCTCACAAATAAACTTCCTTAAGAATTTTAAGGCCGGGCGTGGTGGCTCACACCTGTAATCCCAGCACTTTGAGAGGCTGAGGTGGGCAGATCGCTTGAACTCAGGAGTTTGAGACCAACCTGGGCAACATGGTAAAACCCCATCTCTACTAAAAATACAAAAACTAGCCAGGCATGGTGGTGTGTGCCTGTGGTCCCAGCTACTAATAGTTAATCTCATTCCTTTTATTATGTTAATTCACTTATTTCTTCATTCCAACAAATATTTGTTCAGTGCCTACTATGTATCGAGCCCTTTTTAGGTACTTTGGATGCAGGGGTGAACAAAAAGGACACGAATCCCTGCTCTCAGGGAGCTTACAGACAATATAATGTGGATAGCTTTTGCCTTCTGCTGAAGTAATCCTTAAATTAACACCCTCTTAAGAATTCATTATTGGCCGGGCGCGGTGGCTCATGCCTGTAATCCCAGCACTTTGGGAGGCCGAGGCGGGTGGATCACGAGGTCAGGAGATTGGGACCATTATGACTAACACGATGAAACTCAGTCTGTACTAAAAATACCAAAAAAAAATTAGCTGGGCACGGTGGCGGACGCCTGTAGTCCCAGCTACTTGGGAGGCTGAGGCAGGAGAATGGCATGAACCGGGGAGGCAGAGCTTACAGTGAGCCAAGATCGTGCCACTGCACTCCAGCCTGGGTGACAGAGCGAGACTCCGTCTCAAAAAAAAAAAAAATAAAAAAATAATTTGCAATAATAAGTGCTATGAAGGAAAAATCCAAGGTGTGATGGGAAGCTATAATAAGAGTTATTAGAGACTTGTTACCACAATCCCTTGTGGAGGGGTTACTCACCTTCATGAGATTCTGAGTCTGGCTGTGGATAGGGAGAACTTGGTATTTTGAAACCCCCTTCTGGTGCATCTGGCCCCTCCCTACCTCCCTTTCCTTTGTGAAAGCCCGACACCAAACTCTGGATCTCCACTCCTGAGCAAAGCAAAAATTCAGTACAGCAGTTACCATGGCCCTCAGATGCTTCTTCTCACCTGGATGCATGTTCTGGATGAGCAACAGCAGCAATTACTCCAGGGCTGAAAGCAGGGCAGGAGGGCATGACCCAAGGCTCTCAACTTTAAACGCAGAGTTCTGGCCAGGCACGATGGCTCATGCCTATAATCCCAGCACTTTGGGAGGCTAAGGTGGGAGGATTCCTTAAGACCAAGAGTTCAAGGCCAACCTGGCCAACATAGCAAGACTCTGTCTTACAAATAATTTAAAACAAAAACAAAAACAAAAACAAGCCTGGTGTGATGGCACGCATCTGTTGTCCCAGCTACTTGGGAGGCTGCACCAGGAGGATCCCCTGAGCCCAGCAGTTCAAGACTGCAGCAAGCTATCATCACATCACTGCACTCCAGCCTAGGTGACAGAGCAAGACCTGTTAAAACAAACAAACAAACACTGAGAGTTTCTCTACACTTGACATCTAAACAAACTTTTTCCAAATGTTCAAATGTAAAAATTATTCACTTTTCTGTCAAAAACCATGAAAGTGTTTATACGCTTGAACTCAGCAATCCTACTCTTGGATATTTAAGAATTAATTCAACAGAAGAATGAAACTATGTACACCGATTTGGTCATTGTAGTGTTAAGTATAATAAGGATAAAAAGCAAAAAGCCTAAATATTCCATAGTTGGGAGGCAGTTAAGTAGATTGTGGTATATTAACTTGTCAGGATTACTAATTTATGGCCATCGTGTCATCTGTGGGAAAATATGAATGAAGTAAATGCACATGAAAAAGCAGAATACAAAATTCTATGTTAATGAATGCAAGCTATATAAAAAGGAGTATGCAGAACACAGATGACAAGGCAAAAAGGAAAATTGGGATCAATTTGCTAAGGTGGTAGGACAACAGGACAGAAATCCAGATTGAAAGATTGAACTGGCTTAAGCAAAAAGGAGAAAATTCATTTGCTCAGATAATTAAGTTCTTAGGTAGGGTGAGAGAGGCACTGGCCTTAGGGATGTCTGAAAGAGGGACACATTGCTATCAGGACTTCCCATCCCTCTCTCTCTTCACTTCCCTCTCCAGGGAAGTCTCTTTCAACCCAACTTATTCCCAAGGTGACAATTTATCCACTAACCTCACATTCTCCTATCTTCCCACCAGGATGACAGTGCCTACTTAAGTTTTGGCTGTAGTTTAAGAATAACTCTGGGAAAGGTACTGATTGACCTGGTTTGGGTCATGTGCCCATCTCTGGACCATCAATGGTCAGGTTACTAGGATTGGCACCCACCTCGCAACCAACCCTTGTGGTCAATGGATCTGGGCTATTTAAGAAGAAAGTTGGCTGGCTGCAGAGGCTCACGTCTGTAATCCCACTTTGAGAGGCTGAGGCGGGCAGATCTCTTGAGCTCACAAGTTCAAGACCAGCCTGGGCAACATGGCAAAACCCTGTCTTGGCTAATTTACAAAAATTAGCCAAGCATAGTTGTGCGTGCCTGTAGTCTCAGCTACTCAGGAGGCTGAAGTGGGAGGATCTTCCAGAGCTTAGGAGAATGTGGCTGCAGTGAGCTGTGATCGTGCCACTGCACTCCAGCCTGAGTAGCAGAGACCCTATTAAAAAAAAAAAAAGGTATTTAGATTTTTTTTATTTTAAAAATATAAGAAAAGAGAAACTTCCCTGAGGATCCTGTGTTTAGAGGAGGAGGGAAGCATTTCCCTAAAAGGAGAGAAAGAGAGAAGTGCTGCTCCCAGTGGAGTCAATTTGTCTATTGCCCAACTTAACATTTTAGAAAGATATCTTATTCCCTTAATACAGGTTCCAAGGGCAGATTGAGATTTCCTGGTGCAATGTGCTTTATTAATAAGGCCACATGGTACAGTAGGAAGAGCGCTACACCGAATGCCAGGAAAATGGATTCTGGTCCTGACTGCCATGAATAAGCGGCCTGACATTGGGCTAGTCCTTAAACTTCTCTGGATTTCAATTTCTGCACCCCTGCCAGAACAGTATAATTTCCTTGAGGGTTGGAATCAGGTCTGTCTGTAATGGAGATGTGGATTTGGGAATAACTCTAGGGGCTTGGATGGGCAAAGGGACAAGTTGAAAATATAGTTGCAACAAAGGCCTCGGCCATCCCATGGGGAGCTCTGGGCCTGGAATGGCCTATCAGGGTTGTCACAAATTTCAGCAAGTGGGTCTGGCTTTTATATCCCTGCTATGGTTTGGATGTTTGTCCCCTTCAAACCTCATGTTGAGATATGATCCCCATAGTTGGAGGTGTTAGGATCAATACACCCAGCTGCGGGGAGAATGAGTGCCTTCCTCCTGATGGAGGATATCTGGGCAGCGTACTACAGCATCCATTACAGTCAATAGACACAGTGGCTGGGAGTGTAGCTTCTCATTAAATATTTGTTACATTAATATGTTATGTAAGATGGAAAGTGTGGATTAGACCCTTTCAGGAGTTGCTCAGAACCTCTCCTCATTCTGGGGGCTGCCAGATTTGCAGATTGTTAAATAGATAAATAGTCCTTTTCAGCACTATTGCATACACCTATTTGTCTCCTGGAGGATTTATGGAAAAGGGAAAACAAAAATCTTTAGTTTTTTTGTTTTTTGTTTTTGGGGGGTTGGGTGGTTTTTTAAATATAGGAGTTGGAATAGGAATAGGAGAAGAATGTCTACTAAAATTAATGTTGACTGACCTGTTCAGCTAACAGGAATAAGGCATTCTTTGTGGTGGAGTTAACAACAGAAAGTATTAAGGAAGCAATTACTATATATATTACATACAGTCAAACTGTGCTCTCCAGTACCGTAGCCACTAGCCACAGGAGACTTTGACTTAAAATAGTTAAAATTAAATAAAATTTAAAATTCAGTTTCTTAATCACACTAGTCATATTTTAAGTCCTCAGTAGCCATATGTGGCTACCATATTACAGTGCAGATAAAACTTTTCCATCATCATTGAAAGTTCTACTGGAGAGCTCTGGTCTACATTGAATAGTTGTGTTCTTTACTTTCATTCAATAAAAATCCAGTTTACTCTCATGAATTGTGCTGCTCATTATTGTGAGAGCGCTGGAACGAGAGCCAAAAATTAAAAAGGCTTGGGCAAAAAGGATTGCCCTGAATCCAAGTTTCTTCTTGGAAATCCAAGTACTACAGGACAATACTCAAATGGAATAAGTCTTTGTTGTCATTACTTCCTGTCCCTGCTGTCTGGATCGTCTGGATGCAACCAGGACAAAACGCCCTGAGCTTCTAAAGTCAGCTCTGCCTGTGGCTCCCCACCGTCCATGAGGAACAACTGCTCCTTCAAGCCTCAAACTGTCAAGATGTAGACATTCAACACCAGATTTGTGTTGCTTTTAAAAATGCTTCTTGGAATTTTGGCATTAGCTCTGAGTCTGATATATTGAAGGCCAGGAGCAATGCTGTCTTTCTCTTTTCTATTAATTTTGTCAGCAGGTGAGTTGTTACACAGTCCTTAGTGGATTCTGATGTCCGTGGCCACCGTCCTGCTTCTATTAATTTTTTAAATTTTGACTTGTTGTACTTATGTAAAAGAAGCAGATTGATAGGGTCAATCTCCAAGAACTCATCAAGCAGCCTTAACAATTTTCAATTCATAGGCTATCTTGGTGTCTTTGTCTCCCCTACCCACATTCTCCACCCAGGATTAACTAGACTCAAATTCCAGATATCACATAATTTCATTTGTAAATATTTCCCTATGTATCTCTAAAAGATAGGGATGCTCTTTTAAAATAATGTTAAGCATAATACCATAATAACAAATTAAAAATCCAATAACTCCTTAGTGTCTTCAAAAATCCAGGCATCCAAATAAGGTCCATACATGCTGGGCACAGTGGCTTGCACATGTAATCCCAGATGCTGGGGAGGCTGAGGCAAAAGGATCACTGGAGCCCAGGAGTTCAAGACCACACTGGGGAATGTAGTGAAATCTCGTCTCAAAAAAAAAAAAAAAATTAGCAGGGAATGGTGGCCCGGATGTGTAGTCCCAGCTAGTTGGGAGGATCACTTGAGCCCTGGAGTTTGAGGCTAGCTACATTGATCTATGATAGTGCCTCTGTACTCCAGCCTGGGTGACAGTGAGAGAGACCCCCCATCCCTAAGAAATACAAATTTTTGAAATGTATAAATTAAAAAACTAGGTCCATACAACACACATGGTTGATACATCTTTTTAAGTCTTTAAATCTTTACATCCTCTTCTATATCTCCTTTTACTCCTCACAGCTTTTTGTAGAAGAAACCAAGTCTTCTGTCTTGTAATTTCTCAGAGTCTAGACTTTGCTCATTGCATCCCTGTGGTATAAAACAACATGTTCCTCTGTCTCCTTTATTTTCTGTAAATGGGAGTTAGACCTAGAGTCTTGATCAGATTCAGGTTTCACTTTTTCTTTTCTTACAAGACATTTTATACATTGTATCGTATACTTCTATTCAGTTAAAGTACCAGATAATGATGTCATCAGTTATTGATAATCATTGGCTAGATCTGTTAATGCAATCTAGGTTGCAAAACTGTGCTGATTTAATTCTATCATTTTTCTTCATTTATTACCTGGAATGCATCCTTTAAAAAGTCAATTTCCCTCATTAACTATTCAGTTACATGGAGGTAAAGTTAATGTAGGAAAGGCAAAATAAATGCTTGATTTTTTCTCTTTTTTGCCAGTTTTCAAAAGAATAAGCTAGTTCCCCACCATCCTCCAGAAGGTTAACTCTGAGTTTGAATTTGCTTGATATCATTGTAAGATAAACATACTTGATATGTCTCTATCTATTGCACTTATTATACAGCTTGTTCCATCTTTGGCCAATGGGAGCATCTTCAGGTTAGCTCTGGAGTCCTTTTGACATGACCTCAGTAGATAATGTCAAATACTTTATTATCTGATGTAATAATATGTGCCCATTTTCTAATCTGTTTGCTTTGGTATCATTTCATATTTCCCCTGCAAAGACACCACTCACTCATGATTGTGCAGTCACAGAACTTGAGATTTTTTATATAAAAACTCAAGAATGTGGCTGGGTGCAGTGGCTCATGCCTGTAATCCCAGCACTTTGGGAGGCCAAGGTAGGTGGATCACTTAAGGTAAGGAGTTCAAGACCAGCCTGGCCAACATGGAGAAACCCCATCTCTAATAAAAATTCAAAAATTAGCCGGGCATGGTGGCACGTGCCCGTAATCCCAGCTACTCAGGAGGCTGAAGCAAGAGAATCGCTTGAACCCAGAAGGCGGAGCTTGCAGTAAGCCAAGCTCACGCCACTGCACTCCAGCCTGGGCCACAGAGCAAGACTCCTTTTAAAAAAAATAAATAAATAAAACAAACAAAAAACACCCCAGGAATGCAGTTCTTCTGTCCTCAATATATTATAATACTTTATATTAATGTATTTAATGAATAGTTCTTGAGAATTGACTATGTACCAGGTACTAGACCAATTCACAATCCAGCAGGACAGGCAATTTTAAAAAATGGTATAAATGGTTATATTTAAGCATGCCGTGGTGAAAAGGACTATAAAAGAAAAGAAGAAGGTGCAATGAGAATATATAACACCTTGTCTGAGGTGTTAGGGAAGGTCTTCCTGAGGAAGTGAGTAAGAAGCTGAAATGCAAAGGTTAAGTAGGATGAGGTTAGCTAAGCAGAGAGATAGAGAAAGAACTTTTGCGCGTGCCAAGTCTGGAGGTGGGAGAAACTTATCACGCTCAAGGAACTGAAAGGCCTTTGTGAGCTGGACTGTGGGAAGTGAGCAAGAGAGGGTACACAATGAAGCTGGAAATGCACGTGGAGGTCAAATCATGCAGGGCCTGTGGATCGCATTAAGGATTTTAGACTTTCTCCGACAAGAAATGAGAAGCCACTGGAAAGTTGTAAGAGAGAAACAACATGATCACATTTTCATTTTTATGAAAACTCCAGCTGTTATGTGGAGAATAAACTGGAAAGAACAAGAATGAAAATGAGGCCAGGCACAGTGGCAAACGCCTGTAATCCCAGATGTTTGGGAGGCCAAGGTGGGCGGATCATGAAGTCAAGAGATCGAGCCCATCCTGGCCAACATGGTGAAACCCCATCTCTACTAAAACTACAAAAATTAGCTGGGTGTGGTGGCACTTGCCTGTAATCCCAGCCACTCGGGAGGCTGAAGCAGGAGAACTGCTTGAACCCGGGAGGCGGAGGTTGCAGTGAGCTGAGATCACACCACTGCCCTGCAGCCTGGGCAACAGAGCGAGACTCCGTCTCAAAAAAAAAAAAAAAGAAAAGAAAAGAAAAGAAAATGAAAACTAGGGAGCTATTACAGTAGTCCAGGTGAAAGATCATGGTGTCTTGAACTAAGATGACAGCAGTGAAGATAGATATGGACAGACTCAACATATTAATGCACAACCAAAAACTCAGCTTTATGCCTAAGGGGGAAGCAAGGGAAGCATTCTCACTAAACTTAGGAACAAGACAGGATGCCCACTATCACCATGTTATTTAACATCTTTCTAGATGTGTTAGTCAATGCAGTTAGACAAGAGAAGAGAACTCATGGTATCAAAACTGGAAAAAAGTTATAAAGTATCGCTATTTACATAGATTCTATTATTATATATCTAGAAAACCCAACAGAATCAAATATAAAATCCACTATAAACAAAACAAATATTCTATTAATGTCTATAAACCAATTATCTTTTATGTATGCAAATAGCAATCAATTAGATATAGTGGGGGAAAGACACTATTTTTAATAGCAACAAAAAACGTAAATTCCCAGACCAGGCATGGTGGCTCATGACTATAATCCCAGCATTTTGTAAGGTTGAGGTGGGCAGATCACTTGAGCCCAGAGTTCAAGACCAGCCTGGGCAACATAGTGAAACCCCGTCTCTACAAAAAAAAATACAAAAATTAGCGGGTCGTGGTGGTGCATCCCTATAGTCCCAGCTACTCAGGAGGCTGAGGTGGGAGGATCGCTTGAGTCCAGGAGGTTGAGGCTGCAGTGAGCCATGATCATGCCACTGCTCCAGCTTGGGCAACACAGTGAGACCCTGTCTCAAAAATAAAAATTTAAAAATTCCTAGGAATAGACTTGCCAAGAATTGTACAAGGTCTATATGATGAAAACTTTAAAATTTTCCTCAGGAACACAGCAAAAACTTGGAACAAATGGGAAGGTCTCCCATGCTCTTGGATAGGATAACATTCACAAAACATCAGTTCTCCCTACACGCATCCACACATTTAGAAACAGATACACCTTTGATTCATTGGCAAATGCAGTTTGGGTTGCTTAACAGGTGAAAACAGAAGCCACAAGGTGGTAGAACAATGTTAATTGAGGAGAAGTGCCTTTTTATGGAGGTAGAGGCAGAACAGTGTGTGCAAAAACACGGGAAATATTTATTCCATCCAAAGTGTGCAAAGACCTGGGGTGGGAAGTACTTACCCCATCCAACGAACTCAAAAGTGGATTGCAGTAAGTGAGGAAGAGAGAGTATGCATTGAATTTGGAAAGGTAGTGAGTTTAGAAGAAGTGAACAGAAAGTGAAGCAGTGGAGACTGGAGGCTGCAGGCCATAATCCCAGCAAGACTGGCTGCTCTGGAGGCAGGGATAGGATGCTGACTGATAGCTCCTTAGCAAGGGAAGTATTCAGCCCCACCCCTCCCTCTAAGAGGGCAGGGATTCTTCATTGCTATGTTTAGAGTAGTACTGCATATGAACTGGACCTTCATGGATGTCTCCCAAAGTCCCTGAGCTCAGTGACCTTGGTTCTTCCTAGGTCCCATGGCTCTCACTGGAAATTGGTTCTCAACAGTCCATTTTCAGCCCTTCACAGGAGACATATGGTTCTTTTCACAAGACATCCACTCTTGACTTAATACCAGCAGGGCATGATGAACTTGGCATTGTTTATCCAGAAGCAGGGAAGGATGAGTGAGGGAAGCTCCACTCGCCCCAGGGCCACCCTGCTGCAGTGATCTGTGGCACAAAGGCCAGAGAACCGGCTCCTTACAGAGGTGCAGTTGTGGTTAGGAATGGAGGAGAGCTAACAGAACTATGACCTCTTACCCAGAGTTAACCAAAGATATGGCGGTGTAGACTTAGGAAGCCCCAACTTTATGTACCTAATCAATGCCTGATTTCCTGTCCCAAAGAAGCTTGGGCCCTGGGAAGGTGACTTGAAGTCCATTTCCTGGAACAAAGGCACACAGCAGTCCTGCTTCATGAGCTGCCAAGTAAAACTGTCAGAATCTATTTAAGAAAACCAGGCCAGTCTGGCCGTCTGGCTGCATTTACTGAGAATGGCCACTGAGACAAAGAGGGAAAGAGTGTTCATTCAATTCATTCACTGATATTTACTGAGGGCCTACCACATGCCAAGTCTCTTCTAGGTGGTAGGGATACAGAAATGAGCCAAATAGACACAACCCCTGTCCTCACAAGGCTTACTTTCTGGTGGAGGGAGATAGACCAATAAAGATGTAGACAAAATAGTATTAGTTAGAAGGGGTTAAGTGCTTCAGTTTCAGTTAGCATAGAAAAATGTCAATAGGACATTTTTAGGATACAACAAGGTATTGGCAGAGCATATAGATTAGGTGCAGGACCCTGTATTAATGTGGTAGAGCAGTCGATGAGGGGCTTTCTAAAAAGGTGACATTTAAGCTGAATCCTGAAAGATAAAGAGCCAGGCATGTGAAGAGTAAAGGAGAAGGAGAAATATTACAAAGGCCTGAGTTAGGCAAGAACTTGGAATGTTCAAAAAACAGAAAGAACATCAATTTCTGCAGTGCACAGAGTTGGGAAAGATCCTGAAGGTGAGGCTGGGGAGGCCAACATGTCTTGAGAATGTGGGTCTTTCCTAACATGTTGTGCCCGTTACAGCACGATTATCGATTCGAACATAACACTGCCCACTCACAGCTCACTGCCTAACTCAGCTACCTGGCCTCAGCTCAGAGACAGGCCATCTTAAGAAAGTCCCAAGAATGGCCAAAGCAGAAGTCAAGTTTATGCTCCAAAGCTCATATACAACACTCATCGGGGAGCTTCTGGGATTTTCATTCAGATAATTTTCTTTCATCTTAAATACTCTTTTAATAAATTTCCTTATTGGGTTTCCAAGCCAACAGCAAATTACAAGCAACAGATTAGAAGGGGAGGGAAGGGCAGGCACTCTGTTCAAATGACATTTTAATTCAGTGACTCATTTTGCTTGGACACCACACTCCTCTGATACTGGCTTCATGTGACTGCAAGGACTCCCAGGATCACTCGAGCACCAGTCTGACATTTATGTTTACTGTACCATGGTACAGTGAGGACACTGATACACATTAGCAGTCCAAGATACAAGTCCTGATTGCCCCATTCATAGTTTTGTGTCCCCATTAGATTGTGAATGACATAAGGACATGTGTCTTAGTCATCTTTCAGTTCACCCATAACCCATGCCCCTTCTTCAAGCCTAGAATAATGCCAGTCATGTAATAGTGCCTGATAAATGGATCTGGAATAAATAAATGGAAATATGATCTTGGATAAATTACTCTCTGTGTTCCTCAAATGCCTCATCTATAACAGGAAAGAGCATGTGCATCTTAAGGGCTTGCTTGGAATATTAGATAACACAATATATATAGAAAGAGTAATGTTAAGTAAACGTACAATATAAATATGAGATATTTTGCTCCTTGTGGCTGAATCACACAGAGGTGTCCTTCAAAGGGTCAAGGGACCATTTAGGTCTTTATGCCTATGTCTTGAGTAGTTGCCACTAGATGGCAATATTTTCTTAAGGCATGGTTAGCCATTTTTGAGTCTACCCCAGTGGTCTTCAAACTGGGGATTCCCATGCTGTTGGGAGTACAAAATGCTTTCCAAGAGGTGCTCAATTATAGATAGCTTTGTGGAAATCTGATCCTCAACTTCAATGTATTCTCTTTCCTAAAATCAGCCTGCTTGGGAAAGCACCCATGTTCACAATAGCTCTTCTCCAACTTTTCAAAAACGAAAGCATACCCGTTCTTCACCTGAAATCTTATTTTATGGCACCATCAGATAAATACCCACCAAGACATCAGACGAAGGTGAAATCTTCAACAATCAAAAAGGAACCAGTCTTTTTCTATCTTTCACATACTTCTGTTAAGAGTGAAGGCCGGGCGCGGTGGCTCACGCCTCTAATCCCAGCACTGTGGGAGGCCGAGGTGGGCGGATCACGAGGTCAGGAGATCGAGACCATCCTGGCTAACACGGTGAAACCCCGTCTCTACTAAAAATATAAAAAATTAGCCGGGCGTGGTGGCGGGCGCCTGTAGTCCCAGCTACTCGGGAGGCTGAGGCAGGAGAATGGCGTGAACCCGGGAGGCGGAGCTTGCAGTGAGCTGAGATAGCGCCACTGCACTCCAGCCTGGGCTACACAACGAGACTCCATCTAAAAAAAAAAAAAAAAAAAAAAAAAGAGTGAAACTTGGCTTTAGGAATGGGGTATTTTGGCTCTTGTTGTTATGGTCTTCATGAATAAAATATATGGTAAGTGGGGTGGTGGGAGTAAGACCTTTTCCATCCTCTAAGAATTATTGGCAAATGCCTTGATCTTAAGAAAGCAAAGCAAAGAGAGCATCTGTTTAAAAAATGCTAAAAAATAGCTCTTTTACATATATAAATATAGTAAATTTTCAGCCAGGTGCAGTGGCTCACACCTGTAATCCCAGCATTTTGGGAGAGCAAGGCAGGCAGATCATGACGTCAAGAGATTGAGACCATCCTGGCCAACATAGTGAAACCCTGCCTCTACTAAAAATACAAAAATTAGCTGGGCGTGGTGGCGGGCACTTGTAATCCCAGCTACTCGGGAGGCTGAGGCAGGAGAATCGCTTGAATCCGGGAGGCGGAGGTTGCAGTGAGCTGAGATTGTGCCACTGCACTCCAGCCTGGCAACAGAGCAAGACTCTGTTTCAAAAAAAAAAAAAAAACACAAAAACACTGTATATACATAGTAATTTTCAGCTATTCTCAATACTCATCTCAAACTCACATCATTAGCAGGAATGAAATATGTTGGAATGGCCAAAGCAGTTAATTATTTTAATTTATTTATTTACTTTTATTTATTTATTTTTAAAGATGAGGTTTCACCATGTTGGCCAGGCTGGTCTGGAACTCCTGGCCTCAGGTGATCTACACACCTTGGCCTCCCAAAGTGCCGGGATTACTGGTGTGAGCCACCACACCTGGCCTACTTACTTATTTTTGAAACAGGATCTCACTGTGACCCAGGCTGGAGTGGAGTGGCATGATCAAAGCTCACTGCAGCATTGACCTCCCAGCTCAAGCAATTCTCCCACTTCAGCCTCCCTAGTTGGTGAGACTACAGGCACGCCCCACCATGCCAGGCTAATTTTTCTATTTTTTGTAGAGATGAGGTTTCACCAGTTGTCCAAGCTGATCTCGAACTTCTGGGGTCAAGCCATCCTCCCACCTTGGTCTCCCAAAGTGCTGTGATTACAGGCGTGAGCCACCACAACCAGCTGATTATCTTAAATGTAACTAAAATATGTTTTTAGGATCACCAAACTTTTCATGACACACTAGCTAAAAGAAACCAATAAAACTTTTACATGATTTCTTTCAAATGTGGTGTGTGTTTTTCAACAAGGTAGTTATAAAATATTTGTATCAAATCATATGATAAACTATTCATACTCCATTTGCAGAACAAAATAAAATTTTAAAACATTCCAATATTTGTCAATTCTTATCTTTATTATCTCATTTTATTTAATATTGTCTATTTCCCACTAACGAAAACACAATTCTATGTTACTTGCCAGATCAATTCATTTTTGCAGCTTATTTATATGTTTTCATTAAATCCGTAAGAAAAGTTTTCTCATGATATCTAATGAAACTGGCTGGGCGAGGTGGCTCATGCCTATAATCCTACCACTTTGGGGAGACAAGGCAGGAGGATTGTTTGAGCTGAGGACAACATAGTGATATCATGCATGTCTCTACAAAAAACATTTAGAAATTAGTTGAGCATGGTGGCACTCACCTGTAGACCCAGCTACTTGGGAAGCTGAGGCAGGAGGATCACTGGAGGCCAGGAAATTGAGGCTGCAGTGAGCTATGATCACACCACTGCACTCCAACCTGGGTGACAGAGCAAGGTCTTATCTCAAGATAAAATTAAATTAAATTAAAGTAATGGTTCTATGTCTGATTTCCTCAGAGTTTGATACTTGCATATAGATACATTTTACCAAAGGAATGTCATTATTTGTACTATATTCCTTGCTCTATAAATAGTTTATAATTTGGCTACTCATGACATTGCATTACTGTAAATTAGATAATAAAGAACAGTATATTGATTTGTTAACTTGTTTTTATAACTTTAAAAACTAATAAATGGAAAAAATACATAACTGAATTATACTAAATCTACCTCAACTTAATCTTTCCCACTTTTAATCCTTACAACAACCCTTAATATAGGTACTATTATTTCCCACACAGAGTTAGGTAATTTATCCATAGTTACAAAAGAAAAAAAAAGCCCTTTGCACAGGCCAATAATAGATGTCACAAGAACCACGACATATATAAAGTGTATAAGCAAGTCTTAAGTTACACTTTATATATTCCAACTGAAGTGGTTAAAATACGCTATTCAGTGCGGTGCTGCACGCTAGTAATCCCAGCACTTTGGGAGGCCGAGGTGGGTGGATCACTTGAGGTCAGGAGTTCGAGACCAGACTGACCAACATGGTGAAACCTTGTCTCTACTAAACACAAAAAATTAGCCAGGTGTGGTGGTGCATGCCTGTAATCTCAGCTACTTGGGAGGCTGAGGCAGGAGAATTGCTTGAACCTGGGAGGCAGAGGTTGCAGTGAGCCGAGACTGCACCATTGCACTCCAGCCTGGGCAACAAGAGCAAAACTCCATCTCAAAAAAAAAGAAAACAAAAAAAAACCACGCTATTCTAGGCCTGGCACAATGGCTCAGGCCTGTAATTCCAGCACTTTGGGAGGCTAAGGCAGGTGAATCACTTGAGGTCAGGAGTTTGAGGCCAGCCTGGCCAACATGGTGAAACCCCATCTCTACTAAAAATACAAAAATTAGCCAGGCGTGGTGGCGGGCGCCCATAATCCCAGCTACTCAGGAGGCTGAGGCAGGAGAATCTCTTGAACCCAGGAGGTAGAAGTTGCAGTGAGCCAAGATTGCACCACTGCACTCCAGCCTGGGTGACAGAGCGAGACTCCATCTCAAAACAAACAAACAAAAACCACGCTATTCTGGCATATTGATTATATAAGTTAAAGACACTTAAAAAACAACAGGTGTAAGAAGGTCATCTTGACCTTTGTGATCTTAAAAGCAGAAAATGAAATTCCGTGTGGAAGACATCCTCTCTATTCTAGAAAGATACAACAGCCTCATCATCAATGACAACAAAGTTGAGGCTGAAGGAATTCCACACAAACAAAACTTGTTAAGCTAACTCTTAACTTCCTAACTCCTTCTCTACCCAATTAACTACCCTAGCTGAAACCCCTGTGTCTTATGACATTTTCACAGTTTATTACTCTTTGTTGAATTCAGTATGTAAGTAACTGGCTGTTTCTTTTTCTTTTTTATTATTTATTTTTGTGACAGGCTCTCACTCTGTCACCCAGGCTGGAGTGCAGTGGCACAAATACAGCTCACTGCAGCCTTGACCTCCTGGGCACAAGCAATCCTTCCACCTCAGCCTCTCTAGTAGCTGGGACTACAGGCATGCACCACCACACCTGGCTAATTTTTGCTTTTTTTTTTTTTTTTTTTTTTGTAGAGACGGGGGTTTCAGCATGTTGCCCAGGATGGTCTCAAACTCCTGGGCTCAAGTGATCCACCTGACTTGGCCTCCCAAAGTGCTGGGATTACAGGTGTGAGCCACCACGCCTGGCCTGTAACTGACTGTTTCTTTAGGTCTTTATTTCTTTATGAGGGCTCCCATGCCATGTAAGAGTACAATATTATGTTTTTCTTCTGTTAATCTATGTTACGTCAATTTAATTCTTGGACCCAGCTGGAACCCTAAGAAGATGGAGGTGGAATTTTTCCACTCCTATACTTTCAGGCAATGAGGATGTAATCCTCAAATGTTGGGGGCCACCCTACTCACTCTGGAGCCTGCAGATGAGATCCCAAGACACCTGACAAAAGCTGAAAGAGGTAGGAATTCTTATCAAAGTCAGCTCTCCTGGATCTCTGTAGTGCGCAGTTGAGAGAGAAAGGTAAAAGTTTTCCTTGTCCCTTCTTTTCTAAATCTGGATTGGCAGGAGAAAACCGTTTGTAAGAATTGGCTCTTTGAAGTGTGACTCTTGTGAATTTAGTTCTGGCTACCCATTGGTTATTGATCCACAGCCTCCCTGGAATAGTCCTTGTTTTCCTTGTCTGTATCTTTTGTGTGTTTCTTTTGAATTGTTTTATGCCTTGAGAGCTTGGCTTTGTGACCAGTGAGGATATTCTCTCTAATCTCTGCCAGCCAGGAGACACAAATTGTTAGGCTTGCACCTGGCGGCTAGCAAGCTGGCCAGGAGCACGTAACACGAAGTGTCTCTTTGTCCCATCATGCGGTCTCTCAGGGAAGTTTGTATTAATTGTCTCAACTTTCATCACCTTGTTAACAGCGAGGGTCTGGCCAGTCACAGTGGCTCATGTCTGTAATTCCAGCACTTTGGGAGGCCAGGGCAGGAGAATCCCTAGAGGTCAGGAGTTTGAGATCAGCCTGGGCCACATAGCAAGACCCAATCTCCATAAAAAAATTTAAAAATTAGCCAGGGTGATGGTGCACACCTGTGATCCCAGCTAATCAGGAGGCTGAAGTGGGAGGATCACTTGAGCCCAGGAGATTGAGGCTGTAGTGAGCTGTACTTGTACTGCTGCACTCCAGCCTGGGTGACAGAATGAGACTGTCTCAAAAGAAAAAATTATAAAGAAAATAAACAATGAAGGTCTTTGCTTTCTTTGGGAGGCTGAGGCAAGTGGATCACCTGAGGTCAGGAGTTCAAGACCAGCCTGGCCAACATGGTGAAACCCTATCTCTACTGAAAATACAAAAATTAGCAGGGCATTATGGCAGCCTCCTGTAATCCCAGCTAGTCAGGAGGCCGAGGCAGGAGAATCACTTGAACCCAGGAGGCGGAAGTTGCAGTGAGCTGAGATCATGCCACTGCACTCCAGCCCGGATGACAAGAGCAAGACTCTGTCTCAAAATAAAATAAGTGTTCCAAGCCAGGCACGGTGGCTCACACCTGTAATCTCAGCACTTTGGGAGGCTGAGGCGGGTGGATCACCTGAGGTCAGGAGTTCAAGACCAGCCTGGCCAACATAGAGAAACCCTGTCTCTACTAAAAATACAAAAATTAGCTGGGCCTGGTGACACGTTCCTGTAGTCCCAGCTACTCAGGAGACTGAGGCAGGAGAATTGCTTGAATCCGGGAGGTGGAGGTTGCAGTGAGCCGAGATCACGCCACTGCACTGCAGCTTGGGGGACAGAGCAAGATTCCATCTCGAAAACAAATAAATAAATAAATAAATTGTTCCAGAAGTTGTATGAAATTCCTAAAAAGTGATATGTCCTAATATAACACTATCAGTCATAATTCTAGTTATAATCTTAAAATGTTGTATGACACAGAATATAGGCAAATTTCCCTGCAAGTTGAATTATTATTATAGAAAACTCTCATCAGATATTTAACTATGGCTACTTTAAGTCTTTCGTCATTTGCAGATGGCAATTGTTTACTTTGATTCTTCCTGAAAGCACTTACAATCAATAGTCCAAAATTATTTATCTTCATTTTTTTCTTGTCTTTTTTTTTTTTTAGTTGTAAAGACAGGGTCTCATCATGTTGTCTAGGCCATTCTCAAACTCCTGGCTTCAAGCAATTCTCCCATCTTGACCTCCCAAAATGCTGGGATTACAGGCACAAGTCATCGTGCCCAGCCTAAAATTGTTTATCTCCAAAAATATTTATGGAAAAGACTCAGACAAGTCCACTGGAATATAGGTTTGTGATAACTTTAAGATCATACCATTGGACTGGATAAGAACTTTCAGAATTCTAATGGAAAAACTGGATTCATAAAACTTCTCATTCAAGATCAAGCAAAACAAGAATTAATTACATGGGATTGAATGAATTGATTTAAAAAATTATGATTTTTTTAAAGAAAATTACTTATCTGAAACATTGCTGATTCCTTTAACATTTTGTTTTCCAGATTTAAGAAATCTTTTTTCATTTCTCTTAAACTATATATAGCTTGCAGCAATTTGCCAAAATACACCATTGTAAGCAGAATTGAAACATGTATTTTTTTCTCCCTGCTTGATATCTCCAGAATTTAGAAACTATCAGTGAGTATTCTTACTTTCATGGCAAAATGGTTATTTGCATAAGTTCAACAAGAATCTATTTTCTTTATAAAAGGACATGATTTAAAACATTAGTTATATTACCAAAGCTTTGACTGGAATGTCACTTTTTTTTTTTTTTTTTTTTTTTTGAGACAGGGCCTTGCTCTGTCACCTAGGCTGGAGTACAGTGGTGGCATCACAGCTTACTGCAGACTTGAGTTCCCCAGCTTAAGTGATTCTCCCACCTCAGCCTCCCAAGTAGCTGGGGCCACAGGACCACTTCTAGGGAAGTTCCAAATTGGGGAACTGAGGGGATTGAGATATGCTATCTAGGAATATTGATTATGTAAGTTAAAGGCTCTTGAAAAACAACAGGTGACTCTCACTCCTGCTTCCCCATCTGATGACACTGCTCCCCCTTGGCCTTCCATCATGACTATAAGCTGCCTGAGGCTTCCCCAGAAGCTGAGCAGATGTCAGCACCATGCTTCCTGTAAAACCTGCAGAACTGTGAGCCAAGAACTGTTTTCCTTATTGAAAACAAAAAAAGAAAAACAACAGGTGTAAGAAGATAACCTTGACCTTTGTGCTCTTTCTTAAAAGCAGAAGATAAAATTCCCATGGGAAAGACACCCTCCCTGTACTAGAAAGATGCAACAGCTTTATCATCAGGGATAAGAAAGTTGAGTCTGAAGGAATTCCATACAAACAAGACTTGTTAAACTAACCCTTATCTTCCTGGCTACTTCTCTACCCAATTAACTACCCTAGCCCAAGCTCCTTTGCCTTATCACATTTTCATAGTTCACTACACTTTGTCCAACTCATCATGTAAGTAACTGACTTGTTTCTTTGGGTCTTTATTTCTTTTTTCTTTTCTTTTTTTTTTTTGAGACGGAGTCTCGCTCTGTCGCCCAGGCTGGAGTGCAGTGGCGCAATCTCGGCTCACTGCAAGCTCCGCCTCCCGGGTTCACACCATTCTCCTGCCTCAGCCTGAGCAGCTGGGACTACAGGCGCCCGCCACCACACTCAGCTAATTTTTTGTATTTTTAGTAGAGACGGGGTTTCACTGTGTTAGCCAGGATGGTCTTGATCTCCTGGCCTCATGATCCACCCTCCTCGGCCTCCCAAAGCGCTGGGATTACAGGTGTGAGCCACTGCGCCTGGCCAGGTCTTTATTTCTTTATGAGGGCCCCTATGCCATGTAAAACTTATACAGTGTTATGCTTTTCTCCTGTTCATCTATGTTAGATCAGTTTAATTCTTGGGCCCAGGCCAGGCATGGTGGCTCACACCTGGAATCCCAGCACTTTGGGAGGGCAAGGCAGGAGGATCACTTGCGCTCAGGAGTTCAAGACCAGCCTGGGCAACAAAACAAGACATTGTCTCTACAAAAAAATTAAAAAATTATCTAGGTGTGGTGGTATATGCCTGTGGTCCCAGCTACTCTAGAGGCTGAGGTGAGAAGATCTCTTCAGCCCAGGAGGTTGAGATTGCGGTGAGCTGTGATCGCACCACTACACTCCAGCCTGAGTGACAGAGCAAGAACCTGTCTCAAAAATAAAATAAACACAAAAATATTTATTGGGCCCAGCTGGGACCCAGAGGATGGAGGTGGAATTTTTCCACCTCTACACAATTTTAAACAATAAAATAATGTTGATCATCTGGTTTCCATGTTCATAGCAGAATAGAAGGAGAAAACAACATGGGAAGGAGGATACTTCCACCATGGACAAACACACTGATGCTACTAATAATTAATAACCAACAACCTAATAGAAATGAAGAACCACAAATCTACATAAAGCAGTCCTAAAGATAAAAAATGGAACTGTTTTAGGCAAAGTGCTAAAATCTCTGCCCTATATTACTGTTTTTAATTAAATTAATATTTAATGCCTACTTTGTGGGGGGACAAGATTATCCTCTGTCACCCAGACTGGAGTATACTGGTGTGATCCCAGTTCACTGCAGCCTCAACCTCCAGGCTCAAGTGATTCCCCCATTTCAGCCTCCCAAGCAGCTGGGACCACAGACATGCTACCATGCCTGGCTATTTTTTTTGCTATTTTGCCCAGGTTGGTCTCAAACTCCTGGGCTCCAGCGATCCTTGCACCTCACCTCGGCCTCCCAAAATGTTGGGAGGTATGAGCCACCACACTTGGCCTTTTTTTGTTTTGTTTTGTTTTGTTTTGTTTTGTTTTGTTTTTGAGACAGGGTCTCACTCTGTCACCCAGGCTGGAGTGCAATGGCTTGATCATGACTCACTACAGCCTCAACCTCCTAGGCTCAAGCAATACTCCCATCTCAGCTTCCTGAGTAGCTGGGACCACAGGCATGCATCACCATGCCTGGCTAATTTTTGTATTTTTTGTAGAGACAGGGTCCCACTGTGTTGCCCAGGCTGATGTCGAACTCCTGACCTCAAGGGATTCTCCTGCCTCAGCCTCCCAGAGTGCTGGGATCAAGGCCTAAGCCACCATGCCCAGCCAAAAGTTTTTAGTGTTTGATGAAGTCTGTGTAGTGATTTGAATAGTGTCCCCACGAGGTTCATGTCCATCCTGAACCTCAGAAAGTGACCTTATTTGGAAATAGGGCATTTGCAGGTGTAATTAAGGTAAGGATTGAAATGAGATCATTGGTCTGGGCACAGTGGCTCATGCCTGTAATCCCAGTACTTTAGGAGGCCAGGGCAGGAGGATTGCTTAAAACCAAGAGTTCAAGACCAGCCTGAGCAACACAGCTAGACTCTGTCTCTACAAAAAAATTTAAATAAAAAGAGAGGGGCTGCTCTGTCCATAGAGTAGCCATTCTTTTATTCCTTTACTTTCTTAATAAATTTGCTTTCACTTTAAAAGAGAGAGAGAGACAGACACGGGGTCTCCTCAGGAAACCGACCCTCAGGCAAGGGACTGAAACCCACCAGATCACCACATCCAGACTGTGAGACACCAGACCCCTCATTCATCATGATTGCTTCCTTACCTACCCCCAGCAACAATTCCTTTCCACAATTAGCTACATCCCCACCCTTCTTTGAAAACCTCCCAATTTTAGTCAGTTGGGAGATGAAGTTGAGACTGATCCCCTATTCTCAGCTGTAGCACCCAATTAAAGCCTTCTTCCCTGGCAATAACCCATCTCAGTGATGGGCTGTCTGTGCTTTAAGCAATGAGACATAGACCAAACCCGTGACATTTCAGTAACACTTATAAGAGTCAGAAAAGGACACACAGAAACACAGGGCAAAGGATCATGTGAATGTTGCCAGAAAGGGGTCCTGATCCAGACCCCAAGAGAGGGTTCTTGGATCTCACCCAAGAAAGAATTCAGGGCAAGTCCACAGAGTCAAGTGAAAGCAAGTTTATTGCAGAAGTAAAGGAACAAAAGAATGCCTACGCCATAGGCAGAACAGCAGGATGGTCTGCTTGATTGAGTATACTTACAGTTATTTCTTGACTATGTGCTAAACAAGGGGTGGATTATTCATGCGTTTTTTGGGAAAGGGGTGGGGAGTTTCCAAGACTGAGAGTTTCTCCCTTTTTTTAGACCATATAGGGTAACTTCCCAAAGTTGCCATGGCATTTGTAAACCGTTATGGTGCTGGTGGGATTGTCTTTTAGCATGTTAATGTATTATAATTAGCATATAATGAGCAGTGAAAATGACCAGAGATCACTATCATGGCCATCTTGGTTTTGGTGGGTTTGAGTGGCTTCTTTACTGCATTTCATTTAATCAGTGAGGTCTTTGTGTCCTGTACCTTGCAAAACCAATCCTGACGATTCCTGGCTCACCTATTCAAGATGGAGTCACTCTGGTTCTAATGCCTGTAACATGAAGACAGTCAGAGATTGCAATTGTGCTGTCACAAGCCAAGGAAAACCAGGAGCCAACAGAAGTTGGAAGAAGCAAGGAAGGATTCTCTCGTAGAGCCTTCAAAGGGGATGTGGCCTTGCCCACACCTTGATTTTGGACTTCTGGCCTCTGTAACTCTGAGAGAGCACATATCTGTTGCTTTAAGGCACCCTATGTTTTAGAATAATTTGTTGCAGTAGCCCTAGGAAACTAATAAAGTTCAATTAATCTTTTTTCTTTTATAATTCTTGCTTTTTGCATTTTATTTAAGAAACTTTTGCCTTATACAAAGTCACTAGGGATTTCTTTTCTCTTGAAGTTTTGCAGATTTTGCTTTTTTTTTTTTTTTTTTTTCCTTTTTCTTTTGGGATACTGTCTTTCTCTGTTGCCCAGGCTGGAGTGCAGTGGCACAATCATGGCTCATGGCAGCCTCAAACTCCTGGGCTCAAGCAATCCTCCTGCCTCAGCCTCCAAAGTAGCTGGGACTACAGGCACATGCCACCACTCATGGTTAATTTTTGTATTTTTTGTAGAGACAGGGTTTCACCATGTTGACCAGGCTAGTCTTGAACTCGTGAACTCAAGAGATCAACCTGCCTTAGCCTCCCAAAGTGCTGGGATTACAGGTGTGCACCACCAGCCCAGCCTAAACCAGTAGTTTTTAACTAAGCATAATGTTATGCCTAAGAAGATATTAGGCAATATATGGAGAAATTTTTAGTTTTCACAACCAGGGGTTGCTACTGGCATCCAGTGGGTAGAGGCCACAGATGCTGCCCAACATCCTACAATGCACAGGATAGCCTTTCACAACAAAGAAGAGAACCATCCATCCCAAAATGTCACTTGTGCTGCTGCTGAGAAATCTTACATTGAATATACAGATCATTTTGAGGAGAAATGATGTCTTAAATATGTGAAGCCTTTTGATACATATGTATGGTGTAACTCTCTGTTAAGTTCTTTAATTTCTCTCAGCAGTATTTTATAGGTTTCAGTATATAAGCCTTGCACATTTTATGTTAAGTATATCCCTATCAACCATGGTCACTATCTAGTCCCAGAACATTTTTTTTTCATTTTTAATTTGTATTTATTTATTTGTTTTTGCTGTACTTCATGCCAAACAGAACATTTTCATTATCCCCAAAGCTGCTGGATGTTGGGAGCCAAAAGCCTGAGGGTCGTGACCAACTCAGCATTCCACTGGAGGCTATATGATCAAAGAGCAAACTGTTTATCATGAATACAGGATGTGAGCAAACTCACATCTGCGCTTGCTGCCAGAAGGTATGCTGAGGGCAATCACTCCCTGGCGCTGAGCTCCTTGAGAGTATCTAATGGAACATCTGGAGCCTACTGTTCTAAGAAAGCAGTCATGCGGGCCTGCACTAAATCAAGCAGCTGACCTACAACCACCCCCTCCTCCCAGTTTCTTTTACTCAATAAATACGAAGGGCTATAGAAGCTCAAGGTCCTTGTTCACAAGAAGCAAGGAGCCCCCTCACCCCTTCTTTTAAAATAGATCTTTTTGTCTTTGTCTTTATTCCTGCATTCATCCTCCTTTGTTTAGTCCACCAGGGTCTGTGGCAAAGTGGTGCCTGAACAGGGATATGAACCCTGGACCCTCAGATTGAAAGCCTGAGGGTCGTGACCAGCTGCTGTCCAAAGTCATTCCTCATACCCATTCCCTCCTCCTTCTGGCAACCAATAATCTGCTTTCTGTTGTTATAGATTTGCCTATTCTGGGTATTTTTATTATTTATTTATTTATTTATTTATTGAGACAGAGTCTCACTCTGTCACCCAGGCTGGACTACAGTGGTGCAATCATGGCTCACTGCAGCCTCGACTTCCTGGGCTCCGGTGATTCTCCCACCTCAGCCTCCCAAGAAGCTGGGACTACAGGTACATGCTACCATAGCTAATGTTTTCTATTTTTTTGTAGAGACAGGGGTTTGCCATGTTGCCCAGGCTGGTCTTGAACTCCTAGGCTCAAGTGATCCTCCTGCCTTGGCCTCCCAGATTGCTGGGATTACAGGCATGAGTCACCACACACAATTTGGGTATTTTATATAAGTGGAATCATATAATATGTGGCCTTTTGTGTCTGGTCGCTTTCACTTAGCATAATGTTTTCAAGGTTTATCCATGTTGTAGTATGCATTAGTACTTCATTCCTTTTATGGCAGAATAACATCCCATTATGTGTGTGTGTGTGTGTGTGTGTGTATGTGTGTCACACACCACATTTTATTTACCCGTTCATTAGATACTTTACATTTGGGTTGTTTCCACCTTTTGGCTATTGTGGATGGTGCTGCTATAAATATTCATCTGTAAGTTTTTGCTTGGACAGCTGTTTTCAATACTTTGGGGTGTATACCAGGAGTGGAACTGCTGGGTCATATGGTAATTCTATTTTTAACTTTTTGAGGAACTGGCTGTGCCATTTTATATTTCTTGTACTTTTGTACAAGCAATGTACAAAAGTTCCATCTTTTCCACATCCTCACCAACATTTGTAAATTTTCATTTCATTTTGCTTTGTTTTAAATTATAGTCATCCTATTGGTATGAAGTGGTACCTCGTCATTGTGGTTTTGGTTTGCACTTGCCTAGTGACTAATAATGTTGAACATCTTTTCAAGTGCTTTTTGGCCATTTGTATACTTTTTCTGGAAAAATATCTATTCAAATCCTTTGCCCATTTTTTTCACCCACAAAAGATATAAAATAACTTTGCCCATTTTTATTTATTTTATTTTATTTTATTTATTTTGAGACAAGGTCTCACTGTGGTGCTCAGGCTGGAGTGCAATGGTGTGATCTCAGCTCACTGCAACCTCTGCCTCCTGGGTTCAAGCAGTTCTCATGCCTCAACCTCCCAAGTAGTTGGGATTACAGGCGTGCGCCACCACACACAGCTAATTTTTGTATTTTTTGTAGAGACAGGGTTTCACCATGTTGGCCAGGCTGGTCTCGAACTCCTGGCCTCAAGTGATCCACCTGCCTCAGCCTCCCAAAGTGCTGGGACTACAGAAGTGAGCCACCATGCCCAGCCCCATTTTAAAATTGAGCTGTTTTATCAGCCGCGGTGGCTCACGCCTGTAATCCCAGCACTTTGGGAGGCTGAGGCGGGCAGATCATGAGGTCAAGAAATCGAGACCATCCTGGCCAACATGGTGAAACCCCATCTCTACTAAAAATATAAAAATTAGCTGGGCTTGGTGGTGCGCACCTGTAGTCCTAGCTACTCGGGAGTTGGTTCTTTGGACTCCCTTGCAATTCCATGATATGATTTTTAGAATTAGCTTTCTATTTTTTAAAAAAGGCCATTGGGATTTAATAGAGATTACATAGATTCTGTAGATTTCTTTGGGTAGTATTGCCATCTTAATATTAAGTCTTCCAATACAAGATGTCTTTCTATTTCTTTGTGTCTACTTTACTTTCTCTAAGCAATGTATTGTAGTTTTCAATGTACAAGTCTTGAACATACATTAAATTTATAACTAAATAGTTCATGTTTTTATGCTATTGTATATATTTTTTCAATTTTAATTTCTTACTGTTTATTGTTAGTATGTAGAAATACAATAGCTTATTGGATTAGCCGGGTGTGGTGGCACACGCCTGTAATCCCAGCTACCTGGGAGGCTGAGGCAAGAGAATTGCTTGAACCCGGGAGGTGGAGGTTGCAGTGAGCCAAGATTGCACCACTACACTCAAGCTGGGTGACAGAGTGAGACTTCGTCTCAAAAAAAAAAAAAGCTTACTGGCCTTATAACCTGTGAACTTACTTACTAAACCCATTTATTCTAGTATTCAACTACTTCTGGGCTCAAGGAATCCTCCCAACTCAGCCTCCCAAAGTGCTGAGATTACAGACATGAGCCACAGTGCCTGGCTTGTTTCTCTTTAATTTTTAATTTTTTGCCTTACTAGACTATGTAGGACCTCTAGTGCAATATTCAGTAGAAGTGGTTAGAGTGGGCATTCTTGCCTTGTTCTTCAACTTAGGGGAAAAGCATTCAATCTTACACCATTAAGTATGATGTTAGCTGTAGGTTTATCATCTATGATAAACCTTTATCAGGTTGAGAAGGCTCTCTCCTATTTTTAGCTTAAGTTGATTGGCAAAAATTTGTTATAATACTACCTTATGATCATTTTAATGTCTACAGGATGTGTGATGATGTCTTCTCTACTTCCTGATATGTTTTCTCTCCATCTCCCTCCCTGTCTCTCCCCTGATGAATTTGGCTAGAGGTTTATCAATTTTATTGATCCCCTCAAAGAACCAACTTTTTATTTTATTTTACTTTTTTAATTAATTAATTTATTTATTTATTTTGAGACAGAGTCACCCTCTGTCACCCAGGCTGGAGTGCAGTGGCATGATCTCTGCTTACTACAACCTTGGCCTTCTGGGTTCAAGCAATTCTCCTGCCTCAGTCTCCCAAGTAGCTGGGATTACAGGCACACACCACCACGCCTGACTAATTTTTGTATTTTTAGTGGAGACAGGGTTTCACCATGTTGACCAGGCTGATCTTGAACTCCTGACCTCAAGTGATCCACCCAAAGTGCTGGGATTATAGGCATGAGCCACCGCGCCAGCCAGAACCAACTTTTTAAATTGAAACAGGGTTTTTTCTGTGTTGTCCAGGTTGGTCTCAAATTGCTCACCTCAAGTGATGCTTCCACCTCAGCCAAAAAGTGCTGGGATTTGAGGTGTGAGCCACTGCACTAGCCCAGAAAACACTTTGTATGACTTTCTTACTTTTAAATTTATGACGACTTAGGCCAGGCACGGTGGCTCATGCCTATAATCCCAGCACTTTGGAAGGCCGAGGAGGGTGGATCATGTGAGGTCAGGAGTTCGAGACCAGCCTGGCCAACATGGTGAAACCCCGTCTCCTCTAAAAATACAAAAATTAGCGTGGTGGCGCATGCCTGTAGTTCTAGCTACTCAGGAGGTTGAGGCAGGAGAATCGCTTGAGCCCGGGAAGCTGAGGTTACAGTAAGCTGAGATCACACCACTGCACTTCAGCCTGGGCGACAGAGTGAAACACTGTCTCTAAATAAATAAATAAATAAATTCATGTGGACTTGTGTTATGGCCCAGAAGATGGCTAGAAATATAATTCACCGGCCAGGTGTGGTGACTCACGCCTGTAATCCCAGCACTTTGGGAGGTCAAGGTCAGCGGATCACTTGAGGTCAGGAGTTCAAGATCAGCCTTGCCAATATGGTGAAACCCTGTCTCCACTAAAAATACAAAAATTAGCCAGGCGTGGTCCCACATGCCTGTACTCCCAGCTACTGGGGAAGCTGAGGCAGGAGAATCACTTGAACCTGGGAGGCGGAGGTTGCAGTGAGCTGAGATTGTGCCATTGCACTCCAGCCTGGGTGAAAAAGTGGCACTCTATCTCAAAAAAATAAAATAAAATAAAAAATAAAAAAATATATATATATAATTCATCTACTGAGAGAAAATGCAGTCATCATTATGCTAATACATGGACTCAGGTCTGAGCAACAATACATTTCTCACCATAGATCCGTATATTGGAGTTTGGATTTTATACACCAGTCTGATGAGCTGAGTGAATGTGAGTTCCCTCCTGAGAGAACAAGCTGTCTCTTTTATTTTTTTTGAAACGGAGTCTCGATCTGTCACCCAGGCTGGAGTGCAGTGGCACAATCTCGGCTCACTGCAACCTCCGCCTCCCGGGTTCAAGCGATTCTCCTGCCTCAGCCTACTGAGTAGCTGGGATTACAGGCGCCCGCCACCATGCCTGACTAATTTTTGTATTTTTAGTAGAGACGTAGAGACAGGGTTTCACCACGTTGGCCAGGCTTGTCTTGAACTTCTGACGTCGTGATCCACCCGCCTCAGCCTTCCAAAGTGCTGCAATTATAGACATGAACCACCGCGCCTGGCCACAAGCTGTCTCTTCATGTTCTCTACATACAATGGCAAAGATCTTAATTGGAAATCGAACCTTCTAATCTTCCAGGTATTTTCAAATATCCATATGTTTGTATTCATATATTTGTTTTAGCTTTAGAACATGAATGAAGATCCTAGGTCTCTGAATAAATTGTCCTTTCTTGGGTTAGTTTCCCATCTGAAAATTAAAAATTAACTCAAGGAAATGTAACTTACTATATTTATACAAGAATGTATTTTGAGGGGAAATATGGTCCATATTGCTCAATATCGCGGAATTTAACAGTTTCAATGACTGCTTAATGTGTAGAATTTGAGCCTTATTTGAATCAGCCCCAAAGTGTTATTTATGAAGAAACTGAAATTAAAGGTGAGGCACAGTAGCTCATGCCTGTAATCCCAGCCACTTTGGAAGGCTGAAGCGGGTGGATCACCTGAGGTCAAAAGTTCAAGACCAGCCTGGCCAACATGGTGAAACCCCTTCTCTACTAAAAATACAAAAATTAGCCAGGTGTGGTGGCACATTCCTGTAATCCCAGCTACTCGGGAAGCTGAGGCACAAGAATTGCTTAAACCTGGGAGGCAGAGGTTGCCGTGAGCCAAGATCATGCCACTGCCCTCCAGCCTGGGTGGTAGAGGGAGACTCTGTCTCAAAAAAAAAAAAAAAAAAAAAAAAGAACAGGGCCGGGCACAGTGGCTCACGCCTATAAATCCCAGCACTTTGGGAGGCCGAGGCAGGCGGATCACGAGGTCAGGAGATCGAGACCATCCTGGCTAACACGGTGAAACCCCGTCTCTACTAAAAATACAAAAAACTAGCTGGGCGTAGTGGCAGGCGCCTGTAGTCCCAGCTACTTGGGAGGCCGAGGAAGGAGAATGGCGTGAACCCGGGAGGTACAGCTTGCAGTGAGCCCAGATAGCGCCACTGCACTCCAGCCTGGGCGACAGAGCAAGGCTCCGTCTCAAAAAAAAAAAAAAGATGAAAGAAAGAAATTTAATAGTTTTAGGACCGTTAGATGGTGCACAAATATATTGTTGATCCAGAATATATATACATATACATATGTGTGTGTGTGTATGTGTGTGTGTGTATATATATATGCATGTATATATATATACACATGCATATATATATATATATATATATATATATATATATATATATATATGTATTTTTTTAGACAGGGTCTTATTCTGTTACCCAGTCTGGAGTGCAGTGGCATGATCACAGCTCACTACCGCCTCAACCTCCCCAGCTCAAGTGATCCTCCTACCTCAGCCTCCAAGAATACCTGGGATTACAGGAGCACGTCACCACACCTGGTGTTTTTTTATTTTTTGTAGAAACAGGGTCTCACTATGTTGCCTAGCCTGGTCTCAAACTCCTGGGCTCAAGCAATCCTCCCTGGTTGGCTTCCCAAAGTGCTGGGATTACAAGCATGAGCCCGGCCCAGAATAATTTTTAGTATGCTACTAGGGAGCGTAACTGCAATATTGTTACCAGAAAGGGGTCCCAGTCTAGACCCCAAGAGAGGGTTCTTGGATCTCACACAAGAAAGAATTCGGGGCAAGTCCATAGAGTAAAGTGAAAGCAAGTTTATTAGAGTAGTAAAGAAACAGAAGAATGCTACTCCATAGGCAGAGCAGTGGCATGGGCTGCTTGCCTGAGTATACTTATGGTTATTTCTTGATTATATGCTAAAGAAAGAGTGAATTATTCATGAGTTTTCTGGGATAGGAGTGCGGAGTGCCTAGAACTGAGAGTTTCTCCCCCTTTTTAGGCCGTTTAGGGTAACATCCTGATGTTGCCATGGCAGTTGTAAACTGTCATGGCGCTGGTGGGAGTGTCTTCTAGCATGCTAATGCATTATAATTGGCATATAAGCAGCAGTGAGGACAACCAAAGGTCACTTTTGTCGCCATCTTGGATTTGGTGGGTTTTGGCCAGCTTCTTTACTGCATCCTGTTTAGCTGGTAGGGTCCTTATGACCTGTATCTTGATACCAGCTCTGCTGACCTCCTGTGTCATCCTGTGACTAGGAATGCCTAACATCCTGGGAATGCAGCCCAGCAGGCCTCAGCCTTATTTTACCCAGCCCCTATTCAAAATGGAGTTTCTCTGGTTTGAATGCCTCAGATAGTATCTGAATAAAAATTATTGGCCTATTAAAGTAAGTTGTTGCCAGAGTCAAAAAGCAAAACAAAACAAATGAAAAAGTGACCCTGTGCCTCCCCACAAAGCATAGGGGAGTAGCTGGAGGAAGAAAAGCCTTATACTTCCTGTGTTCTCTCCCCAGTCAGTATTTAGTGTCTTTATGGTGCCCAACACCTTCTGTTTTTACACAACTCTTAAGTGTGTGTAAGTGTGACACTAACTCTTAAGTGAGGTAAGATGGGTACAATGACAATAGTGAAGCAGTTGCATTGTCTGGGGTATATACCCTGGGGTTTTTCACTGCACACCAGGAAAATTTAGAACACAAACACACAGGAGTAGTTTAGGAGCAGAGGTTTAATAGGCAGAAGGGAAGAGAAAGGGAAACAGCTCTCTATAGAAAAAGGGGTCTCCGAGCAGAAAAGACCAGCCCGTGCCCGATGCCCCGGACTTTATAGTCAGATTGAGAAGGCAGTGTCTGATTTACACAGGGCTCACAGATTGGCAGGTATGACGTTTACATAGCACCTGGGGAAGGCTGGTCACGCCACCCTAATCTTATTATGCAAATGAACTTTTCTTGGCCAACGCCATCTTTTCTGCTCTTTATTGTACACGTGGCTGGCAGAGAAGGGAAGATGGAGCCCGCCATCTTGAACATGTCTAGTCCCTGGTTACTGCAGGTATTCACCCATGCAAGCTCCCAGCTTGCTTGTCTATGTCTACAGCTGGACTTTACAGGCTGCTCTGTTAAGAAAATGACTTGGGGCTGCTTTTCATTAAAAAGAAAAGCCTAACCGAGGACTGCCATACCCTTACTATCTGCCTAAGTAGTTTCTTCTTGACTCCTGTATCAATAGGATCTGTTTAAGTCATTAGGCCCTTGGGAAAACTGTTTTTTTCCCACAAGGATATCTGGGAATTTCAAGCCCTAATTTTCAATATTGTCTTAATGTGTGTCTGTAGGGCCCACATGCCCTAACCTAGGCAGGGGGTCTCTCAATCACAAATTCTAAAGCTATATCTAAAACTGGGTGTTAACAGTACCAGATCTCGGAAACCAATCCCACTACCAATCACCAATTTTTTTTTTCCAGGAAATTTTATTCTAAAATAACCACGAATCTGGAGGCACGAGACTAAATTAACTGTTGCAATTTATAACATTTCAATGATAGTTCAACCCTTCTTATCTTGTGTTTTTCAACTAAACATTCTTGGCATACCATGATAAGTTTTATTTAAAAAAGAGAAAAAGAAGCATTACTAAGTTCGGCCTTATATTTAAAGCAGGGAAATGAAAGAAACATCCCTTGTTTCTCTTATAAGTCTATGACAAGGTAGGCAGCCAGTCTGCTCAAAAGAAAATTTTTTTGTGGAATTACTCAAAAGCTTTAAAAATAAAATCTATACACTTGTTAGTAACTCCCTTCATATTCACTGATGTCACCTTGTGGACATTATTCAAAGCGAAAAGAAAAACTAACATAATAATAAATATAATTTAAGAATTTTTTGGTGAGAGTTAATGAAGTTAGGAAGCAAACTCCCACAAACAGAATACTTCAGAGTTTTTCTAATTTAACTTTTCCTCGCTCCGAGGGAAATAAGAAAGAGATCACCTACACAATATGTAAGAGAGAAACAGAGTTAAGAATATTGGATGAAGGGTCAGAAAACATGAATGTTAGTCTGGGCTTTGTTACTGACTTACTGGGTGACTTGGAATTAAGCCCCTTAGCCTTTCTGCTCTGGAATTCCTCATCTTTAAAGTTAGGAGATTTAGCTAGGCACGGTGGCTCACTCCTGTAATCCCAGCACCTTGGGAGGCTGAGGTGGGCAGATCACTTGAGATCAGGAGTTGGAGACCAGCCTGGGCAACATGGTGAAACCCCGTTTCTACTAAAAATACAAAAATTAGCTGGGTGTGGTGGAGCACGCCTGTAGTCCCAGCTACTCAGGAGGCTGAGGCATGAGAATCACTTGAACCTGGGAGGCAGAGGTTGCAGTGAGTCGAGATTTGCGCCACTGCACTCCAGCCTGGGCAACAAAGTGAGACTCTCTTAATAAAAAATAAAAATAAAATAAAGCTAGGAGACTGGATTAAGAAACTCCAAGCTTCCTGTGGACTTCTCCCATCAGCTTCCTTGTGTCCCAAGGCTGTCTGCTCACTTTGTTCTCTCTCTGGCATCTCTTTTTCTGGCAATTCTTCTTCCTATTGTGATGTACATGCAGGAGTTTCTCCAGTGAACTGTCTTTGATCCCTTTTCTCACTAATCCTTTATTGAATTTTACTTATAATCTCTGAGGTGGACATTGGAGCATCACCCAGGCCCCTGCTTCAGCACTGAGGCTTTCCTCACCTCAGCTGCTGAGAAGGTTGGAGGATGACATCTCTAAGCTGAGTTCTTTCAGGAAATTGCCCCCTGCAAATACAGCCACCTCAGCCAAGGTCAGTCACAGCCCCTCCTGGGGACAGCCCACATCCAGCCATCCTTCAGTGTAGGATGACAGGGGTCAGCTCCCTTGCCTCAGGGTGGTATAGGGGCAAAGGGAATTTATCCCTCCGGCTCTGAAGGTTTGAGTCTTTTTAAACTTATTGTTATTATTTTTAAAAATCTTTTGTAGCCACGGGTTCTCCGTATGTTGCCAAGGCTGGTCTCAAACTCCTGGGCTCAAATGATCCTCCTGCCTCGGCCTCTCAAAGTGCTGGGATTATAAGCATGAGCCACCACACCCAGACTTTTATCTATTTATTTATGTATTTTAATTAATTAATTTATTTTTTTGAGACAAGGTCTCACTCTGTCACCCAGGCTGGACTCAGCTCACTGCAGCCTCTGCCTCCTGGCTCAAGTGATCTTCCCACCTCAACCCACCAAGCATCTGGTACTCCAGGCATGTGCCACCACACCCAGCTAAGTTTTATATTTTTGGTAAAGAGGGGATTTCACCATGTTGGCCAGGCTGGTCTCGAACTCCTGAGCTCAAGTGATCCACTTGCCTCAACCAAAGTGCTGGGATTACAGGTGTGAGCCACCATGCCTGGCAATTTTTTAAATTTTTTAGTTCGAGTCTTAAAATCTACTGAAATAAACTGGCAACAGGCAGATTAACAGGAGAAAAGACATACAAATGTATCATATGCATAGGAGCCACACAAAATGTGAAACTAAAAGAAGGACCAAATGACTGATGTTTTTATACTACACAGAAAGGAAGAGAGGCTTGGAGCTCCTGGTGGGAGGTGGCAACAGGTTTACTGGGGGAGAAAAGGAGGAAACTCATGGGTGAGCAAAGGCTGTCTTATTAAATGGATGAATTCTCTCGAGTAGCAGCCCTCAGAGAGAATAGATGGACCTGTGGTAAAGTTTTGCTGTCAGACCTTTAAAAACGCCAGAGATTTAGTCTCCTTTTCCTGTGAGTTAATCTTTCCTAGATCCTGATAAGGGCACCTCAGAGAGAGCCTTTGTTTGCATCTCTTGCTAATAATGATTTCCTCCAGAGGTGCAAATCTCTCCCCCAAAAAGACAGCTTTACAGAGCTATTCCTGTGTCTGCAGCCCCTCTGAAGAGCCACCTTCAAATATGCCAAAGAAAGATATTTGGGGATGGCATACTTTGATTTCCCACAGTGGGATAACACTGAAGGGTCACAGCTGCTCCAGAATGACTCTGGTGTTTGCTGTGACTGCATTGCCTCCTTCTGCCCAGTTCTACAGGTAGCTGTTTGTTTGTTTGTTTGTTTGTTTTTGAGATGGAGTCGCACTCTTATCGCCCCGGCTGGAGTGCAGTGATGCAATCTCGGCTCACTGCAACTTCTGCCTCCTGGGTTCAAGCTATTCTCCTGCCTCAGCCTCTTGAGTAACTGGGACTACAGGTGTGCGCCACCATGCCCAGCTAATTTTTGTATTTTTAGTAGAGATGGGGTTTCACCATGTTGGCCAGGCTGGTCTCGAACTCCTGACCTCGGGTGATCTGCCTGCCTCGATCTCCCAAAGTGAGGTGTTGACTCTAAGAACATTCCTCAATAAACCACCTGCACAAAAACCTTCATCTCAGAGTCTGTTTCCTGGAGAACCCAACCTAAGCCAGGGCCGGGAGTGGTTTGTGGAAACAGACTCTACAGTGATTACCCATCTGCCAGTTGGCAATGAAGACCCCATTGCTGATGGTAGGAGTCGCACTGCCAGCTCCTGGCATGCAGTGCAGTTGTTAAACTTTCACTAGTGGTGATCTTGGATGGAATACTCCTGGAAGAGAATGTACCAGCCACTGCAATATCTAAGGTTTTGAGAGATTGGAAAAAGTACTAACCACGAAGGACAATGAACCACATGGCTCTTTCTGAGGATCCTTGATGCATTTTTAAAAGACATCAAAAGAGGGAAGGTGATGAATCACCAACTGAAGGCCCAGTGTGAAAACAAAGAGGGATTCCTTGGCAGCTTATCCAGGGACTCTCATCTCCCACAGCCAGAGGGCAGAAAAAGCTTGAGATGGGGCCCTGCATTTACTTCTAAGGGTGGCAGAACTCCAGAGAAATTTGAGTTCTTAGTCTTAGCAAGTCTGCTACATCAAGGTGAAGGTCTTGACTAGGAAGAAGTGAAATCCTGAGACTTGGGACAGGGGTATTTGGATTGATGCACTTAAAAACCTTGAGACTATAGATCCCTCTAAACCATATGGGCCTGCAGAAATGGCCCACTGCTCCTGTTAAGGGTGAGTGTTCCCTACTTGCTTAAAATAATGCAGAGGCCTCTCGGTCTAGACAAGAAATCAAAGAAGGATGATCAAGAGCAGCCCTGCTTCTTGGGTAACATGAACCAGCAAACAGTATGGTATTAAAAATATCAGTGCTAGCCGGGCATGGCGGTGGCTCACACCTATAATCCCAGCATTTTGAGAGGCCGAGGCGGGTGGATCACTTGCGGTCAGGAGTTTGAGACCAGCCTGGCCAACATGGTGAAACCCCATCTCTACTAAAAATACAAAAATTAGCCCGGGTGGCGCATGCCTGTAATCCCAGCTACTCAGAAAGCTGAGGCAGAATCGCTTGAACCCCAGGAGGCAGAAGTTGCAGGGAGCCGAGATCGTGCCACTACACTCTGGCCTCCAGTGTGGGTGACAGAGTGAGACTCTGTCTCAAAAAAAGAAAAAAAAAAAACTTGAGAAGGACACTCAAAGATTAATGAATTGCTGCCCCAGATAGGACACCTAGGGGACAAGGTGGCAGAGAAACTAACTTCCTGCTGTTTACCTGTTTGAATCTTTGATTTGTGTACTATCTGCAAAGGGCTGCCACTGTGTAATCCAAAGTGGGCTCTTCATATTCTTATCTGCAAATGGCACCCCTGGAGTTGTGCTGTATGTGTCAGGTGCAGCTGTATATTTCAATCCTGGTATGTGTGTTTTACATACTCAAAAATGTTTAGGAAATTATATATACTCTTTGCTCTTTGGTTTGGACAGAATAGCTATTCTCTGAAACCATCTCAGTTAAAATATCCTAGGATTTCAACAAACCTCTGTCTGAATTGTTATTTACATCTCTTGTTACCAGCCATCGATTTTACATAAGCTTTTTTAATTATTATTATTTTAAAAGATTCCCCACTTTTTTCAGGAAATTCCTTTAGTGCTGAAATTACTCGCAGCTTTTTCCCCTAAGAACTCCACAGGGAGATTGGAGTAGGGGCAACACTAAAACCAGCCCAAGGGCTTAACCCCCGCAGCTGACCTTCTCCTGGGCGTAGTTATTAGTTGTTTGACTGGGAGAGGTGGCTCATGCCTGTAATCCCAGCACTTTGGGATACCAAGGCGGGAGGATCACTGAAGCCAAGAGTTCCAGATCCAAGAGTTTGAGATCATCCTGGCAACATAGTGAGACCCTGTCTCTATTTTATTTATTTAAAATTGTTAAAAAGAAAAAAAAAAAGGCCTGTGCAGTGGCTCACGCCTGTAATCCCAGCACTTTGGGAGGCTGAGGTGGGTGGATCACCTGAGGTCAGGAGTTCGAGACCAGCCTGGCCAACATGGTGAAACCCTGTCTCTTACTAAAAATACAAAAATTAGCCAGGCATGGTGGCAGGCGCCTGTAATCCCAGCTACTCGGGAGGCTGAGGCACGAGAATCGCTTAAATCTGGGAGACGGAGGTTGCAGTGAGCCGAGATCACAACATTGCACTCCAGCCTGGGTGACAGAATGAGACTCTGTCTCAAAAAAATAAATAAATAAAAATAAATAAAATAAAATGTTAATACTGCCTATGTAGAGCTTGCTATGGATTATTTTTATTTTTCTTCGTACTTGCCTGCATTTTCCAAAATTACTACAATTAACATGTTTTCTTTTATAATTAAAAAAAAAATGTTACCCTCACGCAAAATTCAATTTGGAGAGTTCTAGCAGCACATCGATTTGCTCCTCATTAGTCTCCTATAGTACTCTGAGGCATATATATGAATTAATCGGGAAACATCAATCATGGGTTACCTAAAACATTCTTCCAACCTGACTATGTACTAGAAGGAGGCAGGTAGGAATAGAGGGATGGCAGATGGCAAAGGGGACACAAAACAGTTGCAATGACTTTGTTACCTTTGTTAGTTTTTTCTTGGAGGAAGAGTCATTTAATGAATTTCTAGCTAAATGAGCTATTTTACATTTGTAGAGATGACAAACTTCACTATTCAGCAGGATCATGTACCTTCTTTGATATTCATAAAGGCTTTGAAGTCCAAAATACACACTGTTTAGCAATCTTAGTCTATACTACAGAATAATTGCTCTCCCCTAAATAATATATAAATATCTTTTTAAATTAGTCTTGGACGGGGAAATTTTAAAAATAGATGGTATGGGTCAGAATCAAGTTCTGTAACTCAGTACCTTCCTTATAAAACATTTATGGGTTTGATTGAAGGATTATTCTAGACACATTTGTGTATAGCATAAATACAAGTTAAATGTAAAAAAAATTAATAATGAAAAAGTGAGACCTAAGAAGACCAGCAGATGGCATAAATAATTTATTTAATCAAAACTGCCAATATGTATATTGTAAAAGATACTTTCCCTGAAGTTTCTCCGATGAAATCTTTTGAATATTTAGGCCAAAATTCCCAATTAAAGCATCATTAAAGAAGACTTAGTTATAAGCACAAAAATTAAAATTGCAGGAGATTGATCTCATGGATGACAACCCAAGGCTAGATTGTAAACTATATGCCTAGAAACCCAAAAGACAAGGTGTAATGAGAGACAGCTAATCTAGACGCTCCACCCAGCACACTTCCACGAGCATCTCTGACATGGGAGATGTGCATGATATCAGAGATTTAGGAACAATGTCCTCAAAACTATGTGGGTGTGTACCTGCTCCAGTAATTTCCTCCTAAGAGCAACATGAAACCGCCTCTCTCTTCAAATATAACTGGAATGTTCATCTCAACATTTAATCTTTCCTGGACTAAGGCTCCAAGATGCTAAGTCAGCAGTCCCCAACCTTTTTGGCACCAGGGACAGATTTCGTGGAAGACAATTTTTCCTGGATGGGGTGGGAAGTGGTTTCGGTATGAAACTATTCTCACGCATTAAATTCTTAAAAGGAATGCACAGAGATCCCTCGCATGCACAGTTCACAATAGGGTTAGCGGTCCTATGAGAATCGAATGCCATGCTGACCTGACAGGAAGAGGAGCTCAGGCGGTAATGCTTACTTGCCCAGCACTTGCCCACCTCTCACCTCCTGCTGTGCAGCCGGTTCCTAACAGGCTACTCACGGGTACCGGTCTGCAGTGGTGGTTGGGGACCCCTGAAGTAAGTGATCAAATACCTGTTGGCTGCCCTGGATCTGAAACAGGATATTTTCCCCATTCTCCACCATCTGATTAAAGGGACAGCAGGAAACATTTGTCCTCCCTTGCTTTTGTACGGCCTCTTACGAAGACGGCTCCCATCAGGAAGAGGCGTGGTGCCAAAGTCTGTTGTGGCATGGCCTTGAATTCCACTGCAAGAGACTTTTCTCAAGGGTAGTCATGCAGATTCTTTTGCTGTTGTTTTTCTTTTGAGACAGGGTCTCGCTCTGTTGCCCAGGCTGGAATACAGTGGTGTGATTAGAGCTCACTGCAGCCTCAAACTCCTGAGCTCAAGCAACCCTTCCACCTTAGCCTTCCAAGTAGCTAGGACTACAAGCACATTTCACCATGTGAATTATTAAAAAATTAGTGGGGCGAATTTTTTGTAGAGACAGAGTCTCACTATCTTGCCCAGGCTGGTCTCCAACTCCTGGACTCAAGCCATCCTCCTACCTCGGCCTCCCAAAGTGCTGGGATTACAGACATGAGCCACTGCACCTGGCCTCATGGAGGTTCTTGACTATCAGTGACATGTAGTGCAGAGGCAGAAGTCTGTGAAGCCAAACATTTCATCTAACACCTCTAGAGCAGTGGTTCCTATCTTAGGACCCTCAGAAGGAGGGTCAGGGCCACAGACTTATCATCCTGAATTAGAATCCAGACATGTGCAAGGTCTAGAACAAACTTCACCAGACTATTAATAATGCTTTTTCCAGAAGGTGAGCTTATAGGAGATTATCTATTTTATGCTCACTATTACATCTCTAGGGCTTAGTCCAGGGTCTTATAGGTAGTAGGTGCTAAATAAATAGTTACTGAATGAATGAATACTTTTCTATAATGTTTAAATTTTTTTAATGAACATTATTACTTTTGAAATCATAAAGATCTGGAATTCTCATACTCAAAAAGGTAAAGAATCACTCTTGTATAGAGTTTTTTCCCACTGGATGAAAACCTAATTATTTTTTCTTCCATGGTCTTTATTTGAATGAATTTAATTTTGAGTGCAAGTATTACTCAATATATGTAAGTCTGACAAAACCTACCTAACTTAAAGAGTGTGTAAAGCAGATAACTGATTCAATGTTATGAATCACCAATGCCTGGACTGGACATGATGGCTCACACCTGTAATCCCAGCACTTTTTGAGGCCCAGGTGGGAGAATCTCTTGAGCCCAAGTGTTCAAGACCAGCCTGAGCAACATGGAGAAAACCCTGTCTCTACAAAAAAACAGAAGAGTTAGCCAGGCGTGGTGGTGCACGCCTGTAGTCACAGCTATTCCCGAGACTGAAGCAGGAGGATCACTTGAGCCTGGGAGGTGGAGGATGCAGTGAATGAGCCGTGATCCTGCCACTGCACTCCAGCCTAGGCAACAGAGCAAGACCTTGTCTCAAAAAATATATATCAAAGAAATAAAATATAAATTACCAATGACTCATTTCAGAGACTTTCCAGGTGTCTCTGCCACCTGTTTCAGTAAACATACTCCACTAGTACTGCACTGTTTACTTTCCTGTGGATGCCTTACATACAGCTGCATTTTAAAACATCACCTCTCACGTTCTTGGTCCCTTCCCCGACTTTGTTCAGGAAGCAATAATGAAAGTCAGCAGCTTTTTCTCAAGTGAGATACACACTGTGCTACCTGCGTTCCCCGCAAGCAATCTTTAGCTTGCATACCAGCTAGGCCAAATATTAATTGGAAGACAATTTGGGCAGAGAGATGTAAAACAAATTTTTCTGTAAAATCATGGTTATAGGCCAGGCACGGTGGCTCACGCCTGTAATCCCAGCACTTTGGGAGGCTGAGGTGGGTGGATCACGAGGTCAGGAGATTGAGACCATCCTGGCCAACATGGTGAAACCCTGTCTCTACTAAAAATACAAAGATTAGTTGGGTATGGTTGTGCACGCCTGTAATCCCAGCTACTTGGGAGGCTAAGGCAGGAGAACCGCTTAACCCCAGGAGGCAGAGGTTGCAGTGAGCGGAGATCGCGCCACTGCATTCCAGCCTGGAGACAGAGGGAGACTCTGTCTCAAAAAAAAAAAATTTTTTTATAAATAATGATTGGAGGCTATAGCCACCCCCACAAATTTGGACTCACACATATAGTTGAAACTACTCTAATTTTGGTATATAGATATAGTAGGCATTCAATAGGTATTTGTTAGATGAATGGATATTGACAGTGCTTTTTTTGTTTGCCTGTAGCTTTTGGTGGTGTTCATACCTTCAAGTGGGGCAGTTCTCAGAGAAGGAAGTTGCGGGCTGGAAACATAAAATGTGTCCATTATATTTGGTGTTTTAGAACTTATAGACCATTTTACTCTAGACTCTTTTGGTTGTAAGGAATTGAGGTTCACTGCAGTTAGCTAACATAAAGAAGTTTTATTGTAAGGCATAATAAAGAGGCTCTCAAATTAATCCAAGAGGAGCTGTCCCTGAGCTTCCTATGGCTGGAGTAGGGGGTGGTGTTGGGCTCAAAGCTGCTGAGGGGCTTTCAACTGCAGGGCTCTGTGGGCTTTCCTCCTGATGCTCTTCCATTAATATGCCATGAATACACATCTGCATCATTCTCCCCTACTCCTCACCCCGCCTCCACTTCAAACTGGCAGAAGCTATTGCACCAGGCACAGGGCAAAGGTCATTGGTTAGCCTAAAGATTGACAACATGCCCTGGTGAGTCAGCTGTGACTTAAAAGGACAGGGAGCTCACCAGGAACAGATCATTACTGTCTAGCAAAAAGTACCATGAGAGACTGGGCGCGGTGGCTCACGCCTGTAATCCCAGAACTTTGGGCGGCCAAGGCGGGCGGATCACTTGAGGTCAGGAGTTCAAGACCAGCCTGACCAACATGGTGAAACCCATCTCTACTAAAAATACAAAAATTAGCCATCGAGGTGGCACGCACTTGTAATCCTAGCTACTCAGGAGGCTGAGGCACTAGAATTTCTTGAACCCAGGAGGCGGAGGTTGCAGTGAGCCAAGATGGAGCCACTGCACTCCAGCCTGGGCAACAAAGCAAGACTCCGTCTCAAAAAAAAAAAAAAAAGTACTGTGGGAGACCATTAAATATGTTTAGTATATTTTGACATCTCTTTTAAAAGCTGGGTTCAGGCTGGGTGTGGTGGCACATGCCTATAATCCCAGATACTCATGAAGCTGGGGTGGGAGGATAGCTTGAGCCCAGGACGTCCAGGCTGTAGTGAACTGTGATAGTGTCACTCTTCTCCAACCTGGGTGACAGAGCAAGACCCTGTCGAAAAAAAAAGAAAAAGTGGGGGAAAGAGAGCAAGAAAGAAAAAGAAAAGGAAGGAGGGAAAGAAGGATGGAAGAAAAGAAAGAAGGAGCGAAGAAAGGAAGCTGGGTGCTATTGCAGGCTACTATGGTTGGCCTGAATAAATAACAAGTTTGGGCACAGGAAGGGAGGCAGGGGGTGGAGAGAAAGTGAGGAGGGGCCTCATATCAGATCATCAACAACTCCCGACCAGAAGGCTGGCTTCTTTGCCCTCTTCATTCAACTAGCTTTGCCACTGGGCACGGTGGCTCACGCCTGTAATCCCAACACATTGAAAGGCCAAAGCAAGAAGATTGCTTGTGGCCGGGCGCGGTGGCTCACGCCTGTAATCCCAGCACACTGGGAGGTCGAGGCGGGTGGGTCACCTGAGGTTGGGAGTTCGCGACCAGCCTGACCAATACAGAGAAACCCCATCTCTATTAAAAATACAAAATTAGTCGGGCGTGGTGGCACATGTCTGTAATCCCAGCTACTTGGGAGGCTGAGGCAGGAGAATTGCTCGAACCCAGGAGGCGGAGTCTGTGGTGAGCTGAGTCCACGCCATTGTACTCCAGCCTGGGCAACAAGAGCGAAATTCCATCTAAAAAAAAAAAAAGATTGCTTGAGCCCAGGTGTTGGAGACCAGCCTGGGAAACATGGTGAGATCTCATCTCTACAAAAAAAAAAGAAAAAAGAAAAATTAACTGAGTGTGGTGGCATGCACCTGCAGTCCCAGCTACTCAGGAGGCTGAGATGGGAGGATTGCTTGAGCCCAGGAGATCAAGGCTGCAGTGAGCCATGATTGCACCACTACACTTCAGACTGGGCAAGAGTCTCACAAAACAAAAACAAAACTAGCCTTCCCTTTTCTGTGAGTCTTTATTTTTAATTTTTTTTTTTTGAGATGAAGTCTTGCTCTGTCTCCCAGGCTGGAGTGGAGTGGCGCAATGTCGACTGACTGCAACCTCCACCTCCCTGGTTCAAGTGATTCTGCTGCCTCAGCCTCCCGAGTAGTGGGGATTACAGGTGTGCGCCACCACACCTGGCTACTTTTTGTATTTTAGTAGAGACAGGATTTCACCACGTTGGCCAGGCAGGTCTCAAACTCCTGACCTCAGGTGATCCGCCCACCTCAGCTTCCCAAAGTGCTGGGATTAAAGGTGTGAGGCACCGCGCCCAGTGAATCTTTATTATTATTAACATTAAAAAGCCTTATGTTCATTCAATGGACACACCTTAACCTACTGTGAGTGTTATCAGCAATATTAAAATTCATAATTCAAAAAAAAAGAAAAGAAGCCAAGCAACAACAACAAACTCATAATTCAGCTTTTTCCTGTGATTTTTACAGGGAGTTGCTGCATTCCGAAGTAGGACTGAAGGCGCTTGCCCTGGTCCCAGCTGTTTTCATGGAGTTCCAAATATGTGCTGAACTTCCTGCCAGTGGAGGGGTAGGAGGTCAGAAGAGGAAGGGCCAACCACATCCCATGTCCAACACAAGCTTTAAAAGTCACACTGGGCCGGGCATGGTGGCTCATGCCTGTAATCCTAGCACTTTGGGAAGCTGAGGCAGGCGGATCAGGCAGACAAGTTCGGACAAGGCGGGCAGACAAGGTCAGGAGATCGAGACCATCCTGGCTAACACAGTGAAACCCCGTCTCTACTAAAAGTACAAAAAATTAGCCGGGAGTGGTGGTGGGCGCCTGTAATCCCAGCTACTCGGGAGGCTGAGGCAGGAGAATGGTGTGAACCCGGGAGGCGGAGCTTGCAGTGAGCTGAGATCGCACCACTGCACTCCAGCCTGGGGGAGAGAGCGAGACTCTGTCTCAAAAAAAAAAAAAAGTCATACTGGCCAGGTGCATGGTGGCTTACACCTGTAATCCCAGCAGTTTGGGAGGCCGAGGCAGGCAGATCACCTGAGGTCAGGAGTTCGAGACCAGCCTGGCCAACATAGGAAACCCTATCTCTACTAAAAATAGAAAAATTAGCCTGGCGTGGTGGTGTGCACCTGTAATCCCAGCTACTTGGGAAGCTGAGGCAGGAGAATTGCTTGAATCCAGGAAGCAGAGGTTGCAGTGAGCTGAAATTTTGCCACTGCACTCCAGCCTGGGCAAGAGAGCAAGACTCGGTCTCAGAAAAAAAAAAAAAAAAAAGAAAGAAAGAAAAAGAAAAAAAAAGAAAAGAAAGAAAATAAAAGAAAGAAAAGTCATATTGCACTTCTATTTATTCAGCAAAAGTCCTGGAATGCTTGCTACTGCCATGAACCATGCCAGGTGCTGGGGATACTGCAATGAGTCAATTAAACAGGGTTCCTGCCCCCAGGGAGCCTGCAGTCTGGTAGGGAGATAGACATCAAGCAATCACATGAAAAGTTACTTCATACAAATTGTGCAGAGAGTTATGGAGAATAAATATGTGCTGTGGTGGGCAAGAATAACAGAAAAATCAAATTCAGATGGGTAGTGAGTGGGACACTGGTCAGGAAGAGCTCTGAGGAAGCAACTCCTCAGCCAAAACTGAAGGCTACGCTGGAGTTCGCTGGGGGAGAATAAAAGGGGAGAACATTCTGGGTGTGGGGGACAGCAGGTGCCCATGCCCTGGGGCAGCAAAGAGCTGGACACAGTTAAGGAACTGAAAGAAGACCCTGTGTGGTGTAGTGAGCAAGAGCAAAGGTGGTTCAGGATGAGAGAGTGACTCGATCCTTGTCTTTTATCTGAAAGTTTATCATAAGGGATCTATTCTGTTGGTTTCCAAGGGAAACCAAGGGGAGGGGTATTAAATGGCTCTAAAGCTACTCTGTCTAATATAGGTGGCTACGTGCCACATGTGGCTGTTAAGCACTTGAAATGTGGCTGGTCCAAGCTGAGATGAACTGCAAGTATAAAATACACACTGGATTTCAAAAAGTTCGTGTTAATAACTTTTTACTTTTTTGTTTTTAATTTTTTCTTAGAGATGGAGTCTTGCTCTATGGCCCAGGCTGGGATGCAGTGATACAATCACAGCTTACTGTAGCCTCGACCTCCTCAACTCAAGTAATCCTCCCACCTTAGTCCCTGGAGTAGCTGGGGCCACAGAGGTGCACCACCACACCTGGCTAATTTATTTTTTAGTTTTGCAGAGATGGGGTCTTGCTGTTTCGCCAGACTGATCTTGAACTCCTGGCTTCAAGCGATCCTCCCTGCTCAGACTCCCAAAGTGCTGGGATTACGGTGAGCTGCCGCACCCATCCTACTTTTTTTTTTTTTTTTTTTTTTTTTTTTGAGGCAGAGTCTGGCTCTGTCGCCCAGGCTGGAGTGCAGTGGCACAATCTCGGCTCACTGCAAGCTCTGCCTCCCGGGTACATGCCATTCTCCTGCCTCAGCCTCCGAGTAGCTGGGACTATAGGCGCCTGCCACCACGCCCAGCTAATTTTTTGTGTTTTTAGTAGAGACAGGGTTTCACTGTGTTAGCCAGGATGGTCTCGATCTCCTGACCTCGTGATCCGCCCATCTCGGCCTCCCAAAGTGCTAGGATTACAAGCGTGAGCCACTGTGCCCGGCCCAGCCTGCTTTTTATATTGATTACTTGTTGACACAATAAAATTTGGGGCATATTGGGTTAAATAAAATATATCGTTAAAATTAATTTCACTAATTTCCTTTCTACTTTTTAAATATGGCTACTGGAAAATCTGGAATTCCCTATGTGGCCTGGATCCTATTTCTATTGAACAGCACTGCTCTAAAGTGTTTGCTTTGATATGAAGAAAAGCTACTTGACTGTGAGGGAGACCTTGTAACTTAGGACAGGGGATTTCAAGATTTCAAGATTTCAGTCTCTGGAGATCTTTTAAAACAGAACAACTAGCTAGTCACCGATTTTTTTTTTTTTTTTTTTTTGAGACAGAGTCTCACTCTTTCACCCAGGCTGGACTGCAGTGACGTGATCTCAGCTCACTGCAACCTCCACCTCACAGGTTCAAGAAATTCTAGTGCCTCTGCCTCCCAAGTAGCTGGGATTACAGGTATGCGCCACCACGCCTGACTAATTTTTGTATTTTCAGTAGAGACGGGGTTTCACCATGTTGGCCAGGCTGGTCTCGAACTCCTGACCTCAAGTGATCCACCCACCTTGACCACCCAAAGTGCTGGGATTATAGGCGTGAGCCACCATGCTTGGCCCAGTCACCGATCTTGAATGACAAGAATTTCATTTCGTTGGAGTTCGGGAAGAGAACAAACCACAGAGGCTCTTAAAGTCTCTTCCAAGGACAATAAAATGCACTTATGATCAGATATTAGCAGGTGTACAAAATTAACATTTGATGAGCTGGAGAAGCAGGTTTGAGGTGGAGCTTCTAGGAACAATCATCAACCCCAGAATCCTACAGCTTCTTCTGTGGGTGAACATCATAGCTGCCCCACAGGAAGTTGCTGACCAGGAGCACATTGCCTCCTCTTCTACAATTCATGCCGATGATGCAGATGACTCCTCTACCCAATTTTACTCAATTGTGAATTCAAATCTCAAATGGGAGCATCTGCTTGGCAGAACTTATGTTCTATTTTTCATCTAGCTGAAAGGAGCTCTGGGAAATGTCTGGTTAGTGTTCCAGTTTTGGCCATAGCGCAGGACATACTAGAAGAAGGTTGCAATGAATATTGGCTGAGCCAATCAACAGTGCCTGTGGGGAGAACATTTCCAAAGATGCTGATGTGAGAAAAAGAGCATGGCTGCTTCAGTAAGGCTGGAGCATAATAACTTGATGAGAGAAATGGAGGTATCTAGACTCAACATGGATGAACCTTGAAAACCTGATGCTAAGTGAAGCCATCACAAAGGACTACATAGTGTGTGATTCCCTTCATATGAAATGTTCAGAATAGGCAAATCTATAGCGACAGAAAGTAGATTAATGGTTGCCTAGGGCTGAGGGAATGATCAGTAGATTGGTGGATAGTGGATAAGGGTTTCTCTTTGGGATAATAAAATGTTATAAAATTGATGGTGGCAATGGGTGCATAACTCTGCAAATATTCTAAAAGCTATTGAATTGTGTGCTTTATTTTTTATTCCATTTATTTATTTATTTATTTAGGACAGGGTCCTGCTCTGTCATCCAGGCTGGAGAGCAGTGGTGCAATCTAAGCTCACTTCAGCCTCAATCTCCCAGGCTCAAGGGATCTTCCCACTTCAGCTTCCTGAGTGGCTGGGACTACAGGCACATGCCACCATGTCTGGCTAATTTTTTTTATTTTTAATAGAGACAAAGTTTCACCATCTCGCCCAAGCTGGTCTCAAACTCCTGGGCTGTCAAAGTGCTAGAATTACAGGAATGAGCCACTGCACCCAGCCAAATTGCATACTTTATTATCTTATTTTATTTTATTTTATTTTATTTTATTTTATTTTATTTTATTTTATTTTATTTTATTTTATTACTTTTTGAGACAGCGTCTTGCTCTGTCACCCAGGCCAGAATGCAGTGGTAAGATCTTGCAACCTCCACCTCCCGGCTTCAAGGTATTCTCCTGCCTCAGCCTCCCGAGTAACTGGGATTATAGGTGCATACCACCACGCCCAGCTAATTTTTTTTTTTTTTAGATGGAGTTTTACCCTTGTCGCCCAGGCTGGAGTGCAATGGCATGATCTCGGCTCACTGAAACCTCTACCTTCAGGGTTCAAGTGATTCTCCTGCCTCAGCCTCCCAAGTAGCTGGGATTACAGGTGCCTGCTGCCACCACGCCCAGCTAATTTTTGTATTTTTAGTAGAGACGGGGTCTTACCATGTTGGCCAGGCTGGTCTCAAACTCCTGACCTCAAGTGACCCACCTGCCTAGGCCTCCCAAAGTGCTGGGATTACAGGCATGAGCCACCGTGCCCCGCCAAATTGCGTACTTTAAATGGGTGAACTGTATGGTATGTTAATTTATTTTGGGAGGTTTTATTTATTTATTTATTTTGTGTTTTTTTGTTTTTTTTTTTTTGGTGTGTGTGTGTGTGTGTGTGAGAGAGAGAGAGAGAGATGGAGTCTCACTCTGTCGCACAGGCTGGTGTGCTATGGCACCATCTCGGCTCACTGCAACCTCTGCCTCCCAGGTTCGAGCAATTCTCCCACCTCAGCCTCCGGAGTAGCTGGGATTATAGGCACGCACCACCACACTCAGCCAATTTTTATATTTTTTAGTAGAGAGGGGGTTTCACCATGTTGGCCAGACTGGTCTTGAATTCCTGACCTCAAGTGATCCGCCCACCTTGGCCTCCCAAATGCTGATATTACAGGCGTAAGCCACTGTGCCTGGCGTATATTTTGTTTTTGTTTTTGTTTCGAACCAAGGTCTCATTCTGTTGCCCAGGTTGGAGTGTAGTGGCATGATCACAGCTCGCTGTAGCCTCGACCTCCTGGACTCAATCAGTCCTCATCCTTCTAAGTAGCTAGGACTACAGACACATGCCACTACACCTGGCTAATTTTTGTAATTTTTTTTTTTGTAAAGATCAATTTTCACCATATTGCCCAGGCTGGTCTTCAGCTCCTGAGCTCAAGCAATCCTCCTGCCTGGGCTGCCCAAAATGTTGGTCACCATGCCGGGCCTGAATTATACTTCAAAAAGCTGTTTTTTTTAAAAAAAAAAAAAAAGACTCTGCTGCCTGAGCAACATAATGAGACCTCATCTCTAAAAAAATAAGCAAAATTATCTGGGCATGGTGGCACATACCTGTAGTCCCAGCTACTTGGGAAAGTGAAATGGAAGGATCGCTTCGGCCCAGGAGATCAAGGCTGCAGTGAGCTATAATCACACCACTGCACTCCAGCCTGGGCAACAGAGTGAGACCCCTGTCTCAAAAAAAACAAAAACAAAAACAAAACAAAACAAAAAACGGACTCCGATGTTCCTGAAGCGAACAACCAAGTGATTGAAGGTACAATTTATTGAGATAAGGACTTCTATTTCCAGTAATACAGCAAGCTACACTGACCCTCTTGTTGAAAACAACAACTAATTACTGTTTTAAATATCAAAAGCATCTTTTTTAAAAAGCAGTTTGCAATATAGTAAGGAAAGCATCATGCTAAAATCTAAGAGAAGGCATGAACCCTAAGTGGAGTATTGAAGCTACTTTCCAAACTTGGCAAACTTGAACTTCAGTTTTCATGGAAGACAAAGTTCAGGACCCATCCAATATGGGAGACTAATAGGAGATGCTGCCCTCATAAAGACTGGACCATGGCCGGGAGCGGCAGCTCACACCTGTAATCCCAGCACTTTGGGAAGCTGAGGCGGGTGGAGCACCTGAGGTGAGGAGTTCAAGACCATCCTGGCATGCCTGGCCAACATGGTGAAATCCCCATCTCTACTAAAAATACAAAAATTAGCTGGGCATGGTGGCAGGCACCTGTAATCCCAGCTACTTGGGAGACTGAGGCAGGAGAATCACTTGAACCCAGGAGATGGAGGTTGCAGCAACCCAAGATCACACCATTGCATTCCGTCTCCAGCCTGGGTAACAAGAGTGAGACTCCAACTCAAAGAAAACAAAAAAAAAGACTGGACCCAAAGTAAACCCATCCCCACCCCTGCCCACCGTGGACAGTAAGGAAAGTTGCTGAGCTGAGCAGTAGGGGGAACTGTCCCAAAAGTTGTAACTGCAAAGCATTCCTAGTGTAGATTTGCATACCAAATTTATATTAGTTGGGTAATTCTACAGCCCTCAGGATATGGATTAAGTTTAAAGCAGAAAGTGGTGAATGATGCTGCGTGCCTTTGTGTGTGTGTGTTTTTGTGTGTGTGAGATGAAATCTTGCTCTGTAGCCCAGGCTGGAGTGCAGTGACGAGATCTCAGCTCACTGCAACCTCCACCCCCAGAGTTCAAGCAATTCTCCTGCTTCAGCCTCCCAAATAGCCAGAACTACAGGTGTGCACCACCACACCTGGCTAATTTTTGTATTGTATTTTTAGTAGAGACAGGGTTTCACCGTGTTGGCCAGGCTGGTCTCGAACTCCTGACCTCAGGTGATCCACCTGCCTCGGCCTCCCAAAGTGCTGGGATTACAGATGTGAGCCACTGCGCCCAGCCAGATGCTGCATGACTTCTGGCAATAGGTCAGAAAAGGCCAGGAAGCTTCTAGCTCGTTCTATTGGAAAGCTTGCTCTCAAGAGGCTCCATCTCAGACCAGCAGCCTTTCTGTGAGAAGCCCAAACCACATGTGGGTGCTCCAATTACAGACCAAGCTGAGCCTATTGTCTGAGACATTCTGGTCCAGGCACTGGATACATAATGGAGAAGCCTCCAGATGACTTCATCCCCCAGCCAAATGACTCATTCTTTGTGTTCGAGTCTTCTCCTCTGAGGACTCAAACACTGTGGAGCAGTGACAAACCCTCCCTGTTGCACTCTATTCATATAAGTTAAATAGAATGGGTATTGCTTTATACTACTAACTTTGAGGTGGTTTGTGATGCACCAATCATAATGTTACTACCTGGAAATGGGACGTTGCTGTAAGAAAAGCCTAAAACATGTGGCATTAGCTTTGGGACTAGGTGGCAGGTGGAAGCTGGAAGAACCATGTTGTAAAGAAGCCCTCAGGCCACATGGAGAAGCTGTAAGTAGGTGCTCTGGTAACAGTTCCAGCTGAGGTCAGCCTGTGTGCAGATGAGTCATGAAACTTTCAGACTATCACAACTCCCAGCCAGTCAAGTCACCTCCAGCGTTTGAGTCTTTCCAGCTGAGGCCCCAGACACGACACCATGGAGCGGAGGCAAGATATCTCCTCTGTGCCCTGCGCAAATTCCTAACCCACATGGTTTGAGTATAAAAAGAGAGTTATTTTTTTACACCACTAAATTTGAAGTCATTTCATATACAGCAATAGAAACCAGAATAGGAATCATGACACATTGAAATAACCAAAAAAAGGTGATATGGCAGATAAAAGTATGCTACTACTGTATACTTGAGGTAACAACCATCTCTGTGGTATTCTACCATCAAATCAAATTTAAGATAAAGAAGGAAAAAAACAAGATCATCTGAGACAGGTGGGGTTGGGAAAATTATGAAGATATGGCTTACACCTCTGTATAATCCCTAAACCAAGCAGAGTACATAACTGGCTTTCTGTCTTTTGTATGCACTGTAGAGGTCAATACAGAGGTCTCTGGTCCTTCCCAGGTTTGCTTTATGTCAGGCTTCCTTACACAGCACACCCAATCAGGACAACTCTCGCTTCACCTTGAATAACAATCCAGGAGACATTGAGACTGGCCCTCCACATATCCTGTTATGCTTCATTTTATTTTATTTTATTTTATCTATTTATTTTTTGAGACAAGGTCTTGCTCTGTCGCCCAAGCTGGAGTGAAGTGGTGCAATCTAGGCTCACTGCAACCCCCACCTCCCAGGTTCAAGCAATTCTCATGCTTCAGCCCCCAAAGTAACTGGGATTACAGGCACACAGCACCACGCCTGGCTAATTTTTGTATTTTTATAGAGATGGGGTTTCACCATGTTGCCCAGGCTGCTCTTGAACGCCTGGACTCAACTGATCTGCCTGTCTTGGGCTCCCAAAGCACTGGGATTACAGGCGCAAACCACAGCACCTGCCCCGTTATGCTTCTTGTCAAAGCCAGGCAACTGTTGCAAACCCTGGGACCTGCTGTTTCATCCCACCTACAGCAAAACCATCTGTCTTCTAGTGGCCCGAATGGTTTGATCATTGGAAATGAAGAAGTAGGAAATTTTATATAGTTTTCTTTTGGCCAAAATGTGATTCCCCTATCTCCTGAGCCTTCTCTCACATGGGCATCAATTTCAAGGACACACTGCCATGGCCCCCTCTACCCTATGTTATTGCATAACTATTAATTTGAAATCAGGAGGCATTAGATCTTTAGGTCATTTGCACATGGTTCTCACTTTGGAATGCACTCCGGGTGCAGGGCAAATGCCTGCTGACCCTGTGTTTATTTTTTCAGCTGGTGATTGAAGTTCTGGTCCAGTTATAATAGATGGGAATGCCAATGTCTTGTCCATTTTCAGCTTTAGGGAAAATCTTGCATTGCACAGGGGTCATATTTCTACTCTCAGCATGTACAATAAAAGTAATTTTCATGTCTGTGTTTCCAAAGTAAATATCATTGTGTTTACCGCCCCCCCACCTCCACCCCATAGAACTATTTAAAAATGAAAAGACATGAATATGGAAAAATAATAGTCCAAGCTTTTTGGGGAATGTTATTTATATAACAGCCATTTTGTAATTGTAAAGTCTTTTTAAAAAATGTTCTATTTTATAATCTGTCACCACTGTTCTGCCTGTAGTATCTAACACTTCCCTTACTGTACTTTTTCTATGTATTTTTTCAATCATTTAATAAATATTGAGTGCCTATTGTCAGCCAAATACTGGGGATACAAGAGTGATTGAGATATGCTTGAGCCTGTGAGGTCGAGGCTGCAGTGTGTCATAATCACGCCACTGTACTCCAGCCTGGGCAACAAAGCAAGACCCTCTCTCAAATTAAAAAAAAAAAAATAGTGATCAAGATAGATAAAAGGAGGTTCTTGCTTTCCTGTCACCTATATTAAATTTTAGGGACACAGATAATAAACAAGTAAATAAATAGATACGGAAATGTCACACTGAGAGACATGCTTTGAGAAAAATAAGCAGAAGTAATGAGCAACTAAGTGATGTCACGGTAGGCTGGGTGTTTGATTTGTGCCTAGACCTGAATTAATTTTTAGAGACAGGGTCTCAGTATGTTGTCCAGGCTAGAGTGCAGTCACTATTCACAGGAGCAATCATAGCACACTACAGCCTTGAACTCCTGGGCTCATGCAATCCTCTTGCCTCAACCTCCCAAGTAGCTGGGATTACAAGATGCATGCCACCATGCCCGACCCAGATCTTTATTTAGTGTGTGTGTGTGTGTGTGTGTGTGTGTGTGTGTGTGCGCGTGTGTGTGTATGGGGTCTTGCTGTGTTGCCCAGGCTGGTCTTGAATTCAGGCATCAAGTGATCCTCCCTTCAGCTTCCCAAAGTGCTGAGACTACAAGTGTGAGGCACTGCACTTGGCCCTCATGTCTTAATTTATAAAGGTGACTGGTGACAACATGGGGGACAGGCTAATGCCACTGAAAGAAGAATTTATTACTAACAGTTCCTGAGAGAAGGGGACATGCCACCATGCAGAGCCACATGGGGAAGCACTAGGTTTTGTCGGGAGAGAGAAACAGAAAGGAGGGGAGAGACTTTATCATGTTTTCCAAGGCAAGGCAAGGCAGGGAAGACTAAACAGCTTAGCATTGTTTAGTTTGAATAATGTCAATGAGCTCTGAGCTACAGGGGTGGTCTCTAGTTGTCTAGAACCTGGCCCTGGGCTGGTTTAGGGAGTGGAAAATATTTGCCTGGTGTCCGAGAGTTAGAGAAAGAAGGTGGTTGGGGATTTGGATTGGTTGAAGTGTTTGTTTGTTTGTTAGAGAGAGGGTCTTGCTGTGTTGTCCAGGCTGGTCTTGAACCCTTGGTTTTAAATGATCTCAAGTTAATCCTCCTGCCTCAGCCTCCCAAAGTGTTAGTATCACAGGTGTGAGCCCCCACACCTGGCCTGGGTGGAGGGTTTGTTATGTAATTTGTGTGTGTGTGTGTCTGTGTGTGTCTGTGAAAGCGGATTACAGAGAAGATGTAAACCACTTTGTTTGGCCCTGTGATTAATGGATGCCAAATAGATAAAAACACAATCTAAGAAAACACAGAACAGTATTATGGGAAGGCCTTTCTGAGGAGCAACATTTAAGCAGAGACCTAGAAGCTATAAAGGAGCCAGCCATGCAAATAGCCTGGAGTAGGAGATACAAGTAGAGGGAACAGCAATTGCAGAAGCCCTAGGACAGAATGGAGCTGGAGAGGTGGCAAAGGACAGATCACACAGGCCTTATGGGCTTCCCAGCTATGAAGATTTTTGCCAAGGGAGTGATATAATCAGGTTTGTATTTTTCTTCTTCTTCCTTTTTTTTTTTTTTTTGAGACAGGGTCTTTCTTTGTCACCCAGGTTGGAGTGCACAGCCCAATCTTGGCTCACTGCAACCTCCGCCTCCTAGGCTCAGGTGATCCTCCCACCTCAGCCTCCCAAGTAGCTGGGACTACAGCTGTGAGCCACAACACCTGGCTAATTTTTGTATTTTTTGTAGAGACAAGGTTTCACTATATTGCCCAGGCTGGTCTCAAACTGCTGAACTCAAGCAGCCCACCCGCTTCGGCCCCCCAAAATGCTGCGATTACAGGCATGAGCCACTATGCCTAGCCCAGATTTATATTTTTATTTATTTCTCTTTTTTACCTGAGACTTAATCAGGTTTATATTTTTAAAGTATCATAGCTTACTTTGGCCAAGAGAGTAGATGGATGTAGGGTTGGAGGATAAGACTGGAAGCTGGAGAGCAGTTAGAAGACTGTGACAGTTCATGAAAAGTAGTTGCTTCTCTTGTGCCATCAGCAAGATGTAGGTTTTGAGTGTTTTTTTTTTTTTCAGGCAATGGTCACAGACTTGCATTAATTCCCATCCATTGTAACATAGTTGTCTAAAAGGTACTGAACAGTTTTTTTTTTTGAACAAATGTTATATCCTTCCGTTGACATCTTTGATTCTGTGTTACACCAGCTGAATGAATCACTGCCTTCAAACTTTGAAAATGCAATAAATGCATCAATTCAATGCAATAAATATTTTTGAGCACCTGACATGTGTAAGGCCCTGTGTTAAGTTTTGGATATTCGGGCCGGGCACGGTGGCTCACGCCTGTAATCCCAGCACTTTGGGAGGCCAAGCGGGTGGCTCACCTGAGGTCAGGAGCTCGAGACCAGCCTGGTCAACATGGCGAAACCTTGTCTCTACTAAAAATACAAAAATTAGCTGGGCATGGTGGCGTATGCCTGTAGTCCCAGCTACTCAGGAGGCTGAGGCGGAATTGCCTGAACACGGGAAACAGAGGTTGCAGTGAGCAGAGATTGCACCACTGCCTTCCAGCCTGGGCAACAGAGTGAGACTCCATCTCAAAAAAAAAAAAAAAAAAGATTTGGATATTCAAAAATAAGTCATACTTGGTTCCAGCTATCTAGGAAATCACAGTCTGAGTAACAAGCAAGCAGCCTGCCAGGGGTGAGATCAGTTCCAAGATGGTCCTTTGCTTTCCTTGTGGAAGTGGAATAACCCTGCAGAGCCCTGGAAGTAGAATGGTTCCATAGACCCTATATGGGTTGCAGAGAGAAGAAAAATCAGAAAGATTCAATGTCAGACATGAAAAGAGAATTTTTATCTTCAGCTTCATTTAAGCCATGCAGCCCTGCCCCAGGAGTTAGGGCCCTGGTAACTGATTTGCTAGTGGGATGTTGTTTTTACTTCCTGATAGCTGGAATGGGAGAAGCCAGTTAAAAAAAAGAAAAGAAAAGAAAAGAAAAGAAAAGAAAGAGGTCCTCTAGCTTCGAGGAGGGTTTAGAGTCAGCTCATTCATTAAAAACTGGTTTCTGGGGCTGGGCGCCGTGGCTCACGCCTGTGATCCCAACACTTTGGGAGGCCGACGCGGGCAGATCACGAGGTCAGGAGATCGAAACCATCCTGGCTAACACGGTGAAACCCCGCCTCTACTAAAAATACAAAAAATTAGCCGGGCGAGGTGGCGGGCGCCTGTAGTCCCGGCTACTCGGGAGGCTGAGGCAGGAGAATGGCGGGAACCCGGGAGGCGGAGCTTGCAGTGAGCCGAGATCGCGCCACTGCACTCCAGCTTGGGCGACAGAGCGAGACTCCGTATCCGAAAAAAAAAAAAATTGGCTTCTATACCAGATGCAGTGGTTCACACCTGTAATCCCAGCACTTTGGGAGGCCAAGCTGAAAGAATTGCTTGAGGCCAGGAGATAGAGACCAGCCTAGGCAACAGAGCGGGACCCGATCCCTACCAAAAAACAAAATATTTCCCACAATGGAATACCACTACCCTTCCCTTGTCAAATAAAAACAACTTCCACAAATCATGACATTTAAAATTACTTTAAATGGCTGGGCACAATGGCTTATGCCTGTAATCCCAGCACTTTGGGAGGTTGAAGTGGGAGGATCACTTGAGCCCAGGAGTTCAAGACCAGCCTGGGCAACATAATGGGGCCCTCTCTGCAAAAAATATGAAAATTAGCCAAGTGTGGTGGCATGCACCTGTAGTCTTAGCTACTCGGGAGACTAAGGTGGGAGGATTGCTTGAGCCCAGGAGTTCCAGGCTAGGATGGTGCCAGGCAGTAGGCTAGGATGGTGCCACTGCACTCCAACCTGGGTGACAGAGCCAGACCCTGTTTAAAAAAAAAAAAGATGCTGTTTAATTGCTCTGAGGTATGTCCTGGGCACTGGTATTTTTTTTAAAGCTGTTTTCCAGATGATTCTAATGCACAGTCAAGATTGGAAACTACTGGTCTTGCTAGCCCCTTAAAGAGCTGCACTTGGAGCCATGGAGTAAACCATAGGGTCAAAATATAGCAACTTGTTTCCACAGATTAGATCTGGTTTCCTAACCATGCACTCCCATAGTTGCCTTTACTTTTCCTTCATAGAATTTAAAGAGTTTGGCCTGGCACGGTGGCTCATGCCTGTAATCCCAACACTTTGGAAGGCTGAGGTGAGCGGATCACTTGAGGTCAGGAGTTCGAGGCCAGCCTGGTCAACATGTTGGAACCTCGTCTCTACTAAAAATATAAAAATTAGCTGGGTGTGGTGGCGCGTGCCTGTAGTCCCAACTACTTGGGAGACTGAGACAGGAGAATCGCTTGAACCCAGGAGGTGAAGGGTGCAGTGAGCCAAGATCATGCCACTGCACTCCAGCCTGAGCAAGAGAACAAGGCTTCGTCTCAATAAAAAATAAAAATAAAAAGAGTTTGTGGCAGGGCATGGTGTATCACGCCTGTAATCCCAGCACTTTAGGAGGCCAAGGCAGGAGGATCGCTTGAACCCAGGAGTTTGAGACCAATCTGGGCAACGTAGTGAGACTCCATCTCTAAAAAAAAAAGTTTGTAATTTGTATGTTTGTGTGTGTGTGTGTGTGTGTGTGTGTGTGTAAGGTTGCTTACTAATGTAATTCTCCCCACTGGAGTAGAAGCTTCACAACTGCCAGGCATCTGAGTACCAGTGCATAGCACTGTGGTTAAAAACACAACTTCTAGGGTCAGTCTGCATTTGGAATCTCAATTTCATCACTTGCTAGCTATGAGATATTGGATAAATTTTGTAACCATTATAGGGAGGGGAACATCACACACCAGGGCCTGTCGGGGGGATGTGGGGAAAGGGGAGGGAGAGCATTAGGACACATACCTAATGCATGCAGGGTTTAAAACCTAGATGACAGGTTGATAGATGCAGCAAACCAGCATGGCACATGTATACCTATGTAACAAGCCTGCATGTTCTGCACATGTATCCCGGAACTTAAAATAAAAAATAAAAGGTCATAAAAAAATTTGTAACCATCTGTTTCTCCGTTTCCTCAACTGCAAAATGGGGATTGTTGCAAAATTAGGGTGGTTGTAAGAATTATATGAGATGTGATGATTCTAAAATATGTCTGCAAATTCTTCAGTGCTTTTCCCCCCAAAATATGGACCTGAATTTGTGGACTTAGTGACTAATAAATAGAATATTACAGAAGTGATAATGTCTTTGAGATTAGGATAGAAAAGTCACTGTGGCTTTGGAATACTTGCTGTGGGGAAGTCAGCTGCCTTTCTGTGAAGACAGTCAATCAGCCTATGGAGAGGCCCATGTGGTGAGGAGCTGAGGCCTCCTGCCAATAGCCCTTTGAGGGGGTCCCTCTTAGAAGTGGACCTTCCAGGCTGGGTGCAGTGGCTCACACCTGTAATCCCAGCCGTTTGGGAGGCCAAGGCACGCAGATCATCTGAGGTCGGGAGTTCCAGACCTGACCAACATGAAGAAACCCCGTCTCTACTAAAAATGCAAAATTAGCCAGGCCTGGTGGCGCATACCTGTAATCCCAGCTACTCAGGAGGCTGAGGCAGGAGAACCGCTTGAACCCGGGAGGCAGAGGTTTCGGTGAGCCAAGATCACCCCATTGCACTCCAGCCTGGGCAACAAGAGCAAAATTCCATCTCAAAAAAAAAAAGGTCGGCGGGGACCCTCCAGTCCCAGCCAGGCATTCAGATGCCAGCAATCCCTGCCGACATCCTGACGGCAACCTCCTGAGAGACCCTGAACCAGAACCAACCTGCTAAAGCACTCCAGAATTCCTTACACATAGAAGCTGAGGTAATAAATGCTTGTCATTAAACCATTACATTTTAGGGTAATTTGTTACTCGGAAATCGATAACTAATACAAGATGATAACGTAAAAGTACTTAAAACATAAACAGTAAGCACTCAGTAAATGTTGATCACTGTTGTTACTGCAATGTTCCGCTTTGTATCCTTAGCACCTAACACTTGCTACCTGGTAGGAGCCCAATATACAGCATGCAAGAAAGAATAAATGAATGTACACACAAAGTAAAAGTGAAGGATTGAGGCAATTGTCCATGGTAGTTGTTTCTGAAGTTATCTGAGCAAGGACATTTTCTTTCTTTTTTTTTTTTTTTTGAGACGGAATCTCCCTCTGTCGCCCAGGCTGGAGTGCAGCGGCATAATCTCGGCTCACTGCAACCTCTACCTCCTGGGTTCAAGTGATTCTTCTGCCTCAGCCTCCCGAGTAGCTGGGACTACAGGCGCATGCCACCATGCCCAGCTAACTTTTGATTCTTTAGTAGAGACGGGATTTCACCATATTGGCCAGGCTGGTCTCAAACTCCTGACCTCGTGATCCGCCCGCCTCAGCCTCCCAAAGTGCTGGGATTACAGGCATGAGCCACTGTGCCCAGCCGAGCAAGAACATTTTCAAAGAAAATCTAACCTCTATTTTTGGCCAGAGTTGACTCAAGAAAACAAAAACCTGGCATTTCAAATGGATGGAATTTAATACTGGGAATTGGTTACATAGACAATGGAAGTCCTGGGAAGCCAAATAGAGAAGGATGAGGAAATCCAGAGATTAGGGCCAGGCACAGTGGCTCATGGCTGTAATCCCAACACTTTGGGAGGCCGGCGTGGGAAAATTGCCTGAGCCCAGGATCTTGAAACCAGCCTGGGCAACACAGTGAGACCCCATCTGTGTATAAAAAGAAATTTTTTTGGCCAGGTGTGGTGGCTCATGCCAGTAATCCAGAACTTTTTGGAAGGCCAAGGAGGGTACACAACTTGAGGTCAGGAGTTTAAGACCAGCCTGGTCAACATGGCAAAACCCCATCTCTACTAAAAATACAAAAATTAGCTGGGAGTGGTGGCACACACCTGTAGTCCCAGCTACTCGGGAGGCTGAGGCATGAGAATCACTTGAACCCAGGAGGCAGAGGTTGCAGTACACAGAGATTGCACCACTGCACTCTAGCCTGGGCAACACAGACAGATTCTGTCTCAAAAAATAGAAAAAGAAAAAAAGGAAAAGAAAATTAATTTAAAAAAAAAAAGGAGGGCCAGGAGCAGTGGGCTCACGCCTGTAATCCCAGCACTTTGGGAGGCCAAGGCAAGCAGATCACCTGAGGTCAGGAGTTCGAGACCAGCCTGACCAACATGGAGAAACCCCATCTTTACTAAAAATACAAAATTAGTCTGCTGTGGTGGCACGTGCCCGTAATCCCAGCTACTCAGGAGGCTGAGGCAGGAGAATTGCTTGAATCCGGGAGGCGGAGGTTGCAGTGAGCCGAGACTGCGCCTCTGCACACCAGCCTGGGCAACAAGAGTGAAACTCCATCTCAAAAAAAAAAAAAAAAAAAAAAGAAAAAAAAGGAAATCTAGAGATTAGCTATAGCAAGATGCTGAATTATTCCTAGAGCTGGAGGAGCAATGAGAAGAGATTGAACTACCAGGGTTCAGAAGCTGGCCATGCCTACCAGAAGACGGTTGTTGGGCCAGAGCCATGAAAGAGAAGCCATCTGAGGCAGAGATAGAAACATCTTGCCTTCTTCCTTTCTCTTACCCTTTCTCTTCCACCAGTGCATCCCATTGGGCAAATCTCCCTAGAAGCCAGCTAGCAAGGGAGCCTGGGAAATGAGTGAAACACGTGAAATATGAAATAGAGAACAGGAGAAGGGTGAGGAATGGGTCTGAGTGGAAAATATATGTACATAATTAATATATGTAATTAGATACATATGTCCATGTATATGCATATATGGATATAGAAATATACATAGAAAATGATAAAAGCAGATATGGAAAATGAACAGCACACACCAATAACAAAAACAGATAAAAGCATTATTTATTTTATAAGTTTCAATGGAAAGCATTTATACTTGTGGTACATATGACAAGTGCACAAGTCAATATGTTAGTAGTCTCCAGTATGAATTTAATATGTTGCATATTTGAATGTGTATATTGTTTTTATTTTGTTTTGTTTTGTTTGTTTGTTTTTGAAGCAGAGGCTCGCTCTGAGACCCAGGCTGGAGTGCAGTAGCGTGATCTTGGCTCACTGCTAGCTTCACCTCCCAGGCCCAAGCAATTCTCGAGCATCAGCCTCCCAAGTAGCTGGGTTTACAGGTGTGCACCACCACATCCAGCTAATTTTTGTATTTTTTAGTAAAGATGGGGTTTCACCACGTTGGCCAGGCCGGTCTCAAACTCCTGACGTCTAGTGATTTGCCCACTTCAGCCTTTGTTTTTATTTTTAATTTGTAAATAAAATCTTTCCTTTGGGTAACTGTAAATCTATGTGATCAAACAAAACATCTTATTTTATTTTATTTCTTTTTTAAGGCTAGTTAAGTGAAGCAGTGAGGATAAACACTTTTACTCCCAAAAGATGTTTTGTGGTTTTTTTAAGTATTTTTTTTTTTTGAGACAAGAGTCTCATTCTGTCACCCAGGCTGGAGTGCAGTGGTGCTCTCTCAGGTCACTGCAACCTCCTCTTCCTGGGCTCAAGTGATCCTCCCACGTCAGCCTCCCAAGTAGCTGAGAATACAAGTGTGTGCCGCCACACTCAGCTGATTTTTGTTTTTTTTGTAGAGACGGGGATCTCGCCATATTGGCCAGACTGGTCTTCAACTCTTTGACTCCAGCCATCTGCCCGCCTAGGCCTCCCAAAGTCCTGGGATTATAGGTGTGAGCCACTGTATCCAACCCAAAAATGTTATTTTTCTTTGGCCATAAATGACTATATTAAGATCCTTGGCTGGGCCTGGTGGCTCACACCTGTAATCCCAGCACTTTGGGAGGCCAAGGTGGGCAGATCTCCTGAGGTCAGGAGTTCGAGACCAGCCTGCCCAAAGTGGTGAAACCCCATCTCTACTGAAAATACAAAAATAATCCAGGCATGGTGGTGGGTGCCTGTAGTCTCAGCTACGTGGGAGGTTGAGACAGGAGAATCGCTTGAACCTGGGAGGTGGAGGTTGCAGTGAGCTGAGACCACTCCATTACACTCCAGCATGGGAAACAAGAACAAAACTCTGTCTCAAAAAAAAAAAAAAAAAAAAAGTCCTTGATGAAATTTTAAGAAAATAATATTATTGTATAAAAGTTAAATTTCGTTTTTTAAAATACTACTGTGATTGTGTAAGAGAACAACCTTGCTTTTTAGGCACTACATACTGAAGTGGTTAGGGGTAAAGGGACATCATTTATTATACGTGTCAAATTGTTCAAAAAAGAATTATATATACATATATGAAGAGAGAAAAAACAATACAGCAAATATGGTAAATATTAACTTTTGGAGAATCTGGGTGAAGAGAATTTTTTTTCTTTTTCTGAGACAGGGTCTCACTCTGTCACCCAGACTGGAGCACAGTGGCACAATCACGGCTCATTGCAGGCTCAACCTCCCAGGCTCAAGTTACCCTCCCACCTTAGCCTCTCAGGTAGCTGGGACCACAGGTCCACGCCACCATGCTCAGCAAACTTTTTATATTTTATAGAGATAAGGACTCCCTATGTTGTCCAGGCTGGTCTCAAACTCCTGGGTTCAAGCGATCCTCCCACCTCAACCTCCCAAAGTTCTGGGGTTACAGGTGTGAGCCACCACACCTGGCTGGGAATTCTTTATACTATTCTTGCAACATTGATCTAAGTCTGAAATTCTTTCAAAATTGAGAGGCCAGGCTTGGTGGCTTATCCTTTAATCCCAGCACTTTGGAAGGCCAAAGCAGGCGTATCACTTGAGGTCAGGAGTTCAAGACCAGCCTGGACAACATGGCGAAACCCTATCTCTATTAAAAATGCAAAAATTAGCTGGGCATGGTGGCATGCCCCTGTGATCCCAGCTACTTGGGAGGCTGAGGTGGGAGAATTGCTTGAGGCTACAGTGAAACTACATCTCAAAAAAAAAAAAAAAAGACGATGAGGTTTCGCCCTGTTGGCAAGGCTGTTCTCGAATTCCTGGTCTCAAGTGATCTGCCCACCTCGGCCTCCCAAAGTGCTAGGATTACAGGTGTGAGCTACCATGCCTGGCCAAATCTAAATTTCTTTCTTTCTTTTTTTTTTTTTTTTTTTTAGACGGAGTCTTGCTCTGTCACCCAGGCTGGAGTGCAGTGGCGTGATCTCGGCTCACTGCAACCTCCGCCTCCCAGGTTCATTATTTTTAGAATAAACTAAAAAGTTATCTCTCATCCATGTCTTCAATCACCAATAACTCATCACCAATAACTAGTCTTTATTACTTATTCTTATGTAACTTTCCAGAGTTTCTTTATGCCTGTGCTTATCAGCAAATACATATTTTTTTATTTTTTATTTTATGTTTGTTTAGAGATAGGGTCTTGCTCTGTCATCCAGGCTGAAGTGCAATGGGGCAATCATAGCTCATTGAAACCTTGAACTTCTGGGCTCAAGCAATCCTGCCTTAGCCTAGGAGTACAGGCACGCACCACCACGCCTGGCTAATTTTTTTTTTGTTTGTTTCTTTGTTTAGAGATGGAGATCTCCCTATGTTAGGCTGAATTTTATTTTTTTTAAATCCCCACATAAGGACACGTTTAGGATCTGCCTTTTTTTTTTTTTTTTTTTTTGAGACGGAATCTGGCTCTGTCACCCAGGTTAGAGCGCAGTGGTGCAATCTCAGCTCACTGCAACTTCTGCCTCCCTGGTTCAAGCGATTCTCCTGCCTCAGCCTCCCAAGTAGCTGGAGTTACAGGTGTGCACCACCAGGCCTGGCTAATTTTTGTATTTTTAGTAGAGACAGGGGTTTCACCATGTTGGCCAGGCTGGTCTCAAACTCCTGACCTCAAGTAATCCGCCTGCCTCAGCCTCCCAAAGTGCTAGGATTACAGGCATGAACCACCGCGCCCAGCCTAATTTTCTTTTTTTCAATAGAGACAGCATCTCATCATGTGGGCCAGGTTGGTCTTGAACTCTTGCCTCAAGCATTCCTCCCATCTCTGCCCCACAAAGTGCTAGGATTACAGGTATGAGCCATCTCGCCCAGGCTGCTTCTATTTTTTCAGGCTAAATAACATTCCATTGCATGTATATACCACATTTTGTTTATCCATTCATCCACAGATGGACATTTTGGTTTGCTTCCATTTCTTTCTTGACTATTGTGAATAGTCAAGAACTTGACAACTCTATGAGGTTAGGTAAAAACTAAACCTGAGAGAATTAAAGTAATACCCAAGAGTACACACAGCTGGTCATCATCAGATCTAGGATTAGATTCCAGAAGCTGTGTCTCTTCTTCTCTGCTATATCACCTCCTAGTTATCACAGGTGCTCTACTTTTCAATACTATCTACATGAGGGGCCGTCTCTCATATGATGTTAGTAAACAGATAAATAGGTACAGTCACCATGGAGGGCAATTTGGCATTGTTTGTCAAAATGATATATGTACATTTGCAATAATAGTGCACTTAATACTAACTGTACGTGTAAAAAAAGTTAAGATAGTAAATTTTATGATATGTGTTTTTTTACCACAATGTAAAACAAATCATTTTTTAAATGACATATAGACATACCCTTTGACTCAACATTGTAACTAGATATTTATCCTATTCATATATACATATGTGGAAAATTATGTGTCTTCAAGAATATTAATAGCAATCTTTTTTGTATTAACAAAAGGTTAGACTCACATGTCCATCAGAAGGAGGCCCGTGAAATAAATTATGCTCCACTGTACAATGGAATACTAGTCAGTCCTTTAAAAGGAAGATATTTATACTGACAGGGAAAATTGCCATGATACATTGGAAAGTGTAAAAGGCAAGCAACTGTGTAAAAAACAGGTGGGAGGTAGGGGGTAAGAGGAGAGGGAAAGAAAAAAATATATATTTGCTTGTATATTGATAGGCTATCTCTGAAAAGAAACCCAAGAAATTCATAACATTAGGCTGGGCTCAGTGGCTCACACCTTTAATCCCAGCAAAAACTTTGGAAGGCTAAGGCAGAAGGATTGCTTGGGCCCAGGAATTTGGGGCTATGCTCTATGACCATGCCTGTGAATAGCCACTGCATTCCAGCCTGGGCAACACAGTGAAACCCTGTCTCTAAAAAACAAACAAAAAGCGGTTAGGGGCCTTATTTTAACCTTCCAAATGCTTGAAGTCATTTGTGACCACCACCCGCTCCCCCGCCACCCCCCCGGCTCCCAGCCTTCCCTTTTACCAGTGGAATAACCCCAACCTTTAACCTTCTCTCATATACCAATATAGCACCTGTTCAATCATTCTGGCTTCTCTGAGCTCTCCAAATCTTTCTTAAAATGTAGATTTACAATTGGTTCATGATATTTTAGTAAGGATTAGACATATCAAATATTGTGGAAGGATTATTGATTGACTATGTTTACACATGTCCTCCCATTAACACTTTCTCATGTTAGCTTTTCCAAGACTTCTTTTTTTTTTTTTTTTCTGAGACAAGGTCTCACTCTGTCACCCAGGCTGGAGTGCAGTGGCATGATCTCAGCTCACTGCAACCTCCGCCTCCTCAAGATCAAGTGATCCTCCCACTTCAGCTTCCCAAGTATTTGGGAATACAGGCACACACCACTACACCCGGCTAATTTTTTGTATTTTTATTAGAGACGGGGTTTTGCCATGTTGCCCGGCTGTTCTTGAACTCCTGGGCTCAAGTCATCTACCTGCCTTGGCCCCACAAAGTGATAGGATTACAGGCATATGCCACCATGCCTGGCCAATATCTCTGTTCTGAACCATCTTTCTGGGAACAAAATCATGTGGCTGATGTCAATTAAGGTGTGGCCCACATCCCAGAGTTAATATGGTTTGTTTGTTTTAATTTTTTTTTTTTTTAGATGGAGTCTCCTTCTGTTGCCCAGGCTGGAGTGCAGTGGTGTGATCCTCCTGCTTCAGCCTCCCAAGTAGCTGGGATTACAGGCACCCACCACCACGACTGGCTAATTTTTTTTTTTTTTTTTTGTATTTTTAGTAAAGATGGGGTTTCACCATGTTGGCCAGGCTAGTCTTGAACTCCTGGCCTCAAGTGATCTGCCCATCTTGGCCTTCAAAAGTGTTAGGATTATAGGCATGAGCCACCGCGCCCAGCCGGTTGTTTTTAATTGGAAAAATATGGAATGCTTCATGAATTTGCATGTCATCCTTGTGCAGGGGCCATGCTAATCTTCTTTGTATCGTTCCAATTTTAGTATATGTGCTGCCAAAGCAAGCACCAGAGCTGATGTTTTTTACGTCAAAAAGAGATCCATGGATTGCAAACCCACCCATCTGTGGCATGGGGAATGATGCCAGAATACCCTCCTTTAACAGAACCCAAAGGCAAAGAGGTGAGAGAGGAACGGTGGCCCCACGTCACTGGGGAATGACACAGACCAATTTAGTCAATTCAGCAGAATATTCAGTCAATCCATATATCTGATACACTAATTATCTGCAATGCATACTAAACACCATATCTAAGACCAGAGTTTTCACACTACAGTACTTCTTAACTAAAAAGGGGTTTTCTCTGCCAGTCTATTAATTTACTGAGAGTTCAAGACTTTAGTTAAAGATAAGGGATGGAGGCAACCCAATCCATCAGCAGCCAATCAAGAGACATTTTTCTGAGAACAAAGGTGAAAGAAGGTCAATGGAGGAGCTGGTACCCAATTCCAGATTCTAGAGGTCACAACCACTTTCAATCGTTTCCTCCCAGAAGTCTTTGCTTTCTAACCCCTGGATGGCCTTGTTGTTTTACCAACAGATAGAAACCTAGGTGGATTGAATTAATTTTGCTAGCATCAATCCATCAATCACAGGCTTGTTAAATATTAATGCATCAGGCCAAAATGACCTCAGGTTCTCCAAGAGGTATCCAGGTAACATAATTCAACTGCATTAGCAACTAGAGCTAACCTAAATACACACACACACACACACACACACACACACACACACACACAGAGAGAGAGAGAGAGAGAGAGAGAGAGAGAGAGAGCTACATTGCCAGAGAATTGTGTTAGGGCAATAAGATTATTTTATCCTATTTTTCAAAATACTGCTTTTGAAATTTTTTAAATGGGATTTTAGTAAATATAGATCACCTCTAAGTATTGTGTGATTAATTTGTATCTTAAAACTCCACGAAGAAGAAACAACTATTCTATAAGGGAGATTTTTTTTATTTCAGTGCATCAATGTAACATGTAGCCATTAAGATATGAGTAGACTGGTGAGTAACCCAGAAAATATTCAGGATATATTGTAAAATGAAAAAACAATGGGTACCATACAATGCCATTAAATACATAATATTTTCTTCTTTTTTTTTTCCAAGATGAAATTTCGCTCCTGTCACCCAGGCTGGAGTGCAATGGCTCAATCTCAGCTCACTGCTACCTCCACCTCCCAGGTTCAAGTGATTCTCCTGCCTCAGCCTCCCCAGTAGCTGTGGTTACAGGCGCTTGCCACCATGCCCAGCTAATTTTTGTATGTTTAGTAGAGACAGAGTTTCACTATGTTGGCCAGGCTGGTCTCAAACTCCTTTCCTCAGGTGATTTACCCACCTTAGCCTCCCAAAGTTGCTGGGATTACAGGCATGAGCCACTGCACCCAGCCTAAGAAAAAATTTGTTGTTTACCTAGAATTAAAATATAACCAAGTGTCTTGTATTTTAGGCAACCCTATATGTGCAGATTCTCAGCTGTCTTTCATTCTAAGAAAATACCAAAATCCACCTTCATTCCCACCTCCATCTATTCATCACTCAGATACCCAGAAGGTATCTATCATGCCTGCCATACCATATCTCCTGTTGCCCTTGACAGCCCTGTTTGGGCCTGGCATGATCTGGCCTCCTTTTCTCCCCACCACCTTCACAGCTGACTGGAGGCTGGCCTAGGGGATTACTAGAACCTCCATCTCAGAACTCAGCGCCTATTCACTAGTCAGCCAAATTCCGGCTGAAACTGAGTTGCAGCAGTGTCAGTGCAATAGGAGACCCCTGGTCGTAGGAGATTTGGCACCCATCACCCTTGGTTACCCTCCAGAAGTGTCAAATGCAGCCTCTGCCTAACAGTGCCAGTGCTCCTCCCCATAGCCTTGATGCTCACAGCCCCCTGGGAAAGGAACCTAGTCCCGGGCTCACTGCCATTGTCAGTGAGGTGGGGAATGTGTAATCTCTCAGGAAGAACTGGAGCATGGTAGATATTCCTGGAACACTGAGGTTCATCTTGATTATATATAACTGTACTATACTTGTTTTCCACATCTGTCTCTCCTAGACTATATATTCCTTGACAGCAAGAGCTATAACTTATGTCCACATGCTGAGAATGAGCACAAAGCCTGGGTAGTTTTACCACTAATGAATGAATGAACCAACAAACAAAATGGCCTACAATAAGGGATAACTAAGCAAACTGTGGTGCCTCAGATCTGTGGGACAGTACATATCTATTTTTTTTAAGTACATGTATTATCTTAATACATAGAAATTTTGGTCGGGCACGGTGGCTTATGCCTGTAATCCCAACACTTTGGGAGGCAGAGGTGGTGGATCACCTGAGGTCAGGAGTTCGAGACCAGCCTGGCCAACATGGTGAAATCCTGTCTCTACTAATAATACAAAAATTAGCTGACCGGGTGCGGTGGCTCACGCCTGTAATCCCAGCACTTTGGGAGGCCGAGGCAGATCAGGAGGTCAAGAGATCGAGACCATCCTGCCCAAAACCCCGTCTCTACTAAAAATACAAAAATTAGCTGGGTGTGGTGGTGTGCCCTGTAGTCCCAGATACTCGGGAGGCTGAGGCAGGAGAATCACTTGAACCCGGGAGGCAGAGGTTGCAGTAAGCCAAGATCGTGCCACTGCACTCCAGCCTGGTTAAAGAGTGAGACTCTGTCTCAAAAAAAAAAAAAAAAAAATTGGCCAGATGCGGTGGCTCACGCCTGTAATCCCAGCACTTTGAGAGGCTGAGGCAGGCAAATCACGAGGTCAGGAGATCGAGACCATCCTGGCTAACACGATGAAACCCCGTCTCTACTAAAAATACAAAAAAAAATTAGCTGGGCATGGTGGCGGGTGCCTGTAGTCCCAGCTACTTGGGAGGCTAAGGCAGGAGAATGGCGTGAACCCGGGAGAAGGAGCTTGCAGTGAGCTGAGATCATGCCACAGCACTCCAGCCTGGGTGACAGAGCGAGACTCTGTCTCAAAAAAAAAAAAAAAAAAAAAAAAAATTAGCTAGGTGTGGTGGCACATGCCTATAATCCCAGCTACTCGGGAGGCTGAGGCAGGAGAATCACTTAAACCTGGGAGGTAGAGGTTGCAGTGAGCCGAGATTGCACCATTGCACTCCAACCTGGGCAACAAGAGCGAAACTCTGTCTCCAAAAAATAAATAAATAAATAACGAGTAAATAAAATAAAATCTATGGTCAGACCACAGTCAAGACTGGCAGAAAATTTGGAGTCATAAATAATTTAGAGACTAGTACTCGGCACAAGATTTTTCTACAAATTTGCTCAATTTCAAAATAAATATTTGTATGCAGCTAAGAATCCAGAGGGACTTTAGCCTCTGAAGCACTGGAATAAGTAAACCTGCAGGCCTCAGAATTTGAGCTCCTTTTAAAATTGGCTCAGCACAGGTCATCAGGACCTCCTGAGACTATGTCACGGTGCATCCTTAACCTTTAAATTAAAAAAAAAATTCTGGGTGTGGTGGCTCACATCTGTAATCCCAGCATTTTGGGAGGCCGAGGTGGGTGGATCACCTGAGGTCAGGAGTTCGAGACCAGCCTGGCCAACATGGCAAAATCCTGTCTCTACTAAAAATACGAAAATTAGCCAGACATGGTAGTGCACTTCAGTAGTCCCAGCTACTCGGGAGGCTGAGGCAGGGGAATGGCTTGAACCTGGGAGGCAGCGGTTGTAGTGAGCTGAGATCATGCCATCGCACTCCAGCCTGGGTGGCAAAGTGAGACTCTGTCTCAAAAAATAAATAAATAATAAAAATAAATTTGCTCAAGCTAAAAGATTTTCCTTTTCAGAGGGCACTGTTTACTCTCATGCTCTTCATACTCTAATGTGACAGAAATCCTATCTATTCAACACAAATTGAGAGGAACATCTAGCCATGACATGGTTTGAGCAATAAAGACCAAAAGCATGTCCTTCATTCTCCCAGATAATCCCTGTTGTCTTTTTGCATTTCATGTTTGAATTCAGACTGTATTTAAGTGCTAGCCTAGTTCACAGAACCCACAGATCTAGGTGAATATCTCCCCAAACTTTTCATCGTGATCCTTCCCTAAAACCTTTGTTAGCTCCTGGTTGCCCAATCCAAATTCCTCAACCATCACATTCCCACAGAAGATAATTTCAATCTGCCCTTTCAATCTTTTATTAATCTCTTCTGCCTTAACTGCATTTGCCTCTGGTGTTTTACTCGTATAAATGCCTAATTTAAGTCCTCCTTCCCTTGCAATCTTCTCAGGTCCTCCCTATCAGAAGACTTTGAGAGCTCTCCTTCAAATTTTTCTGAATAGCTTTTACTCTGCACTTTTTTTGGCCCTTATTATTTTTCTGGCTTGTATTGTTAACATCCTTTACATGTGTTCATCTGGCATTTGGTATTTGCAAGTAGAAAATGTCATCGCTGAAGGTGGAACGAACCAGCTAGCTGATCTTCACAAGATGGGTCAATGTACCACCAGGTAGGGTCAGAAATTCAATTTGGTACATTCCCATTACCTGAGTGGCATCTTAAAATTTCCAGAAATGACACCATGCTCAGACTTAAGGGACTGAATCATGTTAACCAAAACCTCCCAAGGATGATTTACAAACCAGAATGTGTTCTTATTTTGCAGTGGGAGTGGCCATTTATATACGCTACTATCCTTCTAATGAAAACCAAATTACGGATAAAGACATTTCTAGTGAGCAGAGACAAGAAGATAGAAAGGAATTGGCTCCATAACCATGTGCTCATGATCTATTGCTGCTGTAACAAATTACTATAACCTTAGTGGCTAACAACGAACAAATTTACTTTTTTTTCTTCTTGTTTTCCTCAGACCTCGCAAGCCTGGGTAAATTTACTCTTTTACAGCCATGTAGGTTAGAAGTCTGATTTTATTCTCACTGGACTAAAATCAAGATGTTGGTAGGGTTGTGTTCCTTTCTGGAGGCTCTCAGCTTCTTTCATTTCCCAGCTTCTCAGGCCCTCACACTCCCTAGCTCATGGCCTCTTCCCCTATCTTCAAAGCCAGCCTTGAGTCCTTCTTATTATATATCACATCTGTCCGATCTCCACTTTTCCTTAATTCATCTGCTTTTAAAAACCCTTGTTATGGCCAGGTGCGGTGGCTCACACCTGCAATCCCAGCATTTTGGGAGGCCGAGGCGGGTGGATTACTTGAGTTCAGGAGTTCAAGACCATCCTGGCCAACATGGTGAAACCACGTCTCTACTAAAAATACAAAAATTAGCTGGGTGTGGTGGCACACGCCTGTAGTCCCAGCTACTTGGGAGGCTGAGGTAGGAGAATTGCTTGAACCCGGGAGGCAGAGGTTTCAGTGAGCCAAGATCATGCCACTGAACTCCAGCCTGGGCGACAGAACAAGACCCTGTCTTAAAACAAACAGACAAACAAAACCCTTGTTATTAAATTATTCTTATTGGAATGATATAGGATAACCCCCTACCCATCTTGAATTCATATATATATGTGTGTGTGTATATATATATAGATAGATAGATAGATAGATAGATATACATATATATGAATCCACACATATATGAATCATATATATATGAATACACACACACACACTTGCCTTTATTTATTAATTTTAATTTTTTTTTTTTTAGAGACAGTCTCATTACGTTGCCCAGGCCAGTCTCAAACTCCTGGCCTCAAGGGATCCTTCTGCTTCAACCTCCCAAGTAGCTGGAACTACAGGCTTAAGCCACTGCTCTTACTTATTATTTTGCTTTGTTTTTGTTTCTTGAGACGGAGTCTCACTTTGTTACCCAGACTGGCATGCAATGGCACGATCTCAGCCCACTGCAACCTCCACCTCCTGGGTTCAAGCAATTCTCATGCCTCAGCCTCCCGAGTAGGTGGGATTACAGGTGCGCATCACTGCACCCAGCTAACTTTTTTGTATTTTTAGTAGAGTCGGGGTTTCACCATGTTGGCCAGGCTGGTCTTGAACTCCTGACGTCAGATGATCCACTCACCTCTGCCTCCCAAAGCGCTGGGATTATGGGCATAAGCTACCGTACCTAGCCTGTTTTTGTTTGTATATACATTTTGCAGGGGAGGGGGAGGGGGCGGAAAGGCAGAGTCTGGCTCTGTTGTCTAGGCTGGAGTGTAATGGCATCATCATAGTTCACTGCAACCTCGATTTCCTGGGCTCTCAAGCATTCCTTCCTCCTCAACCTTCAGAATAGCTGGGACTACAGGCACACATCAACACACTCAGCTAATTTTAAAAATGTTTAGTAGAGACAAGATTTCACTATGTTGCCCAGACTGGTCTTGAACTTCCTGAGCTCAAGTGATCCTGCCCACTCAGCCTCCCAAAGTGCTGGGATGAGCCACCACACCCGGCCGTTAATATTTATTTTTGTTGTATGTATTTATGATGTACAACATGATGTTTCAATATACATATACATAATAAAGTGATAACAATAGTCAAGCTGATGAACATATTCGTCATCTCACATACTTACCTTTTTTTTTGTGGTAAGGTCACCTAAAATCTATTGCTTACCAGCCTTCCAGTATACAATATTATTTATTACAGTCTTCATGCTGTATATTAGATCTCTAGATTTATCATCCCACATAACTGTAGCTTTGTACCCTTTGAACTATATCTCCCCATTAAGACCATGAAGGTTCTTAATGCCATCTGTAAAGTCTCTTTACCATTGTTAGATATGAGTTCTAAATTTCTCTTCAAAGAATTAATATGTCAGTATGTTCAATTCTTTGCCTTCTACTTTTAAACTTAACTTCCTTGTGAAGCAACCTTTTTCGATTACCTGCTCCACCCTGACTCTTCTGATTACCTGCTCCGCCCTGACTCATTCTCCACCCTGACTCATTCTCCACCCTGACTCATTCCAATTTCCTGCTCTGCCATAACAATTTTTCCCACCAAACCACTCAACCTGTCACTCTCTTTAAATTAGCCAATCGGAATTAGTTTAGCCTGTGCAGTCTAACCCTGGCGAATAGGGGAATGACGCAGCAGCAGGGGCCACATGCGTCAGGGATAAGAACCCCTTCCCCTCCCTTGTCCAAGTGTGCACTCACCATTGCTCCATCTGTAAGGGCGCACCCTTCTATAGAAGTACATTGCCTTGCTAAGAATTAAAAATAAAATTTTATATTCGAGTGCTATTTCTTTTGTGGCACCGAAACTTTATTTATAACACCATGTAAAGCAGCATATCTACAGATTCTAGGAACATCTTTGGGAGGCCATTATTCTGCCTACTACAATCAAATTTCCAAAAAGATATTCATAGGAAGCTAATATATTGAGTATGAATATTAGCACATATGTAAAATAAGAAAATATTACTTTTATTCCCAAATTTGGGCTTCCATTCAACTAAAGTGATAGGAATGTAATAATCAATCACTGTTGAGGGCAGCCTATGTGGTACCTGGGATACCAGAAGAGCTCACATTTCTAGCCTGTAATGCCCAAAAATCCCGGCCTTAGGCCATGTGGTCCCCTACCATGCAATAGTACTCTATTCCATGGGGTGTGGGCATTTTTGCCCAAGCAGAACACCTTGAGGTCCTAAACACCAGCATCCACTCTAAAGTCTTTACCCCTCCCTGGGTCCCCAAAATAGTAATAAAGTTCATGAGACTCCAGGACCCTTCCTTGTCTTCCCCACTCCCACTTCATTCCTCTCCCAGGCAGATAGCTCTCTCTTTCTTCCCTCCCTTTCTCCACTGGTTTTAACACTTTTACAAAAGACCGGAAGAGCGTTTGGCTTTAAGCGGCTATTGGCTTTCCCTCTTGCAAAATTCCTAGGAAGGGAATTACAAAAGACCTAGACACAAAGGACCTGTGTAGAGTGGGGCGAGCGGGGTTGTGTGGGGGCTGAGAAATACTGTAGTGAGCAAAACACACTGCTACAATTAATAAATTAACATCACAAAAAACTGTCCTGTCACATAAATATAGCCTACTATTTTATCTTTTTCTACCAGGATCTATTTTTGTTTTTTTAATTTTTAGTAGAGACAAGATTTCGCCATGTTGGCCAACATGGTCTCAAACTCCTGGCCTCAAGTCATCCACCTGCCTTAGCCTCCCAAAGTACTGAGATTACAGGTGTGAGCTACCAGACCCAGCCATGATCTATTTCCATTTCGATGACTTCTTTCCTCTTCTGTACAAATAGAACTGGTAAATTCTGACTCTTTCGTAGTCTTTTCTTTTTTTTAAGGTTCTTTATAAACCTTGAAACTTCTGTTTGCATTTGTCATATACCTGTGGATTTTTTTTTTTTTTCCTTTTGTGGGGGTTGGGGAGTGGCGGATAAAGCAGGCTCTCCATTTATTGCCCAGGCTAGAGTGCAGTGGCTCACTGCAGCCTCAGACCTCCTGGGCTTAAGCCATTTGCTTGCCTCAGCCTCCCAAAGTGCTGGGATTATAGGTGTCAGCCACCATGCCCAGCCCTTGTGAATGTTTCTAATACTAAGTTTTATCTATACTAGCTAATTTAACCTGTCTGCTCGCTTAAGAGATTTGTGGACACACCTTAATCTATTAGTGAGATATTTACAAAATAATAGATTAGGCTAGGATGGATTCTTTCTGTCTGAAGATAACAAATCTATATTTGTGTATGTGTATGTATGTTTGGTGCTCTTATTTTTATTATTATTTTTTATCGTTTTTTGAGGCAGCGTGTCCCTCTGTCGCCCAAGCTGGAGTCAATGGCGTGATCTCTGCTCGCTGCAACCTCTGCCTCCCAAGCTCAAGTGATTCTCATGCCTCAGCCTCCCACGTAGCTGGGATCACAAGCATGCACCACCAGGCCTGGCTAATTTTTTGTATTTTTAGCAGAGACAGTGTTTCACCATGTTGGCCAGCCTGGTATTGAGCTCCTGGCCTCAGGTGATCTGCCTGCCTTGGCCTCTAAAAGTGCTGGAATTACAGGTATGAACCACCGTTCCCGGCCCTTTGTGCACTTATTTTTAGTTATTATTTTTATTATTATTATTGTGGCAAAATGTACATAAAATACAGATTACCATTTTAAAGTGTACAGCTCAGTGGCTTTAAATACAATGTTGTCCAACCATCACTATCTAGTTCCAGAAATTTTTTTATCACCCCAACTGGAATCCTGGTACTCATTTTTTTTGTTGCTTATTTTTATTTATTTATTTATTTATTTTATTTTATTTTTTTTTTTTTTGAGACGGAGTCTCGCTCGCTCTGTCACCCAGGCTGGAGTGCAGTGGCATGATCTAGGCTCACTGCAAGATCTGCCTCCCGGGTTCATGACATTTTCCTCCCTCAGCCTCCAGAATAGCTGGGACTACAGGTGCCCGCCACCAAGCCTGGCTAATTTTTTGTATTTTTAGTAGAGATGGGGTTTTACCATGTTAGCAGGATGGTCTCGATCTCCTGACCTCGTGATCTGCCCGCCTCGGCCTCCCAGAGTGCTGGGATTACAGGCGTGAGCCACCGCGCCTGGCCTATTTTTTTTTTTTTTTTTTTAAGAAATGAGGTCCCGCTCTGTCAACCAGGCTGGAGTGCAGAGGCACTATCATAGCTCACTGCAGCGTCAAACTCATTGGCTCAAGCGATCCTCCTGCCTCAGCCTCCCAAGTAGCTGGAATTACAGGTGTGTACCACGATGCTCAGCTATTTTTTAAGCAGTCATTCCTTGATGTCCCCCTCAATCTTGTATTTGTAGAGTTTCTCTAGTAATTTTTTTCATCCAGTATAATACATTCACAATCTAAAATACATAAGGCCAGGCATGGTGGCTCATGCCTGTAATCCCAGCACTGTGGCAGGCCGAGGAGGGTGGATCACTTGAGGTCAGGAGTTCGAGACCAGCCTGGCCAACATGGTAAAACCCCGTCTCTACTAAAAATACAAAAATTAGCTGGGTGTGGTGGCGCATGCCTGTAATCCTAGCTACTGGGGAGGCTGAGACCCAAGAATTGCTTGAACCTGGGAGGCGGAGGTTGCAGTGAGCCGAGATCATGCCACTGCACTCCAGCCTGGGCAACAGAGCAAGACTCCATCTTAAAAAGTAAAAATAGAATACATAAATTTCCAGCCAGGCCTATAATCCCAGCACTTTGGGAGGCCAAGATGTTCAGATCGCTTGAGCTCAGGAGTTTGAGACCAGCCCGGCCAACATGGTGAGACCCTGTGTCTACTAAAATACAAAAAATTAGCCCGGCATGGTGGCAGGCACCTGTAGTCCCAGCTACTCAGGAGGCTGAGGCAGGAGAATCACTTGAACCCCGGAAGAAGACGTTGCAGTGAGCCAAGATCGTGCCACTGCACTCCTGCCTGGGTGACAGAGGGTGACTCTGTCTCAAAAAAGAAAAAAAAAAACAACATAAGATTTCCCACTATTTCGCACTCTACCTTGTTTCTCTGGAGTGTGCTTCCGCAGTTCCTTATGCAGATGTAAGCAAAATTCTCCTCATTTTTACACAGAACGTACCATCTTAAAAAGTTTTGAACTTTGCATCTTTTTTCACTTAAAAATACATCCTTGGCCAGGTACAGTGGCTCAAGCTTGTAATCCCAGTACTTTGGGAAGCTGAGGCAGGGGGATTGCTTAAGCCTGGGAGTTAGAGATCAGCCCACACAACATGGCAAGACCCTGTCTCTACAAAAGCAAGAAAAATTATCCAGGCGTAGTGGTGCACACCTGTAGTCCCATTTACTCAGGAGACTCAGGTGGGGGGATCACTTGAGCCCAAGAGGTGGAGGTTGCAGTAAGCTCTGATTGTGCCACTGCACTCCAGTCTGGGTGACAGAACAAGTCCCTATCTCTAAAAAGAAAAAAAAAATGGCATTTTACATATAAGGTAACCGTAAGTCCTGTTTTGTTTGGGAAAGACCCTGTTATGTGTTATGCCTGCTTTTTAAATGTTTGAGAAATTATATGATCACTCTTTTTTTTCTTTATTTTACTCTTAGTTCTGGGATACAAGTGCAGAATGTACAGGTTTGTTACATAAGTATACATGTGCCATCGTGGTTTGCCGCACCTATCAAGCCATCCTCTAGGTGTTAAGCCCCGCATGCATTAGGTATTTGTCTTAATGCTCTCCCTCCCCTTGCCCCCTACCCCCGACCTATGTGTGATGTTCCCCTTCCTGTGACCACGTGTTCTCATTGTTCAACTCCCACTTATGAGTGAGAACATGCGGTGTTTGGTTTTCTGTTCCTGTATTTGCTGAGAATGATGGTTTCCAGTTTCATCCATGTCCCTGCAACGGACATGAGCTCATTGTTTTTTATGGCTGTATAATATTCTATGGTGTACATGTGCCACATTATCTTTATCCAGCCTATCATTGATGGGCATTTGAGTTGGTTCCAAGTCTTTGCTATTGTAAATAGTGCTGCAATAAACATATGTGTGCATGCGTCTTTATAGTAGAACGATTCATAATCCTTTGGGTATATACCCAGTAATAGGGCTGCTGGGTCAAATGGTATTTCTGGTTCTAGATCCTTGAGGAATCGCCACATTGTCTCCCACAATGGTTGAACTAATTTACACTCCCATCAACAGTGTAAAAGCTTTCCTATTTCTCCACAGCCTTGCCAGCATCTGTTGTTTCCTGACTTTTTAATAATCACCATTCTAACTGGCATGAGATGGTATCTCATTGTGGTTTTGATTTGCATTTATCTAATGACCAGTGATGATGAGCTTTTTTTCACGTTTGTTGGCTGCATAAATGTCTTCTGTTGAGAAGTGTCTGTTCATATCCTTCGCCCACTTTTTGATAAGGTTGTTTGTTTTTTTCCTTGTAAATTTGTTAAAGTTCCTTGTAGAGTCTGGATATTGGACTTTTGTCAGATAGGTAGATTGCAAAACTTTTCTTCCATTCTTAGGTTGCCTGTTCACTCTGATGATAGTTTCTTCGTTGTGCAGAAGCTCTTTAGTTTAATTAGATCCCCTTTGTCAATTTTGGCTTTTCTTGCAATTGCTTTTGATGTTTTAGTCATGAAGCCTTTGCCCATGCCTATGTCCTGAATGGGATTGCCTAGGTTTTCTTCTAGGGTTTTTATGGTTTTGGGTTTTACATTTAAGTCTTTAATCCATCTTGAGTTAATTTTTGTATAAGGTGTAAGGAAGAGGTCCAGTTTCTGTTTTCTGCAAGTGGCTAGCCAGTTTTCCCAGCATCATTTCTTAAATACGGACTCCTTTCCCCCATTGCTTATTTTTGTTAGGTTTGCCAAAGATCAGATGGTTGCAGATGTGTGGTGTTATTTCTGAGGTCTCTGTTTTGCTCCATTGTTCTATATATCTGTTTTGGTATCAGTACCATTCTGTTTTGGTTACTGTAGCCTTGTAGTATAGTTTGAAGTCAGATACGTGATGCCTCCAGCTTTGTGCTTTTTGCTTAGAATTGTCTTGGCTATACAGGTTCTTTTTTGGTCCCATATGAAATTTAAAGTAGTTTTTTCTAACTCTACAAAGAAAGTCAAAGGTAGCTTGATGGGAATAGCATTGAATCTTTAAATTACTTTGGGCAGTATAGCCATTTTTTTGTATCTTTAGTAGAGAAGGGGTTTCACCATCTTGGCCAGGCTGGTCTCAAACTCATGACCTCATAATCCACCCGCCTCGACCTCCCAAAGTGCTGGGATTACAGACATGAGCCACCACGCCCAGCCTGAAAATTCTTTTCTTTAAGAATGTTGAATATTGGCCCCCACTCTCTTCTGGCGTGTAGGGTTTCTGCAGACAGATCTGCTGTTAGTCTGATGGGCTTCCCTTTGTAGGTAACCTGACCTTCCTCTCTGGCTGCCCTTAACATTTTTTCCTTCATTTCAACCTTGGAGAATCTGACTATTATGTGTCTTGGGGTTGCTCTTCTTCAGGAGTATCTTAGTGGTGTTTCTGTATTTCCTGAATTCGAATGTTGGCCTGTCTTGTTAGGTTGGGGAAGTTCTCCTGGATAATATCCTGAAGTGTGTTTTTCAGCTTGGCTCCATTCTCCCCGTCAGTTTCAGGTACCCTAGTCAATCGTAGGTTTGGTTTTTTCACATAGTCCCATATTGCTTGGAGGCTTTGTTCGTTCTTTTTCATTCTTTTTTCTCTAATCTTGTCTTCACACCTTATTTCAGTGAGGTGATCTTCAATCTCTGATATCCTTTCTTCCGCTTGATCGATTTGGCTATTGATATTTGTGTATGCTTTATGAAGTTCTCATGCTGTGTTTTTCAGCTCCATCAGGTCATTTATGTTCTTCTCTAAACTGGTTATTCTAGTTAGCAGTTCCTATAACCTTTCATCAAGGTTCTTAGCTTCCTTGCATTGGGTTAGAACATGCTCCTTTAGCTCAGAGGAGTTTGTTATTACCCACCTTCTGAAGCCTACTTCTGTCAATTTGTCAATCTCATTCTCGGTCCAGTTTTGTGCCCTTGCTAGAGAGGAAAGGAGTTGCAATCATTTGGAGAAGAGGCATTCTGGTTTTTGGAATTTTCAGTGTTTTGGGGCTGGTTTTTCCTCATCTTCGTGGATTTATCTACCTTTGATTTTTGAGGCTGATGACCTTTGGATGGGGATTTTTTGTGAGGGTCTTTTTTGTTGATGTTGGTGTTGTGCTTTCTGTCTGTTAGTTTTTCTTCTAATAGTCAGGCCCCTGTTCTGCAGGTCTGCTACAGTTTGCTGGAGGTCTATTCCAGACCCTATTCACGTGGGTATCACCAGTGGAGGCTGCAGAACAGCAAAGATTGCTGACTGCTCCTTCCTCTGGAAGTAGTTTCTTCCTAGAGGGGCACTGGCCTGAGGCCAGACGGAGCTCTTCTTTATGAAATGTCTGTCGACCCCTGTTGGGAGGTGTCTCCCAGTCAGGAGGCACCAGGGCCAGGGACCCACTTGAGGAAGCAGTCTGTCCCTTAGCAGAGCTGGAGCACTGTCCTTTTCTTTTTGTTTTTTTTTTTTGTGACACAGTCTGACTCTGTCACCCAGGCTAGAGTGCAGTAGAACAATCTTGGCTCACTGCAACCTCTGCCTCCTGGGTTCAAGCAATTCTCCTACCTCAGCCTCCTGAGTAGCTGGGATTACAGGCATGTGCCACCATACCTGGCTAATTTTTGTATTTTTAGTAGAGATGGGTTTTTGCCATGTTGGCTAGGCTGGTCTCAAACTCCTGACTGCAGGTGATCCACCTGCCTCAGCCTCCCAAAGTGCTGGGATTACAGGTGTGCACCACTGCACCCAGCCAATTATATGATCACTCTACATGGGGTTTGCAGCCCACTTTTTTTTTTTTTCACACACGGTTACACTCTGTTTCCTGGGCTGGCGTGCAATGGTGTGATATCTGTTGCCCCCCTTCCTTTTTTTTTTTTTTTTTTTTGAGATGGAGTCTCGCTGTGTCGCCCAGGCTGGAGTGCAGTCGTGCGATCTCCGCTCACTGCAAGCTCCGCCTCCCAGGTTCACGCCATTCTCCTGCCTCCTGAGTAGCTGGGACTACAGGCGCCTGCCACCACACCCAGCTAATTTTTTGTATTTTTAGTAGAGACGGGGTTTCACCATGTTAGCCAGTATGGTCTCGATCTCCTGACCTCGTGATCTGCCCACCTCAGCCTCCCAAAGTGCTGGGATTACATGCGTGAGCCACCGCGCCCAGCACACTTTTTATTGAATACAAATTATAGGAAGTTTTAGAAGCTGTGTCCATAGTTGACTAGTTAATAAATATTTCTTGATTGAGCCACTATGGGTCTCAGGTTATAGTGAAATATATAATAATGTACAAGTGATCTCTAGCCTATTGTTAATCTTGAAAATTAACTGGAATGTGTTATTTATCCACCTCACAGAAGTGCTCAGAAATAAATAATAAATTATCAATTATATTTGAAGGTGCTACTTTGTTTTGGAAAACAAGTTGGCTACAACAATTTATTTTTTGTTTTTTTAGAGACAAGGTCTCACATTCACAGGCTGGTGTGTGGGGCATGTGGAATGAGTATAACTCACTACAGTCTGGAACTCCTGAGCTCAAACCATTCTCCTGCCTCAGCCTCTGGAGTAGCTGGTACTAGAGCATACATCATCATGCTCAGCTAATTTTTCTTCTTCCTCTTCTTCCTCTTCTTCTTCTTCCTTCTTCTTCCTTCTTCTTTCCTCTTTCTCTTCCTTTTCTTCTTCCTCTTTTATTATCCCCATTGTTAAGCACACTCAGCTAATTTAAAATATTTTTTTGTAAAGAGAGGGTCTGGCTACTATGCTCAGACTACTCTTGAATTCCTGGCCTCAAGCAACCCTCCTGCCTTTGACTCCCAAGGTGCTGGAATTACAGGCGTGAGCCACTTCACGGGGCCAAGAAATTTATTTCACACACATATGTACACAGATATTCAAATGTGATTACTAGAAACTATCCATTGTAACATTTAATAGCAAAAACTGGAAAAAAACAACATAAATGTTCATTAAGAGGGGACTAGTTAAATAAGGCACCCAATGAAATGCTATGCACCCATTAAAAAGATGGGGCATCAAGAGAACAAGAAGATGAGCCGGGCGGAGTGGCTCACGCCTGTAATCCCAACACTTTGGGAGGCCGAGGCAGGCAGATCACGAGGTCAGGAGATCGAGACCACAGTGAAACCCCGTCTCTACTAAAAATACAAAAAATTAGCCGGGCGCGGTGGCGGGCCGCCTGCAGTCCCAGCTACTGCGGAGGCTGAGGCAGGAGAATGGCGTGAACCCGGGAGGCGGAGCTTGCAGTCAGCCGAGATCGTGCCACTGCACTCCAGCCTGGGCGACAGAGCGAGACTCCGTCTCAGAAAAAAAAAAAAAAAAAAAGAAAAAAAAATGGAGAGAACAAGATAAGCCACAGACTGGGAGAGAATATTTGCAAAAGACATGTTTCATGGCTTTCCTTTTACGTCGTTGCATTCCTGAGAGCAAGATGGGTCACCCGCAGCTGTACTGGAGCCACCTGCAAAAATTCGGCCAGGGTTCTCGCTCTCATGGCATCTGCTCAGACCTGCACAGTCTGATCCAGAAATATGGCCACAATATGTGCCTCCAGTGTTTCCATCGGTATGCGAAGGATATAGGTTTCATTAAGTTGGACTAAGTGATCTTCCTTGAATGGATTATCCAAGGCATCCACCCAATAAAAAACCATGATTGCTCTTTGTACATAAAATAAACATTTAAAAACTACAACTACAAAACAAAACAAAACAAAAAAACGCGTTTCATAAAGGACCGTTATCCAAGCTATACAAAGAACCCTGAAAACTCAACAATGAGAAAATGAACAACTGGATTTTAAAAGCGGGCAAAAAAACCTGAACAAACGTCTCACCTAGGAAGAAATACGATGACAAGTAAGCATATTAAAAGATGTCCAGGCCAGGTGTGGTGGCTCACGCCTGTAATCCCAGCACTCTGGGAGGCGGGCGGATCACGAGGTCAGAAGTTCGTGACCAGCCTGACCAACATGGTGAAACCCAGTCTCTACTAAAAACACAAAAATTAGCTGGGTGTGGTGGCAGGCGCCTGTAATCCCAGCTACTCAGGAGGCTGAGGCAGAAGTTGCAGTTAGCAGAGATCACGCCACTGCCCTCCAGCCTGGGTGACAGAGTGAGACTCCGTCTCAAAAAAATAAAATAAAATAAAATAAAATAAAATAAATTAAAGATGTCCAACATCCTAAGTCATTAGGGTATTGCAAATGAAAACAAGATACCTCCACACACCTATTAGCAGGGCCAAAATCCAGAACACCGACAGCACCAAATGCTAGCAGGGAAGTGAAACAATAAGAGCTCTCATTCACTGCTGGTGGGATGCAAAATGGCACAGCCTCTTCGGAAGACAGTTGGCAGTTTCTCACAAAATGAGCATACTCTGTCCTGAGTTCCCAGGAGTAAAAATGAAAAAATAAATAAATAAATAACTCTAACCATATGATCCACCAATCACACTCCTTTATATTTACCCAAATTAATTGAGAACTTATGTCTATATGAAAACTTGTTTATATTTATAGCAGCTCTATTCATAATTGCCAAAACTCGGAAGTAATCAAGATGCCCTGAAGTAGATGAATGGATAAACTGTGGTACATCAGACAATGTAATATTATTCAGCACTGAAAGGAAATGAGCTATTGAGCCATGAAAAGCCAGGGAGGACCTTTAAACACAGACTACCAAGTGAAAGAAGCCAACGTGAAAAGTCTACATACTGTATAATTCCAGCTATATGACATTCTACAGAATGCGAAACTATGGAGACAGTGAAAAGATTAGTGGTTGCCAAGGGCTAAGCGGAAGTAGGGTTGAATAGGCAGAGCACAGGGGATCATTAGGGCAGTCAACTACTCTGAATGATACTACAATGATGGACAAATGTGGGTTTTTTGTTTTTGGCTTTGGTTTTTTTTGAGACAGAGTCTCGCTCTGTTGCCCAGGCTGGAGGACAGTGGTGCAATCTCAGCTCACTGCAACCTCAAGCTTCCAGGTTCAAGCAATTCTCCTGTCTCAGCCTCCCAAGTAGCTGGGACTTAGAGGCGCACATCACCACACCCAGCTAATTTTTGTATTTTTAGTAGAGATGAGGTTTCACCATATTGGTCAGACTAGTCTCGAACTCCTGACCTCAGGTGATCCACCCACCTTGACTTCCCAGAGTCCTGGGATTACAGGCGTGAGCCACTGCACCCGGCCAAATGTGTTTATTATACGTATAGAAGGCACAACACCAAGAGTGAACCCTAATGTAAAGTACAGACTTTGGATGACAATGATGTGTCAATGTAGGTTCATCAATTGTAACAAATATACCACTATGCTGGGGGATATTAATACTGGAGAAGGTTGTGCATGTTTGGGGATAGAGGTTATAATATTAATAGGAACTCTGTACTTTTTGCTGTGAACCTAAAATTGCTCTAAAAAATAAAAGTTTATGGCCAGGTGTGGTGGCTCGCGCCTGTAATCCCAACACTTTGGGAGGCTGAGGAGGGTGGATCCCTTGATGACAGGAGTTTGAGACGAGCCTGGCCAACATGGCAAAACCCTTTCTCTACTAAAAACACAAAAATTAGCCAGGCATGGTGGCACATTCCTGCAACCCCAGTTACTTGGGAGGCTGAGGCAGGAGAATCACTTGAACCCGGGAGACGAAGTTTGCAGTGATCCGAGATCGTGCCATTGCACTCCAGCCTGGGCAATAGCGACTCTGTCTCAAAAAAAAAAAAAAAAAAAGAAGGCCAGCCTGGCCAACATGGTGAAACTCCATCTCCACTAAAAAATACAAAAATTAGCTGGGCGTGGTGGCACATCCCTGTAATCCCAGCTACTCAGGAAGCTGAGGCAGGAGAATCGCTTGAATCCAGGAGGTGGAGGTTGCAGTGAACCAAGATTGTGCCACTGCACTCCAGCCTGGGCAACAGAGCAAGACTCCGTATCAAAAATAAATAAATAAATAAATAAATAAATAAATAAATAAAAGTGTATTCTATTATTATTTTTTGAGACAGGGTCTTGCTCTGTCACCCAAGCTGGAGTGCAGTGGCACAATCAGGGCTCACTGCAGCCTCGACCCCCTGGGTTCAAGTGATCCTCCTGCCTCAGCCTTCCAAGTAGCTGGGACTACAGGTGTGCCACCATGCCCGGTTAGTTTTTAATTTTTTTTTTGTAGAAACGGGGTCTTCTATGTTAACCAGCCTGGAAAATTAGAATTAAAATTAAAGTCAAAAATTTTATTTTTAAAAAGAGAGCACATTGCTAAGAGCCATCCCACCCAAGACATAGTAAATGTTGGGTAGATAAAGGAAACTCAAAACCATGCTTTGTGATTCTACTTTATAGAAAGAGAGAGAGAGAAAAAGAATTGGGTATGTGTAAATATGCTTAGAACATTAATGGAAGGGCATAAAAACACCTCCCAACAGAGGCTTCTTCTGGAGAGTGGCTTAGAGAATGAGGAGTGGGCAACTTTTACTTCCTTTGCTGTATAGATTAAAACTTTAATATGAGCATGTAGTTCTTCCATTTTTTTCATGATTCCTTGCTTTAATTAAGTAATACATTGATATATTTTCTTTTTTTTATTGTTGTTTTTTTGTTTTTTTGTTTTTTTGAGACGGAGTCTCCCTCTGTCGCCCAGGCTGGAGTGCAGTGGCGCCATCTCGGCTGACTGCAAGCTCCGCCTCCCGGGTTCACGCCATTCTCCTGCCTCAGCCTCTCGAGTAGCTGGGACTACAGGCGCCCGCCATTGCGCCCGGCTTATTTGTTTGTATTTTTAGTACAGACGGGGTTTCACCGTGTTAGCCAGGATGCTCTCGATTTCTTGACCTCGTGATCCCCCCGCCTTGGCCTCCCAAAGTGCTGGGATTACAGGCGTGAGCCACCGCGCTCGGCCCATTGATATATTTTATTTGCTAAATATTCTTTTTTCCTTTTTTTGAGACAAGAGTCTCGCTCTGTTGCCCAGGCTGGAGTGCAGTGGCGCGATCACAGCTCACTGCAGACTTGATCTCCTGGGATCAGGAGGTCCTCATGCCTCAGCCTCCCAAGTAGCTTGGACCACTGCAGGTCTGTGCCACCATGCCTGGCTAAATTTGTAGGTTTGTTTGTTGTACAGATGAGGTCTCGCCATGTTGCCCAAGGCAACTCCTGGGCTCAAGCGACCCTCCTGCCGCCGCCTCCCAAAGTGCTGGGATTACAGGCGTGAGCCACCATGCCTGCCTCTGCAAAACATTCTAACAATTCAGATAAGATTAAATTGCCCTTGACCTCCCTCCACCCCGTCCCACTCCCCTCCCAGGAGATGACCACTTCTGGCCGTTTATTTGTATCTTTCTTTCATCATTGTTAAAAAGTGTATGTGAATCCCTTTGAGCTTCTTGAATCTGCGTTTATTATTAGTTGTAAAAGTCCCCAGTGACCACAGAAATGCTTCTTATGGGGAAAGGGAAGTTTTAAAATAGGGGAGCAACAATATTTGTCATAAACTTGCCCAGTGGCAGGGAAAACCCCAGGTCTTTTTTAGATCTCAAAGAGCAGGAGAAGGATAGCTTAATGTGACTGTTCAGAGGCTGGGAGTGGACAAAGAAAGGAAGCCCAGAACAATAGGGTCCTTCCATGACTGCCCTTCTGGAGGTGGGGCTGCGGCAGTAAGTGTGGAATTAGTTTAAGTCAGTATAATTTAGGGATTAGGAAGTCACCAGGGTTAAACTTTTAAATCTTTACTTTGAACTCTTTTATTTTATTTTTACTTTTTTTTTTTTTGAGATGGGGTCTCGTTCTGTCACCCAGGCTGGAGTGCACTGGTGAGATCACAGCTCACTGCAGCCTTGACTTCTTGGGCTCAGGCAGTCCTCCTGCCTCAGCCTCCCAAGTAGCTACAGAGGTGTGCCACCATGCCCTGTTGCACAAGACTGGTCTCCAGCTCCTGGGCTCAAGGGATCCTTCCGCCTTGGCCTCCCAAAGTGCTAAGATTACAGGCATGAGCCACCACGCCCAGCATTTTACTCCTCTTACTACCATCCCCAATTTTTTGTATTATGTATTTATTTATTGTTTTTACTGTTTTTTTGTTTTTTTTTTTTTTTTGAGATGGAGTTTCACTCTTGTTGCCCAGGCTGGAGTGCAATGGTGCGATCTCGGCTCACTGCAATCCTGCCTCCTGGGTTCAAGAAATTCTCCTGCCTCAGCCTCCCAAGTAGCTGGAATTACAGGCATGCGCCACCATGCCCAGCTAATTTGTTGTATGTATATATATATATATATATATATTTTTTTTTTTTTTTTTTTTTTTAGTAGAGACGGGGTTTCATCTTATTGGTCAGGCTGGTCTCGAACTCCTGACCTCAGGTAATCCACCCACTTCGGCCACCTAAAGTGCTGGGATTACAGGTGTGAGCCACCGTGCCCGGCCTATTTTTACTTTTAATTATAGGATAGGATACGGTAAGAAGAGCAGAGAAGTCTGAGTGTCAGATGCTTCTTTATTTTATTTTATTTTATTTTATTTTATTTTATTTTATTTTATTTTATTTTATTTTATTTTATTTTTAGACAGAGTCTCACTGTGTCACCAGGCTGGAGTGCAGTGGCACAATCTTGGCTCACTACAACCTCTGCCTTCCGGGTTCGAGCGATTCTCCTGCCTCAGCTTCCTGAGTAGCTGGGACTACAGGCCCACGCCACCATGCCCAGCTAATTTTTTGTATTTTCAGTGAAGACGTGGTTTCACCATGTTGGCCAGAATGGCCTTGATATCTTGACCTCATGATAAGCCCGCCTCAGCCTCCCAAAGTGCTGGGATTACAGGCATGAGCCCCTGCATCTGGCCTATTTATTTATTTATTGAGATAGAGTCTTACTCTGTCACCCAGGCTGGAGTGGAATGGCGTGATCTTGGCTCACTGCAGCCTCCTCCTCCCAGGTTCAAGCAATTCTCCTGCCTCAGCCTCCCAAGTAGCTGGAACTACAGGCATGCACCACCATCTCCGGCTAATTTTTTTTTTTTAATTTTGCATTTTTAGTAGAGACAGGATTTCGCCATGTTGGCCAGGCTGGTCTTGAACTCCTGGCCTCAAGTGATCCAGCCCCTACTCTTGGCCTCCCAACGTGCTGGGCTTACTGGCATGAGCTACCACGCCTGGCCTATGAGATGCTGCTTTTTTTTTTTTTTTTTTTTGAGACTGAGTCTTGCTCTGTCGCGCAGGCTGGAGTGCAATGGCAAGATCTCGGCTCACTGCAACCTCTGCCTCCTGGGTTCAAGCAATTCTCCTGCCTCAGCCTCCTGAGTACCTGGAATTACAGGTGCGTGCCACCACGCCCAGCTAATTTTTGTATTTTTAGTAGAAACGGGGTTTTACCATGTTGGTCAGGCTGGTCTTGAACTCCTGACCTCGTGATCCGCCCCCTTCGGCCTCCCAAAGTGCTGGGAATACAGGCGTGAGCCACCGTGCCCGGCCTCAGATGTTTCTTTAGATCCAAACTTTCTAACTGCACTGGAGCTAGAAAGGAGCCCTGAAGATGGTGGCATTTAAGTTATTTTGCTACTTAACAATTGCTATTGGGTGAATGTTATAGAATCTTTTTTTGTCTGTTCGTTTGTAGAGACAGGGTCTCACTATGTTCTGGATACTCCAGCCTGGATACTCCAGGCTGATCTGGAACTCCTGGCCTCAAGCTATCCTCCCACTTCGGGCTCCTCAAGTCCTGGGATTACGGGTGTAAACCACCACACCTGGCCTGTTATAGAATATTTTCACTAAGAAAGTTGCTTTATGCCAGGCACAGTGGCCCATGCCTGTAATCCCAGCACCTTGGGAGGCCAAGGTGGGCAGATTACTCAAGCCCAGGAGTTCAAGACCAGCCGGACAACATAGCAAAACCCTGCCTTTACAAAAAAATACAAAAATTAGCTGGGTGTGGTGTTGCACACCTGTAGTCCAAGCTACTGGGAAGGCTGAAGTGGGAGGATGGCTTGAGCTGAGGAGGTTGAGGCTGCAGCGGATTGTGATAGTGCCACTGCATTCCAGCCTGGGTGACAGCAAGACCCTGTCTCAAAAAAAAAAAAAAAAGTTGCTTTTTATGTCGTTTTTACATTACCAGGCTATTTTCACAAGATATTAATTCATTCCTTTAATTATATAAAAAAAAATACTGAGTTTACCCACCTCGGGCCAGATGTATCTAGAGAATTGGGAAATTCCTAATCTGGGCCTCTGATTAAATGGCAAAAGCCCAAGACTGGGACTGTCATCCTGCCACTGAATGCTGTGTGATCTCTCCCTTAATTGCATGATGCTTCATTTGCCTCATCTGTAAAATGGAAGTGTTGGTACAAACGATTTCTAAGGTTCTGAGGTTCAAAAATCTATTAGTCAAACCCATCTAGTTAATGTAAGACTGTCAGACTGAATCATACACTCAAAATGAAGTGAAGAGTTGGATCAATTGTATAGATCATTCTAGAAAAAAAATAAAAAATTAGTTAGACCTCAATTAGATATATTTCAGGCCACATTGTTTAGTCTATTTTATTTTTCTGGGGCTGTAAGACCAGAAACTACCTGACAGATCCAAGTAACTTGCGTGTTCTCAGCTCCATTTCACCTAGATGGGCCCCCCAGAGATTCAAGCACTTACACCTAACAATGTCAGGCTCCAAATACACTGAAAAAACAAAGACATTCCTTCAGCCCCAGTCCCAACCAGATCCTACATGTAGTGTCTACCACCGTTTAGCTAACCAGCCCTTTTCAAATTGAAAAGTACCAGTGAGTCACCTGGAGACCTTTTTAAAATGTACATTCTGATTCAGTAGATCTAGGGTGAGGCTCAAGATTCTACATTTCTAACAAGTTCCGGGTGGATGGTGATGCTGCTGGTCTCTGTTTCACACTTAAAGTGGCAAGGGGGCTAAACTACTAGCAGCTCACTGTCTTCTTTTTCAAATGCACGCTATTTTTGATTTAAAAAAACTCTTTAACTGATAAAGCTAATGCTGCTTTCAAATAACATTTGTGAAATAGAGTCAGAATTAAGGTCTTTCCTAAAATAAATGTGTTGAGTGTGGAGGCATTACACTTTGCTAAAGGTTAGGAAACTTAGAAGTGTTTCTTTTTCTTTAAATCTGTAGACAGATACCTTATACAGTAGCAAAGACTCATTAACATGTATAAATATCTTGCTCTAAAAAAGGACTCAAGGCAGTAGATTGTAAGGATTCATAACATAACCTATGCAAAACCCTTTAGCCCCCATGCCTAGCAGTTACGAAAGGCTTAAACAAGAGATTTATAACCAAGTAAGGCAAAAGATATAAAGAGGCATTTCATAGAAGGGACTTGAATGGTCAATAAACATATGAAAAAATGCACACAACTTTATTAGTAATCAGAGAACTGAAAATTTAAACCAAAAGGAAACACCACTTTATAACCTTCAGATAGTCAAAAAGGAAAAAAAATCATATAACAACACATGCTGGTAAGGATATGTTATACACTGCTGGTGGGATTTAAGTTGGTGCAATTTATTTATATTTTATTTTAAGTTTTTTTTTTTTTTTTTTTTGAGACGGAGTCTCGCTCTGTCACCCAGGCTGGAGTGCAGTGGCGCGATCTTGGCTCACTGCAAGCTCCACCCCCCGGGTTCACGCCATTCTCCTGCCTCAGCCTCCCGAGTAGCTGAGACTACAGGCACCTGCCACCTCGCCCGGCTAATTTTTTGTATTTTTAGTAGAGACGGGGTTTCACCGTGTTAGCCAGGATGATCTCGATCCCCTGACCTCATGATCCGCCCGCCTCGGCCTCCCAAAGTGCTGGGATTACAGGTGTGAGCCACCGTGCCCGGCTATTTATTTATTTATTTATTTATTATTTTTTCTTTGAGACAGGGCCTCACTTTGTCATCCAGGCTAAAGTGCAGTGGTGCAATCACAGCTCGCTGCAACCTCTACCTCTAGGGCTCAATTGATCCTCCCACCTCAACTTCCTGAGTAGCTGAGACTACAGGCGCATGCCACAATGCCTGGCTAATTTTTTTTTTTTTTTTTTTTTTGAGATGGAGTTTTGCTCCTGTTGCCCAGGCTGGAGTGCAATGACACAATCTCACCTCACTACAACCCCTGCCTCCCGGGTTCAAGCGATGCTCCTGCCTCAGCCTCCTGAGTAGCTGGGATTATAGGCATATGCCACCACACCAGGCTAATTTTGTATTTTTAGTGGCGGGGGGGGGGCGGTGGGCGGGGTTTCTCCATGTTGGTCAGGCTGGTATCGAACTCCCGACCTCAGGTGATCCACCTGCCTCGGCCTCCCAAAGTGCTGGGATTACAGGCATGAGCCGCCACGCCCAGCTGCCTGGCTAATTTTGTATCTTTTTGTAGAGATGGGGTTTTGCTATGTTGCCCAGGCTGGTCTCGAATTTCTGGCCTCAAGTGATCCACCCTCCTTGGCCTCCCAGATTTAGCCAAGGGCTGGGATTTGCAAAGAGCTGGGATTACGGGCATGAGCCACTGCACCTAGCCCATAACTATATTTTGATAGTTACATAATAATCTATTATATCAAGCAGATAATTTACTTAGCTGTATTCATATTATTGACAATTAGATTGTTTCCTTTTTTATTATTCTGCTTTTCCAGTTTTCCTTCTCTTTTGGGTCATTTCCATATGAAAAACTTCTAACAGAATAATTATAAGGTCAAAGGGTTGGAACATGTATACAAGTCTTCAGACATGTACATAAAATAATTTCTGCAGCCAAAAATATATCTCCATTCAGATGTATTTCCATCACTTCAAATTCTGACTTCCTAAAATAGAAGTAGGCGCTGCACTCCAGCCTAGGCAACAGAGTGAGACCCTGTCTCAAAAATAGAATAAAATAGAACAGCTCCCTATTATCACCCTTTCTAAACTGTTTTCCTTCTCCCCTTAACTCTATTACAGGCGATAGAAATATCTGGAACCCAGGTTGGCCAAATTCCTGCTCCTAATTCCTAGAAATACCCTCCTAGAAGAAAGACTGTCCTAGAGGAGACAGGTCTCCCTCAAGGGCCTAAATGTTCTGTGAAGTGCTTTTGGAAACTCTACTAATATATTTAAGGATTTGTTCATCTGTGATGACTGTGCTAAAAACCATGTTAGCCAGGATGGTCTTGATCTCCTGACCTCGTGATCCATCCACCTCGGCCTCCCAAAGTGCTGGGATTACAGGCGTGAACCACCGCGCCTGGCCTCAAGATGCTTTTTATTTATTAACTTGTCCTCCCAACAACCCTATAAAGTGGCATTATTATCATTATGTGCTTGGCCCATAGTAGATGCTCAATGAATACTATTAAATGAGAGCATTCCTCTTTTAGAGTTGGGAAATGTGGCTTAGGACATTAAGTTACCCAGTGTTTCATAGCTAGTAAATGGTAAAGAAGTTACACAGAACAGTCTGTCTCCAGGGCCTACAAGCATTTTCCATGAAACCTCAAGGCTCTTTAAGATCATATCATACCCTAACCTACTTTTCTTTTATTTTTTCTTTTTTTCTGAGACAGGATCTCACTCTGTCACCCAGGCTGGAGTGCAGTGGTGCCATCATGGCTCACTGCAACCTTGACCTTGAACTCCTGGTCTCAAGCTATCCTCCTGCCTCAGCCTCCCAAGCAGCTGGGACTACAGGCGCACACCACCCCTCCTGGCTAATTTTTTTTTTTCTTTTTTTTTGAGATGGAGTCTTACTCTGTCACCCAGGCTGGAGTGCAGTGGTGTGATCTCGACTCACTGCAACCTCCACCTCCCAGGTTTGAGTGATTCTCCTGCCTCAGCCTCCCGAGTAGCTGGGATTACAGGCATGTGCCACCACACCCAGCTAATTTTTGTATTTTTGTAGAGACGGGGTTTCACCATGTTGTCCAGGGTAGTCTTGAACTCTTGACCTCAGATGATCCGCCCACCTTAGCTTCCCAAAGTACTGGGATTACAGGCGTGAGCCACCTTACCTGGCCCTAACCTACTTCTCTGGCCTCATGTCTGGATACTTTTGTCCATTTTCTATCCTAGTGACTGTTCTCTGAATTTACCAATCTAGTTCATACTTGTTCATCTTTATTCTGGCTCTCAGGCCTGGAATGCCTTTCTCTCCTTCCCTCTTGGTTAGGTAACTTCTTCTCAATCTTCAGTATCCAGGCTGGAGTGCAGTGGCTTGATCTCGGCTCACTACAGCCTCTGCCTCCCGGGTTCAAGCAACTCTTCTGCCTCAGCCTCCCGAGTAGCTAGAACTACAGGCGCATGCCAACACACCCAGCTAATTTTTGTATTTTTGTAGAGACGGGGTTTCGCTATTTGGTCAGGCTGGTCTCGAGTTCCTGACCACAAGTGATCCGCCCCCACCTCGGCCTCCCAAAGTGCTGGGATTACAGACGCTAGCCACCACTCCTGGCCTGTTTTTTATTTTTATTTTTATTATTTTTTTAAGAAGGAGTCTCGCTCTGTCGCCCAGGCTGGAGCGCAGTGGTGCAATCTTGGCTCACTGCAACCTCTGCCTCCCGGGTTCAAGTGATTATCTTGCCTCAGTCTCCTGAGTAGCTGAGATTACAGGTGTGTGCCACCATGCCCGACTAATTTTTGTATTTTTAGTAGAGATGAGGTTTCACCATATTGGCCAGGCTGGTCTTGAACTCCTGACCTCAGGTGATCCCCTGACATGGGCTTCCCAAAGTGCTGGGATTACAGGCATGAGCTATGGTGCCCGGCCTGTTTTGATTATTATTATTATTATTATTACTATTTTTGAAACCCACTTTCGCTCTTGTTGCCCAGGCTGAAGTGCAATGGTGCAATCTTGGCTCACTGCAACATCCACATCCCAGGTTCAAGTGATTCTCTTGCCTCAGCCTCCTGAGTAGCTGGGATTACAGGTGTGCACCACCACACCTGGCTAATTTTTGTATTTTTAGTGGAGACAGGGTTACACCATATTGGCCAGGCTGGTCTTGAACGCCTGACCTCAAGTGATCCACCTGCCTCGGCCTCCCATAGTGCTGGGATTACAGGCGTGAGCCACCAGGCCCGGCCATCAACCTTTTTATGAGGCCTATGAGAAGCGTCCTCTACCCTGAGGCGGAACTACTCATTCTCTCTTCTTTGCTCCCATAGCACTTTATTTATGCGTCTAATTATAGACATTCTAACACTATATCATGATTTATTTAGGTGTCTGCTTCTCACTAGGTTGTGTTCTCCTTTGGGGCAAGAGCTAAGTTTCATTCATGTTTGTATCCCCAGCCTGGCATGTAATCAGGATTCAATAAGTATTTGTTAAGTGAATGAATAAATGGATGTCTTTGATTTGACTTTGCAAAAGATAGAGGAAACAGGGCCGGGGGCGGTGGCTCACGCCTATAATCCCAGCACTTTGGGAGGCCGAGGCGGATGATCACCAGGTCAGGAGATCGAGACCATCCTGGCTAACATGGTGAAACCCTGTCTCTACTAAAAATAAAAAATAAAAAAAATTAGCCGGGCGTGGTGGCGGGCGCCTGTAGTCCCAGCTACTCGGGAGGCTGAGGCAGGAGAAAGTGAGCTGAGATCGCGCCACTGCAGTCCAGCCTGGGCGACAGAGCGAGACTCCGTCTCAAAAAAAAAAAAAAAAAAAGAGGAAACATTTATTTCAAAGACCTTTTTTTTTTTGAGACGGAGTTTTGCTCTTGTTGCCCAGGCTGGAGTGCAATGGCGAGATCTTGGCTCACTGCAACCTCCACCTCCAGGGTTCAAGTGATTCTCCTGCCTCAGCCCCCTAGTCGCTGGGATTACCGGTGCCTGCCATCACACCCAGCTAATTTTTGTTACTTTTAGTAGAGACTTTTAGTAGAGACGGGGTTTTGCCATGTTGGCCGGGCTGGTCTTGAACTCCTGACCTCAGGTGATCCACCACCTCCCAAAGTGCTGGTGAGCCTCCCAAAGGCATGAGCCATGGGGCCTGGCTGAAAGGACATGTTTTATAATCACCTTTGTATGGAAGCTAAGGGCATAAGATTAAATCTTAACTTAGCAAAGGCCTTTGGCAGGAGACTAGTTCAATATCAACAAGGTATCTTGCTTTCCAACATTTCTTATTACAAGGGTGTCAAGGAATAGTTACAAAGACAAATCTTAAGTGCACTTAAATGGAGGAAACAGCAAGTGAATATGAATGGTTTGCTAATATGAGCAATCTAGGGAATGAAACCTAGGGAACTTAAAGGCCAGAAAGGCCTTAAATATTTTCATTCATCGGCCGGGCACAGTGGCTTACGCCTGTAATCCCAGCACTTTGGAAGGCCAAGGCAGGTGGATCACCTGAGGCAGAATTCAAGACCAGCCCGGCCAACATAGTGAAACCCTGTCTCTACTAAAAATACAAAAATTAGCCGGACATGGTGGCATGCGCCTGTAGTCCCAGCTACTCAGGAGGCCGAGGCAGGAGAATCACTTGAACTTCGGAGGCAGAGATTGCGATGAGCTGCAATCACGCCACTGCACTCCAGCCTGGGCAACAGAGCGAGACTCTGTCTCAAAAAAAAAAAAATCATGTATCTTTTAAATTTTGGACAAAGGAGTTGAGAATAGAGGGAAAAAATTACCAGGCACCCGTGCTAAGTCGATTTTTATGGATTCTAGTTTGAATGCCGTCTCAAAAAGATTAAGGACATCAAGGTCCTCATTGTAGATGATGTATCATCTCTTCTTTGTCTATAAGATGTCGATGACTGCACGTTCAGTTTCTGAGCCCTGTCATTTGGTAGGTTCTTTGGATCCTTGGGTCTCTGGAAATTGTTCATTCTTGCCGACTAGTCTTAATAATTACAAGCTTCGAGAGATGCATCTGACTCATCAACAAATCCAGAAAGTGAAGCCATCCTCTCCATTGTCGTCCTGGTATAATACTTGATAATGATTCCAATATTATTTTCAGTGACTTGATTAAGTCTTTCTACCTTTTCCTTCCACGCCTTTCTCTGTGTAACCAAAAACATCAGTTGAAAAATTCTCAAAACATCAGTTGAAAAATTCTCAAAACATCAGTTGAAAAATTCTCAAGAATCTTTTCTTACTTCCATTCCACAAATATGGCCCAAAGCATCAACTCCATGGTGATTAAAAAAAAAAAAAAAGCTTGCAAAGAACTATATGCCTAGAAACTTCTTCTAGCTTTTTATCACTGCTTATTCAGTAAACTTAATCTTCTTGCCAAAGAGGAGCCAGGATGACAAGAAAAACAGCTGGGTCATGAGTACAGGAGCATCACAGAAGTGCTTGGGTATAGACAGATAGGAGCCTTTGTGCAGACCCGATCGAACTGCTGAGTTATAAACTGACTATTTAAAGACTAGTGAGCCAGAGAGGTTCAAGATTCTGAGAGACAGAATGATTAATTGCACAGAGCCCAAGAGGACGGGGGTGGAGAGAGTGTGATCCACAGCATAGGTAGAAAAAATAGCCTTAATAGGTGAAAGGAAGGGTGTTATTTTGGAGGCAGGAAGTTGGGGGAGTTCCTTTCAAAGACTTCTGTTTTCTCTAAAGTTGGAGGTGAGGTCATTCTTGGAGGGAGGGGTGGGTGGGTCAGAGGTTTGTGGAGATTTGAAATGGCTGTGGTGGATAATGGGAAGCACTGGCTTAGCCTGGGCCTCTTTACAGGTGAAAAGGCAAAGGAATGAGCAAGGTGATGGGCCAAGAGGTATAGGATGAAGAAGGAAGAGATGAAGGCAGAAGGGACTCCAAAGGGAGAAAGGAGAAGGGCCCAAATACCCGAGTACAAAGAGCAATTGAGGAAAGGGCAGAGTGGGAGAAAGTTTGGGCAAAGGGTGGGGTGTCCAAATTCTGCTTGTCATTTTAAGTTCAACAAACAGTATCACCTTAAAACAAAATTAAATATAATGCAATTTTTTTTGAGACAGGGTCTCTCATTGTTGGCCAGGCTGGAGTACAGTGACATAATCACTGCTCACTGCAGCTTTGACCTCCCCAGGCTCAAGTGATCCTCCCACCTCAGCCTCCTAAGTAGCCGGGAATGCAGGCCTACCTATGCCACCATGCTCGGCTAATTTTTGTATTTTTCGTTTTCTGTGGGGTTGTTGTTGTTGTTGTTGTTTTTCTGAGATAGGGTCTTACTCTGTCACCCAGGCTAGAGTGCAGTGGCACAATCTCGGCTCACCGCAACCTCTGCCTCCCATGTTCAAGCGATTCTCCTGCCTCAGCCTTCTGAGTAGCTAGGACTACAGGCGTGTGCCACCATGCCCAGCTAATTTTTGTATTTTTAATAGAGACGGGGCTTCGCCATGTTGGCCAGGCTGGTCTCGAACTCCTGACCTCAAGTGATCTGCCTGCCTCAGCCTCCCAAAATGTTGGGATTACAGATGTGAGCCACCATGCCTGACCCAATTTTTGTATTTTTTTGTAGAGACAGGGTCTTACTACGTTGCCCAAGGCTGGTCTCAAACTCCTGGGCTCAAGTGATCCTCCTGCCTCAGCCTCCCAAAGTGTTGGGATCACAGGTGTGAACCACCATGCCCAGCCATAGTTTTGTTTGTCTTTAATTTTTCTTTCTTTTTTTTGAGATGGAGTCTCGTTTTGTCGCCCAGGCTGGAGTGCAGTGGCACAATTGGCTCACTGCAACCTCTGCCTCCCTGGTTCAAGGGATTCTTATGCCTCAGCCACCCTAGTAACTGGGATTACAGGCATGCGCCACCACACCCAGCTAATTTTTTGTATTTTTAGTAGATATGGGGTTTTGCCATGTTGGCCAGGCTGGTCTCGAACTCCTGGCCTCAAGAGATCCACCTGCTTCAGCCTCCCAAAGTGCTGGGATTACAGGCGTGAGCCACCGCACCTGGCCCCAGCTGCAGTTTTGTAATCTTGCATTTAAACATTGGTTTTATTTACAGATTGTAGTTTCAAGCCTTTTTATTTTTAATTTATATATATATATATACACACACACATACATATATATACACATACATACGTGTGTGTATATATATACATATATATATTATATATATATTTGTTGTTGTTGTTAAAAAGAAGCATGATAGTCAGCAGTGGCTCACACCTGTAATCCCAGCACTTTGGGAGGCCAAGGCGGGATTGCTTGAGCCCAGGAGTTTGAGACCAGCCTGGGAAAGATAGCAAGACCCCCATCTCTACAAAACATAAAGAAAATTAGGCCAAGCACGGCGGCTCATGCCTGTAATCCCAGCTACTCAGGAGACTGAAGCAGAGGATCACTTGAGCCTAAAACTTCCAGGTTGCAGTGAGCCGTGACTGTGCCACTGCACTCCAGTCTGGGTGTCAGAACAAGATGCTGTCTCAAAAAAAAAAAAAAAAAAAGAAGAAGAAGAAAGAAAGAAATGGGGTCTCAGTCTGTTGCCCAGGCTGGGCTTGAACTCTTAGCCTGAAGCAATCCTCACCCCTCACCCTCACAAAGTGCTAGGGTTACAGGCAAAAAATTTTTATATCAATTTATGGTTAGAGAAACCTAAGCAGCTGCCCAACTCAGAAGTCCAAGAAGAAAAAGAATGCTGGGTGTGGTGGTATACAGTCCCAGAACTAAAGTAAGTTTTCTGTCTTCTCTCTTTATATTATATTAAGAGTACAATACTACAATAGTTGGTGTCCCACCTACTTGGGAGTCTGAGGCAGGAAGACTGCTTTAGGCCAGGAGTTGGAGGGCAATGTAACAAGACTCCATCTCTTAAAAAAATTTTTTTTAAGATTTAATTGGGATGGGCGCTGTGGCTCACGTCTGTAATCCCTGCACTTTGGGAGGCCGAGATGGGCGGATCACTTGAGGTCAGGAGTTCGAGACCAGCCTTCAACATGGTGAAACCCCATCTCTACTAAAATACAAAAATTAGCTGGGCATGGTGGCGTGGTGGCGGGCACCTATAATCCCAGCTATTTGGGAGGCTGAGGGAAGAGAATTGAACCCGGGAGGCAGAGGTTGCAGTGAGCCAAGATTGCACCATTGCACTCCAGCTTGGGCTACAAGAGCGAAACTTCGTCTTAAAAAAAAAAAGAAAAGAAAAGAAAAAGATTTATTGGCAGGGCATGGTGGCTCACGCCTGTAATGCCAGCATTCTGGGAGGCCAAGACGGGTGGATCACAAGGTCAGGAGATTGAGACCATCCTGGCCAACATGATGAAATCCCATCTCTACTAAAAATACAAAAGTTAGCTGTGCATGGTGGCACGTGCCTATAATCCCAGCTAGTTAGGAGTCTGAGACAGGAGAATCACTTAAACCTGGGAGGCAGAGGTTGCAGTGAGGCGAGATCAAGCCACTGCACTCCAGCCTGGCGACAGAGCGAGACTCTGCCTCAAAAAAAAAAAAAAAAAAAAAAGACAAGTAAAGCAAGAGAAGGAGGCAAAGAATATGAACAGAAGAGGAAACATACCCACAAAAGAGGAAATCCAAGTGATCAGCAAATATATGAAAATAGTAGTCAGGAAAATAAAAATAAAAATAACAACCCATGCTGGAGGGAGAATTGTGGAAATGGTCATTCTAAATTTTTTTTTCGGAGTTTCGCTCTTGTCGCCCAGGCTGGAGTGCAGTGGCGCGATCTCAGCTCACTGCAACCTCCACCTCCTGGGTTCAAGTGATTCTCCTGCCTCAGCCTCCCAAGTAGCTGGAATTACAGGTGCTCACCACCACACCCAGCTATTTTTTGTATTTTTTAGTAGAGATGGGGTTTCACCACGTTGGCTAGGCTGGTCTTGAACTCCTGACCTCAGGTAATTTACCTGCCTTGGCCTACCAATGTGCTGGGATTACAGGTGTGAGCCACCTTGACCAGCCCGGGCACTGTAAAATTTATTGTGTGTGTGTGTGTGTGTGTGTGTGTGTATGCGTCTATGTGTGTATTACTAGAGCCTTCTAAAAATAATGTAACAATATCTATAAAATAGAAAAGTTAGTAAGATTAAAATAAAAATACACATATGCTTTGTCTTTTTTTTTTTCTGAGACGGAGTCTCGCTCTGTCACCCAGGCTGGAGTGCAGTGGTGCAATCTCGGCTCACTGCAAGCTCCGCCTCCCGGGTTCACGCCATTCTCCTGCTTCAGCCTCCCCGGTAGCTACAGGCGCCCGCCACCACGCCCAGCTAATTTTTTGTATTTTTAGTAGAGACAAAATGTTAGCCAGGATGGTCTCGATCTCCTGACCTCGTGATCCGCCCGCCTCGGCCTCCCAAAGTGCTGGGATTACAGGCGTGAGCCACCGCGCCCGGCCTGCTTTGTCTTTTGAAGTTGTTTTGAGACAGGGACTCCTTTGTTGCCCAGGCTGGAGTGCAGTGGTGAGATTATAGTTGACTGTAGCCTGGAACTGTTGGGCTCAGGCAATCTTCCTGCCTCACATTCCCAGGTAGTTAGCATTACAAATTAGCCACACCTGGCTAATTTTTAAATTTTTTTTTTTTTTGTACAGATGGAGTCTCACTAGTTTGCCCAGGCTAGTCGAAAACTCCTGGCCTCAAGTGATCCTCACACCTGCCCCTCCCAAAGCCACCATGCTGGGCATATCTTTTATTTATTTATTTATTTATTTATTTTTGAGACAGAGTCGCACTCTGTCGCCCAGGCTGGAGTGCAGTGGCGTGATCTCAGCTCACTGCAACCTCCGCCTCCCGGTTTCAAGCGATTCTCCTTCCTCAGCCTTCCGAGTAGCTGGGATTACAGGCACCCGCCACCATGCCTGGCTAATTTTTGTATTTTTAGTAGAGGTGGGGTTTTACCATCTTGGCCAGGCTTGTCGTGAACTCCAGACCTAGTGATCCGGCCTCCCAAAGTGCTGGGATTACAGGTGTGAGCCACCACGCCCGGCATATCTTTTAACTTTAAAAAATTTTCACCAGGTACGGTGGCTCACGCCTGTAATCCCAGCACTTTGGGAGGCCAAGGTGGGCGGATCACCCGAGGTCGGGAGTTCGAGACCAGCCTGACCAAAATGGCGAAACCCCCTCTCTACTAAAAATACAAAAAAATTAGCCGGGCATGGTGGCACATGCCTGTAATCCCAGCTACTCTGAAGGCTGAGGCAGGAGAATTGCTTGAACCCAGGAGGCAGAGGTTGCAGTGAGCCGAGACTGTGCCACACTCCAGCCTGGGCAAGAAGAGTGAAACTGTCTCAAAAAAAAAAAAAAAAAAGTTCAAATCTATAGAAAAGTTGCAAGAATAATACAATGAATAATCATATACCTTTCACAGATAGTCACCAGTCACTGATAGGCTACGGTGTGCTATGATCTTGCTGCTGTACTCCTGCCGAGACCAGCTCGGTGGGGTAGACCCTAACCCAGTGGCGCTGGAGGAATTGAAGACACACACACAGAAATATAGAGGTGTGAAGTGGGAAACCAGGGGTCTCACAGCCTTCAGAGCTGAGAGCCCCGAACAGAGATTTACCCACGTATTTATTAACAGCAAGCCAGTCATTAGCATTGTTGCTATAGATATTCGATTAACTAAAAGTATCCCTTATGGGAAACGAAGGGATGGGCTGAATTAAAGCAATAGGTTGGGTTAGTTAACTGCTGGAGGAGCATGTCCTTAAGGCGCAGATCTCTCATGCTATTGTTTGTGGCTTAAGAATGCCTTTAGGCCTGGGCACGGTGGCTCATGCCTGTAATCCCAGCACTTTGGGAGGCTGAGGTGGGCGGATCACAAGGTCAAGAGATAGAGACCATCCTGGCCAACATGGTGAAACCCCATCTCTATTAAAAGTATAAAAATTAGCTGGGCGTGGTGGTGGGCGCCCGTAGTCCCAGCTACTCAGGAGGCTGAGGCAGGAGAATCGCTTGAACCCGGGAGGTGGAGGTTGCAGTGAGCCGAGATCACGCCATTGCACTCCAGCCTGGGCGACAGAGTGAGATGCCATCTCAAGAAAATAAATAAATAAATAAATAAAAATAAAATAAAGAATGCCTTTAAGCGGTTTTCTGCCCTGCGCGGGCCAGGTGTTCCTTGCCCTCATTCCAGTAAACCCACAACCTTCCAGCGTGGGTGTTATGGCCATCATGAACATGTCACAGTGCTGCAGAGATTTTGTTTATGGCCAGTTTTGGGGCCAGTTTATGGCCAGATTTTGGGGGGCTTGTTCCCAACATACTCCAGCTGGGGTGACCAAGCCGATCTTGTCTCTAAACATTAAAAAAGAAAAAATTGGGGCTGGGCATGGTGGCTCATGCCAGTAATCCCAGCACTTTGGGAGGCTGAGGCAGGCAGATTACAAGGTCAGGAGTTTGAGACCAGCCTGGCCAACACGGCAAAACCCCATCTCTACTAAAAATACAAAAATTAGCCAGGCATGGTGCCACGCACCTATAATCCCAGCTACTCGAGAGGCTGAGGCAGGAGAATCGCTTGAACCCAGGAGGCAGAGGTTGCAGTGAGCTGAGTTAGTGCCATTGCACTCCAGCCTGGGCAACAAGAGCAAGACTCCATCTCAAAAAAAAAAAAGAGAGAGAAGAAAAGAAAAAATTGGCCAGGTGTGGTGGCTCATGCCTGTAATCCCAGCACTTTGGGAGACCAAGTCAGGTGGGTCACTCGAGCCCAGGAGTTTGAGACCAGCCTGACCAAAATGGCGAAACCTCCTCTCTACTAAAAATACAAAAAAATTAGCCGGGCATGGTGGCATATGCCTGTAATCCCAGCTACTCGGGAGACTGAGACAGGAGAATCGCTTGAACCCGGGAGGCGGAAGTTGCAGTGAGCTGAGATTGCACCACTGCACTCCAGCCTGGGAGACAGAGTGAGACTCCATTTCAAAAAAAACAATTAGCCAGGCGTGGTGGTGTGCACCTGTAGTCCCAGCTACTCAGGAGGCTGAGGCAGGAGAATCGCTTGAGCCCAGCAGGTGGAGGTCACAGTGAGCCAAGATTATGCCGCTGCACTCCAGCCTGGGTGACAGAGTGAGACTCTCTCAAAAAACAAAAAAAAAGGAAAAATTAAAACAAAAAATAATTTAAGAGACATTTCTATCCCACAACCGAACATGTAATGTATGGGGTATCGTTTTCATTTCAGATTTTAATTTTAACTATAACTACTGTACTGTCCAGACCCATGCCGGAGGTTTTTTGTTTTTGTTTTTGTTTCTTTATTTTGAGACAGGATCTGACTCTGTGTCCCAGGCTGGAGTGCACTGGCACGATCTCAGCTCACTGCAACCTCTGCCTACTGCGCTCAAGCTGTCCTCCTACCTCAGCCTTCAGAGTAGCTGGGATTACAGACCTACGCCACCATGCCCAGATAATTTTTGTATTTATTTTATTTATTTATTCATTTATTTATTTATTTTTGTAGAGACAGGGAAGTAACAGAGTAGGACTTAAAATAAACCACTGGGTCTGTAGTCTTAACGATTTGTAATTAGAACAACTAGTTACTAATTTGTAGAAAGGAAAAAAATATGAATATAGGAAAAAAATACTATAATGATGCATATTTGTTTTTTGTTTTTTCCAGACAGTGTCTTGCTCTGTCACCCAGGCTGGAGTGCAGTGGCATGATCTCAGCTCACTGCAGCCTCCACCTCCCAGGTTCGAGCGATTCTCCCTGCCTCAGCCTCCCGAGTAGCTGGGGTTACAGGCATGCACCACTACACCCGGCTAATTTTGTATTTTTTGTAGAGACAGGGTTTTGCCACGTTGGCCGGGCTGATCTCAAATTCCTAACCTCAACTGATGCACCTGCCTCGGCCTCCCAAAGTGCTGGGATTACAGTTGTGAGCCACCACGCCTCCCCATTTTTCATCATATGTTCTAATTGCTAATATCAAATTGGTCTTAAAGAGTGTATTATCTTGCATCTTCTTATTGGACTCAGCAGTATCTTTCATTTGTCTGGAGGCATTCAATTAATTCTATTAATTTGAATCAATTTTAAAGTAATTAGCTATATAATCAGGTTCGAATAATGATATTATGGCCTTCTCCTTTTTACTTTAATTTTTTAAATTAAATTAAATTTTTTTCTTTTAAAAAAAAATAGAGACAGGGTTTCACCATGTTGCCCAGGCTGGCCTCTAACTCCTGAGCTCAAGCGATCTCACCTCAGCCTCCCAAAGTGTTAGGATGACAGGTGTGAGCCACAGCACCCAGCCTGGGTTGGTTTTGTTTTGTTTTGTTCTGTTTTTTGAGATAGAGTCTCACTCTGTCGCCCAGGCTGGAGTGCATTGGCGCGATCTGGGCTCACTGCAAGCTGCGCCTCCCGGATTCATGCCACTATCCTGCCTCCCGAGTAGCTGGGACTACAGGGGCCCACCACCAAGCCCGGCTAATTTTTTTGTGTTTTTAGTAGAGACAGGGTTTCACTGTATTAGCCAGGATGGTCTCGATCTCCTGACCTCGTGATCTGCCCGCCTCGGCCTCAAAGTGCTGGGATTACAGGCGTGAGCCACCGCGCCCAGGCTGTTTTGTTTTGTTTTTTGCCTTTCACCCTGTTGACCAGGAACTTTCTCCATTTGTGTATTTTTCATCATATTTAATACATGTTTTGTTGTGTTGATCAGCATTTCTAAAACAGTATTATAGGAAAGTAGCTGCTGCTTACTTTACAAGCAAAAGCTAATCTTCCTGATATAGAAAAAGCTTCTACCAAACCCAGGGAAAAAGACCAACAAGAGAAAAATGAACAAAGGATATGAATAGACAGTTCAGACAGAAGAAAATATAAACTCTTAAACATGAAAAAAAGTGTTCAACCTGACTAATAATGTAAAAATGCTGTGGTGCCATTTTTCACTCATCAGATTGGCAAATAACTAGATGTTTGTTAACCCTGTGTTGAGAGGCTGTGGAAAAACAGATGCTGTCATCCACTGCTGGTAGGAATGTACATTGAGTTAATCCCTAGGGAGAACAATTTGGCACTGTCTGTCAAAATTACAAATGTGGCAGGATGTGGTGGTTCACACCTGTAATCTCAGCACTTTGGGAGGCCAAGGTGGGTGGATCACCTGAGGTCAAGAGTTCGAGACCAGCCTGGCCAACATGGTAAAACCCCCATCTCTACTAAACACACAAAAATTAGCTGGGCGTGGTGGCACCTGCTTGTAATCCCAGCTACTCAGGAGGCTGAAGCAGGAGAATCACTTGAACCTGGGAGGTGGAGGTTGCAATGAGCCAAGACTGCGCCACTGCACTCCAGCCTGGGGGACAGAGCAAGACTTCATCTCAAAAAAAAAAAAAAATTACAAATGCATATACCCCTTGACCCAGCACTACCACTCCTAGAAATGTATCCCATGGATTTATTGCACACGTGTTAATTGACCTACGTACGAGACTATTCATTGCAGCATTGTTTGTAATAGCAAAAAATTGGAAACAACCCAAACATTCCTCAATAGGGAACTGGTTAAATAAACTGTAGTATATCCATCAAATGAAATACTGTGCCACCAAAAAGAATGATGTGGTCCGGGCACAGTGGCTCACCCCTGTAATCCAGCACTTTGGGAGGCCAAGGTGGGCGGATCACCTGAAGTCCGGAGTTCAAGACCAGTCTGGCCAACATGGTGAAAACCAGTCTCTACTAAAAATATAAAAATTGGCCGGGCGTGGTGGCTCACGCCTGTAATCTCTGCACTTTGGGAGGCTGAGGTGGGTGGATCACGAGGTCAGGAGATCAAGACCATCCTGGCTAACACGGTGACCGACTCTACTAAAAATACAAAAAAATTAGCCGGGCGTGGTGGCGGGCGCCTGTAGTCCCAGCTACTAGGGAGGCTGAGGCAGGAGAATGGCATGAACCCAGGAGACGGAGCTTGCAGTGAGCTGAGATCTCGCCACTGCACTGCAGCCTGGGAAACAGAGCGAGACTCAATCCGAAACAAACAAACAAAAAATATATATATATATAAAAATTAGGCTGGGCACGGTGGCTCATGCCACCACGGATCACGAGGTCAGGAGGTCATGACCATACTGGCTAACACAGTGAAACCTCATCTCTACTAAAAATACAAAAAGTTAGCCGGGCGTGGTGGCACATGCCTGTAATCTCAGCTACTGGGAGGCTGAGGGAAGATAATCACTTGAACCTGGGAGGCAGAGGTTGCGGTGAGCCGAGATCGCGCCACTGCACTCCAGCCTGGGCGATAGAGCAAGACTCTGTCTCAAAAAGAAATAAATAATATAATATAATATAATATAAAAATTAGTCAGATGCTGTCTGGGCATGGTGGCTCACGCCTGTAATCCCAGCACTTTGGTAGACCGAGGTGGGCAAATCACCTGAGGTCGGGAGTTCGAGACCAGCCTGGCCAACACGGAGAAACCCCATCTCTACTAAAAATAAAAAATTAGCCGGGTATGGTGGCGCGCGTCTGTAATCCCAGCTACTTGGGAGGCTGAGGCAGGAGAATAGCTTGAACCCGGGAGGCAGAGGTTGCAGTGAGCCAAGATGGCCCCATTGCACTCCAGCCTGGGCAACAAGAGCAAAACTCCATCTCAAAAAAAAAAAAAAAAAAAAAATTAGCTGGGCGTAATGGCGGGCGCCTGTAATCCCAGCTGCTCGGGAGGCTGAGGCAGGGAGAAATTCTTGAACCTGGGAGGCAGAGGTTGCAGTCTGAAACAAAAAAAAATGATGTGCTGATAAACAAAGATCTTCAAGATGTATCACTAACTGGAAAAAACAAGATGCAGAACATTGTGTATGGTATGCTAACTTTTGTGTGAAAAAAATGAGGCAAAATAAGAATATAGAGTGATAGATAGACAGATTTTGTTTGTATGTTAGTTTCTAAAATTGAGACAGGGTCTCACTCTGTCACCCAGGCACTTTGGGAGGTGGAGGTGGGAGGATTGCTTGAGCCCAGGACTTTGAGATCAGCCTAGGTAACAGTGAGACTCTGTCTCTACAAAGACATTTTTAAAAACTTAGCTGGACATGGTGATGCACACCTGTTGTCCCAGCTCCTGGGGCAGGGGGCCAGGTAGGATGGTGAGGTAGGAGGATCACTTGAGCTGGAGAAATTGAGGCTGCAGTGAGCTGAAATTGTGCCACTGCACTCCAGCCTGGGTGAGAGTGAGACCCTGTCTCAAAAAAAAAAAAAAACCCGGCAGAAATAAAGTCCTTAAAATGACCTATTAAAAAAAGAACTTGGGGCTGCGCTCGGTGGTTCAAGCCTGTAATCCCAGCACTTTGGGAGGCCAAGGCAGGCAGATCATGAGGTCAAGAGTTCGAGACCAGCCTGGCCAACATGGTGAAACCCCATCTCTACTAAAAATACAAAAGTTAGCTGGGCATGCTGGCACCCACCTGTAATCCTAGCTGCTCAGGAGGCTGAGGCAGGAGAATTGCTTGAACCGGGGAGGCAGAGGTTGCAGTGAGCTGAGATCAAACCACTGCACTCCAGCCTGGGGGACAGAGTGAAACTCCGTCTCAGAAAAAAAAGTTAAAAAAAGAAGTGGGAAAAACATTTTTTGGCCATTTTGGTCTCCCCTGAAATTGTTAACAGAGCATGACAAAGTGTGTGTCTGCTTTCTGCTTTGGAGCTTGAAGACCTGGATAAAATGGATTCAGATACTGCCTGTGGCCTTGGGCAAGTTCCTTTACCATCCCTAAAAGAATACCAACCACTAGAGATGGTCAGGAGGATGGAATAAGGAAGATAATGTTAGACAGGTTGTGTTTCAGAGACTGATACATGGTAAGTGGAAATGCTTGTTTTTGTGTTTTCTGAGACTTGGCACTTTGCTCCTACCTCTTCCCGAGGCACCTCGTGACCACTTCCCTTCTTTTGTTTTCTTTTTTGGTTGTTTTTTCGTTTTGTTTTGTTTTGGAGACAGAGTCTCACTCTGTCGTCCAGGCTGGAGTGCAGTGGTGTGATTTCGGCTCACTGCAAGCTCCACCTCCCGGGTTCACGCCATTGTCCTGCCTCAGCCTCCCGAGTAGCTGGGACTGCAGGCACCCGCCACCACGCCCGGCTAATTTTTTGTATTTTCGGTAGAGATGGGGTTTCACCATGTTAGCCAGGATGGTCGTGATCTCCTGACCTCATGATCTGCCCGCCTTGGCCTCCCAAAGTGCTGGGATTACAGGCATGAGCCACCACGCCCGGCCTATGCCCACTTCCCTTCTAAGCCCTTCTGCTCGTGGTAGTAGCATGCAAGTCTGATCCTTGCGAAGGCAAACACTCTGTCTGGCTCCTCTCCGTCCCCTGCCCATGATGCCCAGCACAGATGCCTTGGCATGTAGCAGGCTGCAGTGGATGCGTAATAAATGTGTTCATTCATTCCACAAAAGATTCACTGAGCACCTACTATTTGGCCAGGTACTCTGCTTGGGGTTGCACATTGAATAGACACATGGCCGTTGTTAACGGTCTAGGAGAAGAGACAGACATTGACCCGATACTTGACTGCAGTGGGATGAGTGAAGAAATAGTAAAGTATAAGACTCTGCAGAGGTGCTAATCTGGGAAAATCTCCCTTAGGAAGTGGCTTTTAAAGTGAGAATTGGGCCAGGCACGGTGGCTCACCCCTGTTATCCCAGCACTTTGGGAGACCGAGGTGGGCAGATCACCTGAGGTCAGGAGTTCAAGACCAGCCTGGCCAACATGGTGAAACCCCGTCTCTACTGAAAATACAAAAATTAGCTGGGTGTGGTGGCAGGCACCTGTAATCCCAGCTACGCGGGAGGCTGAGGCAAGAGAATCGCTTGAACCCAGGAGGTAGGGTTTGCTGTGAGCTGAGATCGCACCATTGCACTCCAGCCTGGGGGACAAGAGCGACACTTCATCTCAAAAGAAATAAAATAAAATAAATAAAGTGAGAATTGAAGGTAAACAAAATGACTGTAGCCAAGATTATGAAGAAAGTGTTGCAGGCAGAGGCAACTGCCTACCCAAACAACAGGCTTCATACCTTTGGGGAGCCACAAGGCTCACATGGCTGACCGCTAGGAATGAGGGGACAAATGTCTGCAGTTTGAAGGCTGACCGGACAAAACTTGTTAACATGGGTGGGCTGATAAGAACAACGGATTTCCACTAAAGGGTTTTAGGTAGGAGAAATTATTGACTAGATTTGGATTTCTTAAAATCTTTCTGAGTCTGGCGTGTTGGCTCATGCCTGTAATCCCAGCACTTTGGGAGGCTAAGGAGAGAGGATCCCTTCATTTCAAGAGTTTGAGACCATCCTGGGCAATATAGTGAGATCCCATCTCTACCAACAAAAAAAAAAAGTTAGCCAGGTGTGGTGGCATGTGCCTTGTAGTCCTAGATACTTAGGAGGCTGAGGTGGGAGAACCTGGGAGGTTGAGGCTGCAGTTGAGCCGTGATGGTGCCATTGCACTCCAGCCTGGGCAATAGAGCAAGACCCTATCTCAAAAAGAAGAGAAGAGAAAAGAAAAGAGGCTTTCTAGTTGCTCTAGAAAGGTTAGGAGACTTTTGCAATAGTTTCAGATAATGATGGTGAATAGATAAACCCCAAATAATTCATCACCAATTGTCTTCAAGTAGTCTATAATACTTACTTATTTACTTAGTTGGCACATTCCTTTATATTTCCCTGAGACTATATCCTCTTTACTTTAGATCTAGGAATTTTTGCTTTAGATCTAGGAATTCACAGCTCTCTTCAGCTACAGATTATTAACTATTTTTAGGATGATTACATCCAATTACCTGTAGATATCATTATGCTGTAGAAGATAATCAGATCTTGAAGCTCTGGAGAGACTTCTCCATCATACACATGCAGGTAGACCACACAGTCTTCATTCCACCCTACCCCAAGTGCCACAACATGGCTCACTGCTCAAACATCACATAATTACTCTACTTAGGAGAAGCATCGAAGAACTTTACCAAAAATTATGCAACTGTGTGATTCTGGCAGGGGAGCAAAAGCAAATATGGAAACTGGGGAATACCAGAATAAAGCTAGTTTTTATCTTTGTTTTTATTTATTTATTTTTTTATTCCTGGGATGAAGACTGACAGAGTTTTTTGTTGTTTGTTTGTTTTTTTCTTGAGACAGAGTCTCACTCTGTCGCCCAGTTGTAGTGCAGTGGCGTGATTTCGGCTCACTGCAACCTCTGCCTCCCAGGTTCAAGCAATTCTCCTGCCTCAGCCTCCCGAGTAGCTGGGATTACAGGCACCTGCCACCACGCCCAGCTAATTTTTTGTATTTTTAGTAGAGACGGGGTTTCACCATGTTGGTCAGGCTGGTCTTGAACTCCTGACCTCAAGTGATCTGCCCACCTTGACCTCCCAAAGTGCTGGGATTATAGGCGTGAGCCACCACACCTGGCCAAGACTGACATAGTTTTTATCTTAATTAGTATGATTACAACAGTAACTCCTTGCCTGCTTTAAGCCTCTAGAAATCAATTTGAGTAACAGTTCAGAAAGTGGTACTCTTGGAATTATCATATCATTAGGGAGTTTCTAGTCCATCAACAGCTATCTAATATTGTTGGCCAAAGTTAAGAGAATTAAAATGATAGGGCAGGCTTGATGGCTCACACAGGTAATCCCAACGCTTTCGGAGATCGAGGAGGGAGGATTGCTTGAGGCCAGGAGTTTGAGACTAGCCTGGGCAACATAGGGAGACCTCATCTCTACAAAAATAAATAAATAAATGAAATGATATAGCAACAGATTTTATTGTCTTACCAAAATAAAAATAGCAATACAAATACACAACTTAAAACTCTGGAATTACTTTTAGTCTGTTCTTCATCTTGTAAAGAATTTAACATTATTGCTGATACAGGTGCTGAGTAATAAAGTTCTGAATCTCTGAATAGAAGGTTATGACTTTACAGGAAAAATACTTTTTTCTTCCTGTGACATTCTAAAAAAAGGAAAGAAGCCATTGTTTAATAATATAATTAGTGCTGTAGATATCAAATGTGGTGCTTCAAGCTGTGTAAATCTGAATCAATAAAAATTCTAAAGACAATGATCAAGATTTTAAATGTCTTCTTAAAACACATTTCCTCACCAGAGGGAGAGACTGTAAACACCATCTGAAAATGAATCTCAAATACTAGGATCTCCTTTCAGAGTGACTTGATGAGAGTGAAAAGCACTCCCAATGACAAAATTATTCTTTGACCTTGAGGGGTAATTATTTGGTAATCTTTTTTGAAAAAAAATTTTTTTTTTTGAGACAGAGTCTCACTATCATTGAGGTGGGAATGCAGTGGCACAATCATGGTTCACCGCAGCCTCAACCTCCTGGACTCAGGAGATAATCCTCCCACCTCAGCCTCCTGAATAGCTAGGACTACAGGCACCCACCACCATGGGTGTATTTTTGTAGAGACAAGGTTTTGCCATGTTGCCCAGGCTGGTCTTGAACTTCTGGGCTCAAGCAATGCACCTGCCTCAGCCTCCCAAAGTGCTGAGATTACAGGCGTGAGCCACGGTGCCCCACCTATTTGGTAATCATGTAGAACTTCATTTTCTTGTTTTGTTTGTTTGTTTTTTTGTTTTGCTACCTTATTTTCACAGGTTTTTAGATTTTTTTGTTGTTGTTTTTAAACCAAGGAAAACACTGTGCATATTGGTCAAGTGACAAATATAATATCTTGTTAATATCTGAATAGTGTATGTCATGGTTATTATTTATCAGTCAAATAAAAGCCGAATCATGAAAGCAGCGTATCTTCAGAATGCCTGAGAGTGCCTGGCACTATGGACATAGACATAGACAACCAAAAAACACTTAGTGACTGATAGTGTTAATAACAATGCTTAATATTGGGTGCTTACCAAGTAGTAGGCAGTTTCATATAAGCAATACCAGTATTACGTGTATTAACTAACAATCCTCACAACAATACTATGAAATAGGTCATGTTGTTATCCTCATTTTACAGATGGGGAGGCTGGGCCACAGAGAGGGTGGATAATTTGCACAAGGTCATAGAGGAAGGAATAGGGGAGGTGGGACTCAAAATCACACACTGACCTCCAGAGGTTGTTTTTTTTTTTTTTTTTTTTTAAGACAGAGTCTTGCTCTGTCGCCCAGGCTGGAGTGCAGTGGCACGATCTTGGCTCACTGCAAGCTGCACCTCCCAGGTTCACGCCATCGTCCTGCCTCAGCCTCCCAAGTAACTGGGACAACAGGCACATGCCCACCATGCCCGGCTAATTTTTTGTAGTTTTAGTAGAGATGGGGTTTCACCGTGTTAGCCAGGATGGTCTTGATCTCCTGACCTTGTGATCTGCCCACCTGGGCCTCCCAAAGTGCTGGGATTACAGGTGTGAGCCACCACGCTCAGCCTGTTTGTTTGTTTTTTTGAGAGGGAGTCTTGCTCTGTCGCCCAGGCTGGAGTACAGTGGCACAATCTCAGCTCACTGCAACCTCCACCTCCCGGGTTCAAGCGATTCTCCTGCCTCAGCCTCCCGAGTAGCTGGGATTACAGGCACCCGCCATCACACCCGGATAATTTTTTGTATTTTTAGTACAGACAGGATTTCACCATGTTAGCCAGGATGGTCTGGACTCCTGACTTCATGATCTGCCCACCTCGGCTTCCCAAAGTGCTGGGATTACAGGTGTGAGCCATCGTGCCCGGCCCGATCTCCAGAGTTTTAAATCACGATGCTGCTGCTGCTGCTGCTTGAAATGTTATCTTGCCCAACCTGGGTGACATAGGGAGATCCTGTCTCTACAAAAAATAAAAAATAAATTAGCCAGGTGTGGCGGTACATGCCTGTGGTCCCAGCTTCTTAGGAGGCTGAGGTGGGAGGATAGCTGGAGCCCAGGAGATCAAGGCTGCAGTGAGCTCTGATCGAGCCACTATACTCCAGACTGGGCAATAGAGCACTACCCTGTCTCAAAAAAATAAAAAAATGTTATCTCACTATGTTGCTCATATTCCTGGGCTGTTCTCAAATTCCTGGGCTAAAGTGATCCTCCCACCTTAGCCTCCCAAGTACTTGGGAGGATTTTGAATGTTCTCACCACAAAGAAACAATAAATGTTTGAGGTGAGAGATATGCTAATTACCCTGATTTGATCATCATACAATGATATATGTATTAAAACATCACATTGTTCTCCATAAATATGTATAATTATGCGTCAATTAAAAATCAAATAAAATTGGCCGGTCATGGTGGCTCACACCTGTAATCCCAGCACTTTGGGAGGCTGAGGCTGGTGGATCACCTGAGGTCAGGAGTTCAAGACCAGCCTGGCCAACACGGTGAAACCCCGTCTCTACTAAAAATACAAAAATTAGCCAGGTGTGGTGGCACACGCCTGTAATCCCAGCTACTCAGAAGACTGAGGCAGGAGAATTGCTTGAACCCAGGAGGCAGAGGTTGCAGTGAGCCGAGATTGCCCCATTGCACTCCAGCCTGGGCAACAGAGTGAGACTCTGTCTCAGAAAAAAAAATAAATAAAATTTAAGTTTCATAGTTTAAAATTGTTTCCATCTTTGGTTCTTCTTGTGCCTTTCAATATTTTCAAGAAAGCACAAGCCAAGAGCAGTGGCTCACACCTGCAATTAAGCTCCGTGAGAGGCTGAGGTGGGAGGACCAAGACCGGGAGACTGAGACCAGCCTGGGATACAAAGTGAGACCCCATGTCTACAAAAATTAAAAATTAGCTAGGCGTGGTGGCTTGTATCTGTGGTCCTAGCTACACGGGAGGCTGAGGCAGGAGGATCCCTTGACCCCAGAAGGTCAAGGCTGCAGTGAGCCGCCATGTTTGTGCCACTGCACTCCAACCAGGGCAACAGAGCAAGACCCTGTCTCAAAAAAAAAAATAATAATGGCCAGACATGGTGGTGCATGCATGTAGTTCCAGCTACTTGAGAGGCTGAGGTGGGAGAATCGCTTGCTCCCAGGAGTTCAAGGTTACAGTGAATTGTGATTGAGCCACTGCACTCCAGCTCAAGACCCTGTCTCCAAACAACAACAAAAATAATAATAATCATAATGATACTCATTTTCCAGTTTACTACCAAGAGTTCTGCAAATGGAAGATGAATTAGTCTTCATGATTTTGTTTCTTTTTTGTGTATATGATTAATCATGACCTTGTTTGAAGATGTTTTGACAGGATATTGAAATTCAAAATTTAAAATTTTGCCATCACTTCTTTGATTGTGGAAATAATTAAGTAAAAGTTGAAGAATGAATCAAAGCATTCATTATGTAGGCTAACTGTGTTTATTAGGTTAACTGTTAAGATTATTGCTGATTTCCACTAATGGGTTATTGATTAACTATAATGACCTCCTCCACCATACCTGGCACATCTTTTTGTGGGTTGGTTTGCCCTATAACTTCAGGAATCACAGTTCAATATTTTATGAGTTACAATATTTGCAGAGGGAATCTGAAAAACATACAGAATTTTTCTGTACAGAAAGCACAGAACACTGCTTCTGACATTTCTGACATATCTAAGTGACAAGATTTCTCAAAACATATGTACCATATAATATACTTTTATATTGCAGGCCAGGCATGGTGACTCACGCCTGTAACCCCAGCACTTTGGGAAGCCCCGGGTGGGTGGATCACTTGAGGCCAGGAGATTGAGACCAGCCTGGCCAACATAGTGAAACACAGTCTCTACTAAAAATAGAAAAAATTTGCCAGGCGTGGCGGTACATGCCTGTAATCCCAGCTACTTGGGAAGCTGAGGCATGAGCATGGCTTGAACCCGGGAGACGGGGGTTGCAGTGAGCCAAGATCATGCCACTGAACTCCAGCCAGGGTGACAGAGTGAGACTCTGTCTCCAAATATATATTATATGTATGTATTTTAATATATATACTTGTAAATACATATACTTTTCTATATTTATAATATATAATATATTTTAAAACATATTTTTAAAATATATATACTTTTATATTGAATTGGACAAGGGATCTCTACATAACATAATTCTAAGTGGCTGGTTGTACAGACTTTTCTCTTTGTACAAACTGAGTGAAATAGGATCCGTTTAAGCATTTACTTTATAATAAAAGTCTCCTTTCCTCCAAAGATGGAGCCTTGCTCTGTTCCCCAGGCTGGAGTGCAGTGGCACAATCTCGGCTCACTGTAACCTTCTCCTCCCGGGTTCAAGTGATTCTCCTGACTCAGCCTCATGAGTAGATGGGACTACAGGCACGTGCCACCATGCCCAGCTAATTTTTGTATTTTTAGCAGAGACAGGGTTTCACCATGTTGGCCAGGCTAGTCTCGAACTCCTGACCTCAAGTGATCTGCCTGCCTCGGCCTCCCAAAGTGCTAGGATTACAGGCATGAGCCACCCTGCCTAACCTGGAAAAAAAAGTTTTTTAAGTTGCTTTTCTTTTAGAGACAGGGTCTTGCTCTGTTGTCCAGGCTGGAGTGCAATGACATGATTATAGCTCATTGTAACCTCACATTCCTAGGCTCAAAGGATCCTCCTGCCTCAGCCTCCCAAGTAGCCAGGAATACAGGTGCACACCACCATGGATGGCTAATTTTTTTTATGTTTTGGTAGAGATGGGGGTCTCACTATGTTGCCAGGCTGGTCTTGAACTCCTAGGTTCAAGTGATCCTCCTTCCTTGGCCTCCGAAAGTGCTGGGATTACAGGCATGAACCACTGCATCTGGTTTTATTTATTTATTTATTTATTTATTTATTTATTTATTTTGGAGACAGTCTTGCTCTGTTGCCCAGGCTGGAGTGCAGATTTCTGCTCACGCAACCTCTGCTTCCCGGGTTCAAGTGATTCTCCTGCCTCAGCCTCCCAAGTAGCTAGGACTACAGGCATGCACCACCATGCCCGGCTAATTTTTGTATTTTTAGCAGAGACAGGGTTTCACCATGTTGGCCAGGCTGGTCTTGAACCCCTGGCCTCAAGTGATCCACCCGCCTTGGCCTCCCAAAGTGCTTGGATTACAGGCATGAGCCACTGTGCCCGGCCAGTTTTATTTTTAAGAGTAAGAATTTATCAGGTGTCTTGCATGCAGCCATAAAGTTTCATTCATTCAGTAATTCAACAAATATTTATTGAATACCTCATCTATAGGTAGGCACTATAGGTAACTCAATAGGATACAAAGACATAAACTGCAGAATTTCTGCTCTTCAGAAGTTTATCACTCAACTGGGGAGGGAAGGGCTGGGCGTGGTGGCTCATGCCTGTAATCCTAGCACTTTGGGAGGCCGAGGCGGGTGGATCACAAGGTCAGGAGATCGAGACCATCCTGGCTAACACGGTGAAACCCCATCTCTACTAAAAATACAAAAAATTAGCCGGGCATGGTGGCGGGCACCTGTAGTCCCTGCTACTTGTGGGGCTGAGGCAGGAGAATCGTTTGAAGCCGGCAGGCAGAGGTTGCAGTGAGCCGAGATCGTGCCACTGCACTCCAGCCTGGGAGACAGAGCGAGACTCAATCTAAAAAAAAAAAAAAAACTGGGAGGGAAGATGCACAGCAAATGAACCACCAAGTTCTGACAATTCTGATCCCTTAACATTTCTTGAATCTTTCCACTTCCTGCCATCCTCAAGGCTGCTCCATTACTTCAAGGCAGCCCCAGCTCTCCCTTGGTTTTCTGTAATAGTTGCTATAACATATCTCCTTGTCCTCAGTCTTATTTTCTTCAAATCTATTCTTCAGAATGTTTTTTCCCCCCTAACACGAGACAGGGTCTTGCTCTGTCACCCAGGCTGGAGTGCAGTGGTATGGTCACATCTCACTGCACCCTTGACCTCCCAGACTCAAGCAATCCTCCCACCTCAGCCTGCCGATTAGCAGGGACTACAGCTGCACACCACCACACCTGGCCCAGAATGTTTTTTCTAAAATGCTAATCTAATTTCTCGCTTTTTTAAAGCCCTTTAATAAATCACCATTGAACTCAGGATGAAGTCTAAGTTGTCTAACTGGCTGAAAGTATCCTTGCTTCTCCTTTTTGTCGCATCTCTGAATGTTCCCAGCCATTCTGAAATCCTTTTAGAGTCCCCAGTTCGCCTTGCTTGCCTTCCCTCATGCTGTTCACCCTGCTTGGAGTGTTATCTGAAGAAATATATTCATTACTTCATTTATTTCCTCAAAATATCTTTTATTAAAGACATCTTCATGTTAGGGCCTATGCACCACCCTGTAGTCAGGGGATGGATGCTTAAGTGGGCCATTGCACTGCAGCAGGCAAGTCCCAGGATGGATGTAGGCACAATAACGGTGGGGGTCATGGATGGATGAATCAAGTCCAGGGAATCAGCAAAGACACTGGAGGGATGGGGTGAAGAACATCCTGGATTGAGGGAGCAGAATGCTTAAAGGCCCAGAGCTGGAGAGCATGTTACTCTGGGAAACAGCAATCAGTGTGGCCTAAGTGGACAGCATGAGCAGGACTGAGGGAACCAGTGCCCAGTCACCAAGCACCTTGTCTGATTTGTTAGGGAGTTGGGGTTTCTTTTCTTTTAAGGTAATGAGTAGCCACTGAAGGATTTTTTTTTGTTTTTGTTTTTGTTTTTGTTTTTTTGAGACAGTTTCATTCTGTCTCCAGGCTGGAGTGCAGTCTTGTGATCTCAGCTCACTGCAACCTCCGCCTCCTGGTTCAAGCGATTCTCCTGACTCAGCCTCCGGAATAGCTGGGACTACAGGCACGCGCCGCCAAACCCAGCTAATTTTTTGTATTTTTAGTAGAGGTGGTGTTTCACCACGTTGGCCAGAATGGTCTCAATCTCTTGACCTCATGATCCGCCTGCCTCGGCCTCCCAAAGTGCTGGGATTACAGGTGTGAGCCACCATGCCTGGCTGGGATTATTTTTTAAGATGGGGTCTCACTCTGTTGCCCAGGCTGGAGTGCAGTGGCAAAATCATAGCTCACTGCTGCCTCCTGGGATTCCAGGGCTCAAGTGATCCTCCTGCCTCAGCCTCTCCAGTAGCTGGCTACAGGCACACCATTACACCCAGCTAATTTTTGTATTTTTTGTAGAAATGGGAGTCTTGCTATGCTGCCCAGGCTGGTCTTGAACTCTTGGCCTCAAGTAATCCATTCACCTCAGCCTCCAAAAGTGACAGGATTACAGGCATGAGCCACCATGCCTGGAAGAAGGATTTTTTTTTTTTTTGGCAGGGCAGGGGTTAGTGGGAGGGAGGGATGAATTGCTGGGGAAGGGAAGAGAAAATGGCATGGTCACATTGATTTTCTTAAAATGAACACTCTAACAGCAGTGCTAGAAAAAGTGGCGATTTGTCACAAATTGTTTAAATAAAAAAACAGTCTTAAATTATTTTTAAAAATCACTTTTAAAATTTCAGGCCCTTCTAATGAAGCTTGGGCAATTGACTAGCATGCTACAGAATTTTAATTGCATAAATGCATATTAGTTTAAAATTATAATTTTTTTTTTTTTTTTTTTTTTTGAGACAGAGTCTCGCTCTGTCGCCCAGGCTGGAGTACAGTGGCGCAATCTCGGCTTACTGCAAGCTCCGCCTCCCGGGTTCGTGCCATTCTCCTGCCTTAGCCTACCCAGCAGGTGGGACTACTGGCGCCCACCACCACACCTGGCTAATTTTTTGTATTTTTAGTAGAGATGGGGTTTCACTGTGTTAGCCAGGATGGTCTCAATCTCCTGACCTTGTGATCCTCCCGCCTCAGCCTCCCAAAGTGCTGGGATTACAGGCGTGAGCCACCACACCCGGCCTTAAAATTATCTTTTTTTTTTTTTTTTTTTTTTTTTGAGACAGAGTTTCCCTCTTATTGCCCAGGCTGGAGTGCAATGGCACGATCTCAGCTCACCACAACCTCCACCTCCCAGGTTCAAGCAATGCTCCCTCCTCAGCCTCCCAAGTAGCTGAGATTACAGGTGCACACCACCACGCCTGGCTAATTTTTGTATTTTTAGTAGAGACGGGGTTTCACCATGTTGGTTAGGCTGGTCTCAAACTCCTGACCTCGTGATCTGCCGGCCTCAGCCTCCCAAAGTGCTGGGATTATAGGCATGAGCCACCATGCCCCGCCAAAATTATCATATTTTAATGGACCCAAAAGTATGAGTTCTTGGAGGGCAGGGGCTCTGCCTGACTTATTTCCTACCCTATCCTCACCACCTACAACAGAGCATGGCACGGAGTGGATTATCAATACATATTTTTAACCAAGTGATTCTGAACTCTCTTCGAAGACTTCTTTCAAGATTATTCAATGAAAAAACTCCCTGGTGGCTAGGCATGGTGGCTCATGCCTGCAATCCCAGCACTTTGGGAGGTCAAGGTGGAAAGATCCTTTAAGCTCAGAAGTTCAAGACCAACCTGGGTAATGCGATGAGACCTCATCTCTACACATAATTTTTTAAATTAGCCAGGCGTGGTGGTGCATGTTTGTGATCCTAGCTACTTGGGAGGCTGAGGCTGGAAGATGGCTTGAGCCCAGATGGTCAAGGCTGCAGTGTGTCATGATCATACCACTGCACTCCAGCCTGGGAGACCAAGCAAGACCTTGTCCCCCTACTCACCACCCAAAAAAAAAAAAAAAACAAAAAAAACAAAACAGGCCAGGTGTGGTGGCTCATGCCTGTAATCCCAGCACTTTGGGAGGCCAAGGTGGGTGGATCAATTGAGGTCAAGAGTTTGAGACCAGCCTTGCCAAGGCCGATGGATCACTTGAGGTAAGGAGTTCGAGACCAACCTGGCCAACATGGTGAGACCCTGTCTCTACTAAAAATTAAAACATTTGGCTGGGTGTGGTGGCACAAACCTGTAATCCCAGCACTTTGGGAGGCCGAGGCAAGTGGATCACCTGAGGTCAGGTGTTCGAGACCAGCCTGTCCAACATGGCAAAACCTCATTTCTAAATTACATACAAAAATTAGCCGGGTGTGGTGGCATGTGCCTGTAATCCCAGCTACTCAGGAGGCTGAGGCAGGAGAATCACTGGAACCCTGAGGGCAGAGGCTGCAGTGAGCCAAGATGGCACCACTGCACTCCAGCCTGGGAGACAGAGCAAGACTCCATCTCAAAAAAAAAAAAAAAAAATTAGCCAGGTGTGGTGGTGCACACCTGCAATCCCAGCTACTTGGGAAGCTGAGGTATGAGAATCCCTTGGACCCAGGAGGCAGAGAATGCGGTGAGCCAAGATCATGCTACTGCACTCCAGCTGGGAGACAGAGTAAGACCCTGTCTCAAAGAATAAATCAATCAATAAATACATAAATAACAACTCCCAGGTATTTAACAACAAAAAATCCAACAATACAAGTAAATGAACCCCCCAGTTGTTAAGGATAAAACTTTAAAATTTAAAGAATTAAATTTTAACAAATCTAAACATTAAATTTATGAAACGATGTGTGATTACTTTATTATAGATCCAAGTATTGAAAAAACATTGTTATTGTTTGGTCCTTTTCTGCCTATGGAAATAATCATTGTCTTCCCAGCCCCAGCACAGCACATAAAACATCGTGGGACTCAAAAAAATATTATTTAAGTGAATAATTGACTGAATTAGTATGGAGAATGCTTCCTTAAACTTCCTTAAGCTTCACATTCACAAAATTCCTAGTGAAAAAAATATGTCTGCACTTCTCTGTATACGCTTTCATCTTCAAGAAGAAAAGAATACACAGAAGTACTATCATTGAGCCAGAAAAGATCTTAGGAACCTTCTAGTAGTTTGATCATAATGGCAAAGAGCTCTAATAAGGGCAGAACTGGGAGGAGAATCCACATCTTCTGATTCCAAACATTTTTCTCTGTCCCATTTTACTACTCCAATTTTTTAAAAATGTGGCAGCATTTATACAAATATTGTTTGGTCCTGTGAAATTCACTTTTTTTGGTACAGCTCAAACCTGTCTCTCCACATGTGGAGTTATTGCAGAGTCATATGTCCCCTGTAGGAGCAGAATTTGAAATATAGATGTGGAATTCATAAATAAAGGTGTTCTTGTCCCCTGAGTAAATCTTGTGTGTTTTTCTGTATGCCAGTTATTTCCACAGTATAAGTTGTTTGCTTGAGCCTTCAACAACCAATGAAGTTACGTTATGCATAAGACCTTGGGGGTTTCATGTTTGCTGGGGCCAATAAAAGCAAATTCTCTCATGCTCTCCTACCGAGAACCTCATTATGACGTCCGGCTGGTTGCCTTTTTAGATCTGCATGTGATTCTACTTCTTTCTCTAGATTCCAGGACAGGCAGAGTTTGTCCTGGAAGCTCCATTTACTCTGTCTTCCTTACTGGCTCTCTTTTTGACCCTTTAGGGTCCTTTAGTGGTCCTCTTTTCCTCCCTTAGCTACCCTTCCCCCTAACCCCCACCCTCACCTGGCAATGTATCTTTCACTTGCAAATCTTTCAGTCCCACTAAAGCTTAAATGCCTGAAAGCACTCTTCTTACCCACACCATTCATCTATTAGAAAAACTATAAGGGAGAAAAAACACTGGCTTCATCCTCAGTTTTGCTTCCCTAAAGGAAGAGACCAGAAGATAATTCTTCTAGGAGTTGCCCCTGATGGCCTTAGGGCTGCCTACAGTCCTCTGGGTCCTCTCTGGAGAGAACTGCTTTGGAGTGTGAAAAGACCATGGCAGAAAGGAAAGGGAAGGCTTGTTCTTCCCTTCTTGGTTCCAGTTCATGGAAGGGCACTCACATCTCTCATGACGAGGATTCAGCCAGAGCATCCAGATAGCTGTGCTGAGCTCTGTAACAGGATAATAGGAAGCTGGAAGCCCCAACAGGCCACATTCTACATTTTCAATGGGGTATTAGGAACAAGTAAACTCTTTTGATGGAAAGGTGATGAAGAGCTGTTTAAACGTTCAACGACCCCTTGCTGGTCTTTCCCAGGCTTACTTATTTCAAGGACTACCTTTTGTCTCTTTGTATCTTTCTCTAGCATCAGAGCTGACCCTACTAGAAAAGACTGTACATGACTGGGTGAAGAACTCCATTGACTTGCCTCCAGTCTTTTCTAGCCATGGAGCGGAAGCATGAACTTAGAAGACAGGCCATTGTGGACCATCCTGGATTTTGAAAATGCTAGAAAGAGTCAGTGGATGGGAGCTCTCTAAACCTTTGGACTCATCTGTGTATAGCATGGGTTTCTTGGCCTCCTGGCCCACTCTATTTTCAATTGGAAATCTGAAAAGTTTGCATGTGATAGGGAGGTTTGTATCCCGGTAAGGGAGGAAGAGGCTGAAACTGTTTATACTGGTGTCATTCATAAAATCTTCTTAGTTCTTCTCCATAGCTTCCTTGAGTTGAGCCTACTGGTCTATCACAACAATGATGCTTCTGCCTGGAGGAATGCAAATACCACCTGGGTAATTAAGTCTGTGATCTTAATTGTCTCCCACTTAATTGCCTCTGAAGGCCAACCCTGCAGTGTTTTCTATTTCCTCAGCCTGGCATGTCTGCTTGTTTTGACTCAGCCTTCTGGATAGCATATGGCTTCCACTAAGCCTGAGCCACCCAGCCTGCAACTACACAGCCCCTCCAGCCGCAGAGGTGGCCCAGTTGTTTCAGTGCTGCCATTCTGCCTCAGCCTCAGCTTCATGCGCCCTTACCCATCTTATGTGCTCATTTTGTGCTCTCCTTTTCCCAAATTCACTGTCAAACTCTTTTTTTTTTTTTTTTTTTTTGAGACGGATTATCTGTCACCCAGGCTGGAGTACGGTGGCGCGATCTCGGTTCACTACAACCTCCACCTCCCGGGTTCAAGCGATTCTCCTGCCTTAGCCTCCCGAGTAGCTGGGACTACAGGCGCCCGCCAACACGCCTGGCCAATTTTTTTTTAGCAGAGGCGGGGTTTGGGGTTTCACCATGTTAGCCAGGATGGTCTCGATCTCCACACCTCGTGATCCGCCTGCCTCGGCCTCCCAAAGTGCTGGGATTACAGGCGTGAGCCACCGAGCCCGGCCCACTGTCAAACTCTTGTTGGGGAATTCTACTGTTACCTTGTAAAGAGAAAGAAGCGCTGCTTGTCATGGTGTAAACACAATCTGGAAAGAAAAGACTGTGCAGTGCATTAGCAATTATATTTAGGTTCTACGGAAAACTTATAGTTAAATTATTAGGCAAATTACTTTCAATGTGTTCTTTGGTATAATTTGGTATATGCAGGAAAGACTTATGAAATATTTTCAAATACTTCAGCCTTCATCAATCTCAGAGTAGGTTTAAAAATAATTAAAATATATTAAAATACTTTTTTTAAGGGTCCAATGAACTGGATCTTGGTAGGCAAAGAAAAGTGTCATGAGCCCGGGGATGGTGGCTCTTACCTGTAATCCCACCACTTTGGGAGGCTGAGGCGGACAGATTGGTTGAGCTCAGGAGTTCTAGACCAGTCTGGACAACACGGTTTCTAACAAGAAGAAGTTTGAGACTAGCCTGGGCAATATAGTGAAACCCCATCTCTACAAGAAATACAAAAATTAGCCAGGCATGGTGATGCATACCTGCAGTCCCAGCTACTTGGGAGACTGAGGTGGGAGGATTACCTGAGCCCAGAGAGGTTGAGGCTGCAGTGAGCCATGTTCGCACCACTGCACTCCAGCCTGAGCGACAATGCAAGACACTGTCTCAAAACAAACAAACAAACAAAAACAAAAAACAAAAAGGCCGGGCGCCAGTGGCTCATGCCTGTAATCCCAGCACTTTGGGAGGCCAAGGCAGGTGGACCACCTGAGGTCAGGAGTTCAAGACCAGCCTGGCCAACATGGTGAAACCCTGTCTCCACTAAAAATACAAAAACTAGCCGGGCGTGGCCGGGCGCGGTGGCTCACGCCTGTAATCCCAACACTTTGGGAGGCTGAGGCAGGCAGATCACGAGGTCAGGAGATCGAGACCATCCTAGCTAACACAGTGAAACCCTGTCTCTACTAAAAATACTAAAAAACTAGCCGGGAGTGGTGGCGGGCACCTGTAGTCCCAGCTACTCGGGAGGCTGAGGCAGGAAAATGGCCTGAACCCGGGAGGTGGAGCTTGCAGTGAGCCGATGTCACACCACTGCACTCCAGCCTGGGCAACAGAGCGAGACGCCATCTCAAAAACAAATAAATAAATAATAAAAACTAGCCAGGCGTGGTGGCGCACACCTGTAATCTCAGCTACCTGGGAGGCTAAGGGCAGAAGAATGGCTTGAACCTGGGAGGCAGAGGTCGCAGTGAGTCGAGACCGCGCCATTATACTCCAGCCTGGGCAACAGAGTGAGTCTCTGCCTCAAAAAAAAAAAAAAAAAAAAAAAAGTGTCATGAAATACTTATCTGGATAAATCAGGAAAATATTTTAGTTTAAATTTATAAAATCATACATTCTCTGGATTCATGGTGTTATGGCATAAGCAAGATTTCACTGTACACAAGACTTTTTTGTTGTTGTTGTTGTTTTTTGAGACGGAGTCTCACTCAGTCACCCAGGCTGGAGTGCAGTGGCGCGATCTCGGCTCACTGCAAGCTTCGCTTCCCGGGTTCACACCATTCTCCTGCCTCAGCCTCCCGAGTAGCTGGGATTACAGGCGCCTGCCACCACGCCCGGCTAATTTTTTGTACTTTTAGTAGAGACGGGGTTTCACCGTGTTAGCCAGGATGGTCTCGATCTCCTGACCTCGTGATCCACCTGCCTTGGCCTCCCAAAGTGCTGGGATTACAGGTGTGAGCCACTGTGCCTGGCTGTACACAAGATTTTTTAAATCTCACTTTTAATTTTATTAGACATTCAAACATTTAGAAATTTAAAATGACTTTGGCCCTATTTCTTAGTTATTTATGACTCTCTCTCTCTCTCTCTCTTTATATATATATAGCATCTGGAAAGTAGTAGATACTGATAAATGGTAAATTCAGTTGTTTTCTTATAAGCAACAACAACTACTACTTGATATCCAGCAGATTATTGTATCCATCTAGAAAAGAGTAAGTATCCAAGATTCAGAGCCTAGTTTTAAAAAAGCCCCTTTGACAACCTTCACAATGTTTTTTGGGGGAAAGTGTTGAGTGAGAAGAGAATTTTCCTTGATTTCTTCAATTCCAAGAGCCCTCCTTTTTTCTTTTTAATATTCCCAAAGTCAAAAGAAAAAGTGAAGCTGGGCATGGTGGCTTACACCTGTAATTCCAGCACTTCGGGAAGCTGAGATGAGTGGATCACTTGAGGCCAGGAGTTCAAGACCAGCCTGGGTAACATGGCGAAACCCCATCTCTACCAAAAACACAAAAATTAGCCAGGTGTGGTGGTGGGCACTTGTAATCCCAGTTACTCAGGAGGCTAAGGCACGAGAATCAGGACCTTGAACCCAGGAGGCAGAGGTTGTAGTGAGCCAAGATCATACCACTGCACTCCAGCCTGGGTGACAGAATAAGACTCTGTATTAAAAAAAAAAATTAAAAAGAAAAAAAAAAAAGAAAAAGAAAAAGGGAGAAGAGGAATGAATGTATGTATAAACAAAAAATGTTTTACATACCCATGGAATTGAATAATTATTATAAAAAGAGCTGGTAAAGAAGGATATTATGATCTTATACAGATGCTCCTGGACTTAAACAATGGATTACATCCCAATAAACCCATTTCAACTTAGGAGCTGAAAATTTTATTTTTTTTTTGAGATGGAGTTTCACTCTGTCACCCAGGCTGGAGTGTAGTGGCGCATTCTCGGCTCACTGCAACCTCCGCCTCCGTGCTTCAAGCGATTCTCCTGCCTCAGCTTCCTGAGTAGCTGGGATTACAGGCATGCACCACCAAGCCTGGCTAATTTTTGTATTTTCAGTACAGACAGGGTTTTACCATGTTGGCCAGGCTGGTCTCGAACTCCTGACCTTGTGATCCGCCCACATCAGCCTCCCAAAATGCAGGAATTACAGGCGTGAGCCACCGCGCCCAACCAAGTAAGTCGAAAATGTATTTAACACACATAACCAGGCTGGGCGCGGTGGCTCACATCTATAATCCCAGCACTTTGGAAGGCTGAGGCGGGCAGATCACCTGAGGTCAGGAGTTCGAGACCAGCCGCCCAAAGTGGCGAAAACCTGTCTCTACTAAAAATACAAAAAATTAGCCGGGCATGGTGGCAGGTGCCTGTAATCCCAGCTACTTGGGAGGCTGAGGCAGGAGAATTTCTCGAACCCAGGGGGCGGAGGTTGCAGTGGGCCAAGACCCCACCACTGCACTCCAGCTTGGACTACAAGAGCAAAACTCCATCTCAAAAAACAAACAAACAAACAAAAAACACATAACCTACCGAACATCATAGCTTAGGCCAGCCTATAGTAAAGGCACTCAGAACACTTACAATAGCCTATAGTTGGGCAAGATCAAGATCATCTAACACAAAGCCTATCTTATAATAAAGTGTTGAATATATCGGCCAGCTGTGGTGGCTAACGCCTGTAATCCCAGCACGTTGGGAGGCCAAGGCAGGTGGATCACGAGGTCAGGAGTTCAAGACCAGCATGACCAATATGGTGAAACCCCGTCTCTACTAAAAATACAAAAATTAGCCAGGCAGTAGTGGCGCTTGCCTGTAATTCCAGCTACTCGGGAGGCTGAGGCAGGAGAGTCACTTGAACCCGGGAGGTGGAGGTTTCAGTGAGCCAAGATCGTGCCACTGCACTCCAGCCTGGGCGACAGAGGGAGACTCCGTCTGAAAAAAATAAAAATAAAAAACTGTTGAATATGTCATGTAATTTATTGAATACTGTATGGGGACTCAAAGTACAGTTTCTACTGAATGGAAATTACTTCTATACCCCATCATAGAGGTGAAAAATTGTGTCACACCTTCCAAAGTTAGGGTCAGGGATCCTTTGTACGTATATATAATTTCACATTTTTTTAGCTAAATGACATGCACTTTCATCTACAGGGATTAGAACTGCTGAAATTATGACTGTAATGGCTCATATATTTATGTAATATTTTTCACTTCACTTTTCATATTAAAAGTGTTTTAAATATTATTCACTTGAAAATCTTCAGATTCTGGTTACATCATGAAAAAAGAGTTGTACTGCCAAATCATGCTAGACCACTCTTAAGAAAATATTTCACGAGCTGTGGCAATTTTCAGTGCCTGGGCAAATGTTATACCGGTTATTGAAATAAATGTTTTACTTTTACATTTCTCTAGGTAAAGATAATAGGATTGAGCACAATGACTCATGCCTGTAATCCCAGCACTTTGGGAGGCCCAAGTGGGGGGACTCCTTGAGCCCAGGAGTTTGAGACCAGTCTGGGCAACATGGCAAAACCCTATCTGTACAAAAAATACAAAAATTAACTGAGTGTGATGGCATGCACCTGTAGTCCCAGCTACTTGGGAGGCTGAGGTGGGAGGATTGCTTGAGCCTGGGAGTTGAGGCTGCAGTGAGCTGCGGTTGTGTCACAGCATTCCCAGCCTGGTCGACAGAGTGAGACCCCCATCTCAAAAAAAAAAAAAAAAGAAAGAAAATAGAATGGTTAAATATTAAATAAATAAGTAGTAGGGGATAGTCTTTCTTTCTTTTACTCAATATTCTGGAATTTATATTCGAATAAAAAGGAAGGGAAAGAAATAAAAACTAAAAGAGTTTATTCCTTCTAGGAAACTTCTTCACATTTCATTCATTCAATTAAGTTATTAATTATTTTTTGGGATATCCTTGAATTCTTTTCATTTTATTTTCAAATACCTTAACTTTCTGTATTTATTTCCCCATCTTAAAATGGCAATAATAATGACCACCTCATTGGACTGTTGTGAAAATTAAATGACTAGATATCATAACATGTTTAGAAAAGTTCCCGGCACAGGCTGGGCACAGTGGCTCACGCCTCTAATCCCAGCATTTTGGGAGGCTGAGGTGGGTGGATCACGAGGTCAGGAGATCAAGACCATCCTGGCTAACGCAGTGAAACCCTGTCTCTACTAAAAAATACAAAAAATTAGCTAGGCGTGGTGGCGGGTGCCTGTAGTCCCAGCTACTCAGGAGGCTGAGGCAGGAGAATGGTGTGAACCCAGGAAGCGGAACTTGCAGTGAGCTGAGATTGCGCCACTGCACTCCAGCCTGGGCGACATGGCAAGACCCCAACTCAAAAAAAAAAAAAAAAAGAAAACTTCCTGGCACATAATAAGTGCTCAGTAAATGTTAGCTATTATAATTACCTTCACCTCTTCTGTCTGGGCTTATGGTTTATCTGCTGTTTGTTCTGACATTCTCAATAAGCATGCAGAAACCAGCTTGAAATGGTTTAAACATGATACCACCTGAAAGCAGGGGAAGTACTGAGAATTTGCTATTAATGCACTTAAGATGATAATTTGATCTCTTCAGAGAGGAATTTCTTCTGCTCTAAAAATACATTTTAAAACATCTCCCAGGGCTGGGCACTGGGGCTTGTGCCTATAATCCCAGCACTTTGGGAGGCCAAGGCTGGAGGACTGCTTGAACTCAAGAGTTTGAGACCAGCCTCAGCAACATGGTGAGACCCTGTTGCTACAGAAAATAAAACAAAGTAGCTGGGTGCAGTGACGCACACCTGTAGTCTCAGCTACTCAGGAGGCTGAAGCAGTAGGACCACTTGGAGCCAGGGAGGTTGAGGCTTCAGCGAATTGTGATTGTGCCACTGTACTCCAGCCTGGGTGACAGAACGAGCCCCTGTCTCAAAAATAAATATATAAAAATAAAAATAAAAGAAGCACTGACCTTGTTGAGGTACAGTATACTTGCTCATGTACTCGTTTTCTCTCGCTCTCTCTTCTCCCCTTTATTGGGCTAGGATAATTTAAAATATTTATAAGTAGATCAGGGTTTCTCAATCTCTGTATATTGACATTGTGGGCTTCTCATTCTTTGATATAGGGGGCTATCCTGTGCATTGCAAGATGTTTCATGGCACTCCTGGCCTCTGCCACTAGATGTCTATGGCACCCCCTCCCCAACCAGTTGCAACAACCAAAAGTGTTTCCATTATCATACTTCTGATATACTTCACCTTCTGATTTACCTGTAATGTGCTCTGATTCTGACATTAGCTGACAGTGTTGTTTTGATAGCCAACACTTAATTGCTAAATGTCTTGTTGGGGAAGTGCCCTCAGTTTGAGAACTACTGAAATAGATTCACTGACTTTGCTAGGTTCTTCATTTTTTTCTAGTCAGAGCACCTGATAAAATAGGTTTTTTGGTTTTTTTTCTGATTTTTCTTTTTTTTTAAATTTTCGTTTATTTTTCACATTTTTCCATGACTCCATATATAATTTTTCTTTTTTTTAAAGACAGTCTTGCTCTGCTGCCCAGGCTGGAGTGCAGTGGCTTGATCACAGCTCATTGTAGCCTGAATCCTGGGCTCACGGGATCCTCCTGCCTAAGCCTCTTGAGTAGCTAAGACACAGATATGTGTCATCATGCCTGGGTTAATTTTTTTAGTTTTGTAGAGCCAAACTCTCATTTATGTTGCCCAGGCTGGTCTTGAACTCCTGGCCTCAAGTGATTCTCCCACAGTAGTCTCCCAAAGCACTGGTATTCCAGGCGTGCACTACCACGTCTGGCTAATTTTTTGTATTTTTGTAGAGATGGGATTTCGCCATGTTGGCCAGGCTGGTCTCAAACTCCTGACCTCAAGTAATCTGCCCGCCTCAGCCTCCCAAAGTGCTAGGATTACAGGCATGAGCCACCTCGCCCAGCTCATTTTATTTTTATTTATTTATTTATTTTGAGATGGAGTCTCACTCTGTCACCAGGCTGGAGTGCAGTGGCATGATCTCGGCTCACTGCATCCTCTGACTCCCTGGTTCAAGCGATTCTCCTGCCTCAGCGTCCCGAGTAGCTGGGATTACAGGCATGTACCATCACGCCCAGCTAATTTTTGTATTTTTAGTAGAGATGGGGTTTCACCATGTTGGCCCAGATGGTCTCGATCTCCTGACCTTGTGATCCACCTGCTTTGACCTCCCAAAGGCTGGGATTACAGGCATCAGCCACCACCATGCCTGGCCCATAATGAGATGTTTTTGTGCAAGAAAGAAATGGCATATCTTTTCAATCCACAGATACCAACTTTAGTTTCCCTACTCTATTTTGCTTCTTATATATTGCAACGGACAGAATATTTGTGTCCCCTGAAAATCAGTATGTTGAAATCCTAAACCCTAATGTGATGGTATGAGGAGATAAGGCCTTTGGGAGTCAGTAGATAACGAGGGTAGGGTCCTCATGAATGAAATTAGCGTTCTTATAAAAGACACCCCAGAAAGCTCTCTAGCCTTTTTTCCCCCTTCACAAGAGAGTACAGGAAGAAGTCACCGGTCTGCAACCCGAAGAGGGCCTTTGCCAGAACCTAAACCATGCTGACGCCCTGGCCTCAGACTTCCAGCCTCCAGTACTGTGAGAAATAAATGTTGTTTAAGCCACCCAGACTATGGTACTTTGTTACAGCAGCCTAAACTGACTGTTACAGCAGACCTATAACCCTATCTCATTATTTTTATTTTTGGCCTAGAAGTACTTCAACCAAAACAGCTATAGCTTCCTCTGTCCTGTCTGAGAATGGTCCAAGTTAAGTGATACACTTCTCTCATTTCTCCATGAGTAAGAGATTCTTGGGACCCATTGTTCAATGTCACCTCATAGAAGAACTGTACAGATTTCTCAGACTATCAAACTGTAACTCCTAGATTTAGCAGCCTTGTCACCTACTTTTTCACTATGTTCTCAAAAGGTAGCAACTCACCTGCAGGCAACTGCTGATTCTGCTCCTGATTGATTTGAGGCTTCACAGACTCTACGTAGATTATTCACTGGGGTCTTAACATCACAGACAGAATACTCATAATTTTCCATAAATATTCTCCACACTAAATTGAGCTTGATGGAAATAGGGGTGCAACCCATACTTTATCTTCCCAGGTCAATTTTTTCTTGAAATGAGTATCCTGACTGGGCAAGGTGGCTCAGGCCTATAATCCCAGCACTTTGGGAGGCTGAGGCAGGAGGATCACTCGCCTACAGGAGTTTGAGATCAGCCTGGGTAACATGGCAAAACCCCTTTCTACAAAAAAAAAAAAAAAATATATATATATATATATATATATACACACACACATATATTTACATTTATATGTATATATTTACATATATATGTATTACATATATGTATATATTTATAATGTATAATATATATTATATATATATATATTTATTTACAAAAAACTAGCTAGGCATGGTGGCATGCATCTACAGTTCCAGCTGCTCAGATGGCTGAGTCAGGGAGGATCCTTTCAGCCTGGGAGAGACACAGTGAGATACTTTTTCCAAAAAAAAAAAAAAAAAAAGATCCTTTCTCTCTCACCCTGTTTTAGCATCATACACAATCACACTTTTGTCAGAGTTAGATTGGTAATTTTTTTTGAGACAGTGTCTCACTCTGTCACCCAGGCTGGAGTGTACAGTCTGCATGATGGCATCATCACAGCTCATGCAGCCTCAACCTCTCAGGCTCAAGTGATCCTTTCACCTCAGCCTCCCGAGTAGTTGGGACTACAGGCGCATGCCACCATGCCCAGCTAATTATTGTATTTTTGGTAGAGACCAGGTTTTGCCATGTTGCCCAGGCTGGTCTTGAACTTCTGGGCTCAAGTGATCCTCCCACCTTTGCCTCCCAAAATGCTGGGATTACAGGCCTATGGTAAAATTGATTTTGTTATATGTCCTTGTAGGTTTTTTTTATTGTTGTTTGTTTGTTTTGAGAACGAGTCCCGTTCTGTTGCCCAGGCTGGACTGCAGTAGCGTGATCTCCGCTCACTGCAGCCTCTGCCTCCCGGGTTCCAGCCATTCTCCCCGCTTAGCCTCCCGAGTAGCTGGGATTACAAGTGCCCACCACCACGCCAGGTTAATTTTTGTATCTTCAGTAGAGAGGGGTTTCACCATGTGGCCAGGCTGGTCTCGAACTCCTGACCTCAAGTGATCTGCCTGCCTCGGCCTCCCAAAGTGCTGGGATTAAAGGCATGAACCACCATGCCTGGCCTATCCTTGTGTTTAAAGTCGCAGTTTCCAAGATCCTCTCCATGACCATGTTAAGTGAGGATTTACTGTATTTGCATATACTGTATTTGTAAACTTCCCGTTACTTTCATCTCTAGATTGCTTATAATACCTTATACGATGTAAACTTTAAATCATCTCTACATTGCTTATAATGCCTTATACAATGTAAATGCTATGTAAATATACTGCATTGCGTTTTATTTTGTATTATTTTTATTGTTGTTGTTGTTTTTTAATGTTTTCCACCCAGGGCTGGTTGAAACTGAGGATGGGGAACCCAGGATACAGAGGGCCCACTGCACATCATATATCATACATAGTACATTATATATGTATTATATATGTATATAAAATGGCTTGATATTATTCATTTATGTAATGAATAAAAACTTAGGTCTGAAAATCATCCAAAATAATTCTGGTACATCTAAACATTGAGTTGTTGCGTTTTTCTTTATTGGAGGGGGAGTTAGAATAAGTGGTGCTTTGAGGTTAGCCATAGTCCATCGTGGATGAACATTTGCTAAAGAAAATTGTTATTAATTCAATAAATCATTTATCTACCTCTTGGTGGCACAAAGGGCCTAGTAAATTTTGGTGGGCTATTTGCTCTTAAGCAAAGAACAATCTGTAAAGCTGATTTGGAGGACGCTTGGGAACAAACGAGAGGCAACCACGTGAAAGGCAACGTGCATGTGACTTTCACAGAAAATACTATTTGATGATGATTTAGTACGTGAAGTGCAGCTAGGGTAAAAGGAAAATCTGAGTGTTGCAGATCAAGGGCACCAGGTGGGACGCAGTTGGCATGCAAGCTCAGCCAGCCAAAACATGCGCTGTCAAACCAATCACTTGGGATTACAATGTTTTGGTTTTCAGGAAAGGTTGCTTGTTGAAGCAGCCAAATTCCAGCCTGGAGAGACAGAGTTGAAATTTTAAGGAGACTTTCCCAAGAAGTATTTCGATATCTTTTCCGACACCCTGAGAAGATCACGAGGCGCCAAGAATGCACGCCCTGCGCCTCACCCCAACCCCTCTCTCAGCTACCTGGCCCCAAAACCAGGCCTCTAAAATGGATTAGAGAGGTCTGGGGCCTAAAATTGGCCTCGGAAGCGTTCTTTTTCCCTCTTTTCTCCACCCCTTCCAGAGTTCAAAACTGGGTGTGCCCTCCCTTTTCCGAACGCAGCCCCCATCCGAAGGGCGGATCCTGATTCCCGCGGGCTCAGGCCCCCGCAGGTTGGCGGGAGCCGGTGGGGGCGGGCCGGCCGAGTCCGGGGGAAGCAAAGAGAACGCTGCCGCGCGCCCCGATCAAACTCGCGCCGCCACCAGCTCACGAGCTGCGCCCCACCCTCTCCGTCACCGAAGAGGCCCAGCCAATGAGCGGGCGAGAAAGGCCGGGCCTGCGAACTAGGCACCGGGAGGGAGAGGGCCGCAGGGGGAAGGGAAGTCGAGAGCTCGAGGGCGGGCTGCTCTTGATTGACAGCTCGTTCGAACGAATCCTCCACGCGGCTTTCCTTCGCTCTCTTTTCTACTCATCCCTGCTCTTCGTCCCACCTCCTCCTCCTCCACCCCTCTCCTCTTGCCTTTCGACCCTCCCCACTTCCCCTCCCCCACTCTGCGGGCAAATCGCTGCTGAAAAGAGGTAGGGGCCGAAGCGGCGGGCTCGTGTGGAGCCGTGAGGCGGGATTGACTGGCGCTCGGGCCAATGAGAGATAGGCTCATGGCGCGGCTGTAGCTGGAACTGACCAATAGGAGGGCGGGCTGGGGGCGGAGGCCCAGGTTCCAAACGCTCCGCGGCGCCATGGGCTGAAAACTCAACCGAGATGGAATCTCCCAGTCTGAACCGGTTTCAACCGGTTCCGAGTTTGAGGCACTAGGAGGAGGGGGAGAAGCGGCTGCAGCGGCCGCGGCAGGAGCAGCGGGAGCTACAGCATCAGCAAGAGCAACAGTAGCTACAGCCCCGGCGGCGGTGCCTGTTCCAGTCTTTGCTGCTGCAGTCCGTGCAACCACCCAGAGGGGGAGGGGGGAACCACCAGTCGCTGAGGAACAAGAGAAGGGGGGAAAGTTTAGGCGAGCCTTGGGGGGGGGGGGGCCAGCGCCGGAGCCGCGTGAGAGAGGGAGCCGTGTTTTGGTAGGGGGGAGTCGGACTGCAACTGGCAGCAGAGCGTCTCCCCGGCCGTGTGGACTCTACACCCCCTACTCCTGCCGCTTCTGCTGCTGCCTGTGGCTGGAGGGTCCCCCTGGGGCTGAATCTTTGGGACTTGACCCCGTTCCCTCCCCCTTCCCTCACTCCCCAGCCGGGCGGGAGCATTTATTCCCCAGATTAATTCCCCTTTTGGGGGGGGGCGGGTGTGTGTGTGTGTGTGTGTGTGTGTGTGTGTTGGGGGAAGCGTCCCTGAAATAGTAAATATTATTGAGCTCTTTTTGCCCTTTTCCTGTCCGTTTTTTTAATTTCCTTTTTTGAGGTGGGAAAACTGAAACCCACCTTGATTCGTCCCCTCTCCCCCCTCCCCACCTTCCCTCGCCCTAATCCCCCAACGAGGAAGGAAGGAGCAGTTGGTTCAATCTCTGGGTAAGTCGACTGTGTCTTCGGGGCCGAGGGTCGGGCGGCGGCGCGGCCGGGCGGGCGGGAGGAGGCCGGCGTGGGGCGCGGCGGCGGCGGCCGCGGGAAGCGAGCCCGGGAGGCGGCGGGCGGGCCGGGGGCGCGGCGGGCCCACAGCGGAGCCTGCGATTGAATGGAGCCGCTTTTGCCGCTGGGGGATGGAGGCGGGGAGGCGGCCTCGGGAGGGGAGCGCTTGCTGGGTCATTCGCGTGTGCGGGTGGCGGTGGAGGAAGGCGAGGAGTGTGATAGTGAAGCGGGGCCCCGCGCGGGGTGGGAGGGGTTCCCCAGCCCCTGGGGCTGGGGAGAAGTTGGGGTGATTTCAGGAACATCTCTGTAAATTATTAGGAGTGGAAGTTTCCAGAAATATTTAGTGCAGCAGCATTGAAACGTCCGCCTGCATCACGTGGCCCCCTCGGTGGAGAGCTTGGGATGGGGGAGGGAGGGGCTGCCGACTCCCTGTTCCTCCAGCAAGGAAACTCGAAAGCTCTCCGGTTTTGCAGAGTGGCATGTGAAGTAGGAAAGATCAGTTTTTCAGGGGCCTGCACATGGGATTCCGTCTTGTAGTTCCTTTTCAGGGGTTTGAATGTGATAAGTTGGTTAAACCATTTACTGTTGGCCTTGTACAGTGGAGGATGCCCTGATTCTCCTTCATTCCGATGTCTGTGAGTTTGGGTTGGGTGGGAGGAAGTGGTGTAGTAGAGGAAGCATTCAGTACTGGCTCAGCCCGGACCTCCTCTGATCACGCCGAGGCCATGCTGCATAGAGAAAGGGGCGGTGAACTTAAGGCGCCTGGTCTAAATGCCTCCTCCGAGTAAGGGCGGGGTGAGTGCGTGCTCCTGTGTGCTATAGTTAGAAGGGCTGCAAATCGGTTCGGGTGGGAAGCGAGGGGAGGGCGGGCCCTAATGAGGTGTGTTTTTCCTGAATGAAGCGGGCGATTGCCCACACAACCTAAGGAGCAGTCTTTCGCCTTGTAGCGACTTGTTTTTCACCTAGTGTGAAGTTATTAAGCAACGGTTATGATTTTCTGGGTTTTGTTTAGGAATTGGCATTGGGTGTCACTTGTAGAGTCACATTATCCATTAAGCTGGATAATCCCTAGTGTATGTTATCCAGTGAGTGGATTTTAGGATTGAAGAGCCCAATGGGAATGAGCGTTCGTGGTTACACCTCTCGCACTATGGCTTGTTTGCTGTCTGATTGTATATCTTAAGTGTGGGACACTGCTGTTAGTGGAAAGAATGTTTTGGAAGCGGTTTGATTTGGGGGACTAAATGTGCTTGGCATTGACCACAAAGCCGCCATTTCTGTACTATGTACAGTTCAGGAATAGGTAGGTGATTTCGAAGATAGCCGCTAGTTCTAAGGATGGCAAACTACTGTATTTAAATCCTTCTATTCTAAATCTCGTTTTTCACATCAGTCTAGTTCGGAGAATTTTATAAGAACAGTGTATTTGAAAATGAAACTTGTAAGAGTCATTTTCTTAATCCTTTTTTGTTTTAGCATTCAACTATGGTAGTAAATAGGTGAAAAGTTTGTTCAATATTTAACCGAAATATTTGAAAACTTTTGATACATGGATCTTGGTGCTTTGTGGACATTGCTTTTAAGCCTCAAATAATTAAGATTGTTCTGATCTTTTAAATTTTATGGTACTTGAAGGTGGAGGAGAGTTTACACATTCATTTGTGGAATATATATTTCCTCTCAGTATTTAGATCTTAAGGTTTTTTTGTGGTGTGTAACAAGTATTCTGCTGTTTAAAAACGTTTGTTTAATGCCTACTACGAAACGTTTTGAAGTCTCATCAGTTTTGTCAATAATGGACCAATTCTTGAACTCCTAATTTCTTGAGTTTTACATTATTTTTACATCATATCAATCATAGGTGACTCATCTTTTGGAGTTCTAATCTGTTGTAACAGACGTTATATTTAAATAAGACAATTGCATTAAAATAGAATTTGCTGCCATTATTGTTATGGACATTTTTAAGCTGTTATAAAATAGCCAGGAATTAATGACTTTTTTTCCGCCCTGCCAAGCTAGTTTGTCTAAATATAATGTAAAGAAATTAGCTACTCATTTTCTGGTCCACGAAAGTTCCTAAAATGGGAAGAAGTGGAGATCTGACCTTGTTAGTTCTAAATACACTAAACTGGGAGTGCCATGGATGGCTTTCAGGATGTCCTGAATCCTCTATAATTGTATACAAAATCGTGAGTTTTTAAAAACTGGGTTAGAGCTATTGGTTCCTCAGAGTCTCAGGCATCTTAGACCCCCAAAAAGGTTAAGGACTACTGACTTAACCAATTAGGTTTGAGTGGCATTGGCTTTGAAGAAAAGCAGAGGAAAGATATATTTTATAATTCTGGGCAACAAAAAAGTGGATGTGTGCCAGCATCTTAGAGTAGAATCCTCTTAAAAGGATAGCACTGCATATGAACTAGTAGGTTTTAACCAGTGCATATTTAGGCGAAGTAGCTCATTTTTCTGTTAGAATTCTTTTTTATTTGGGAATGGGCAAGCTTTTACAGCTTTTACCTTGCCAATGAATACCTGGAATTTAAAAAATCTTGTTAGGCATATTGCCCATAAAGTTTTTTTTCCTAGATCATATATTCAGTAAATATGTTTGTAGCTTTATTTCAATCCCCCAATTCATTGAGGGTTGAAACAATTTGAATGGTTTGAGTGTAGAAGCTAAGTTATTTCTGTAGAGGCTAAGGGCATTTATACCAAGATATGTTAGACTTGTGGTTCCTGCTAACCATTGCTGTAGACAATAGGAATTACTGTATATCCACATTTTAATTTTTAACATCATTCTGTCTTTGTTTGTTTGTTTTTGAGATGGAGTCTCATTCTCTTGCCCAGGCTAGAGTGTGGTGGTGCATCTCGGCTTACTGCAAACTCCGTCTCCTGGGTTCAAGCAGTTCTCCTGCCTCAGCTTCCCAAGTAGCTGGGATTACAGGTGCCCGCCTCCATGCCTGGCTGATTTTTGTATTTTTAGTAGAGACGGGGTTTTGCCATGTTGGCCAGGCTGGTCTGGAACTCCTGACCTCAAGTGATTCGCCCACCTCGGCCTCCCAAAGTGCTGGGATTACAGGTGTGAGCCACCACGCTCGGCCCATTCTGTCTTTATAGCATTATTTTTATAAAGTTAAGATAATGTGAAGTGAGCTTTTACTGAGTTATTCAGAAGACCCTACTTGGGAAGAAAAGAAAATCACATTCACTTGAACTTAATCCTACTTGCTTAAAAAGTTTTGACATCAAGATACTGAACTGTATCACGTTTTAGGACCATAAAATCCTAATAGTGGATGCGTTTAAATAATAGGTTAGCATACTTTATAAATGTTAGTAGAATAGGAAAGTCTTCCTGGTGTATAAACTAAACACTAGAAAAGTTGAATGGACCATAATAATTTATGTAATTATCAAATAGCTAAGTAATTTCAGCTTTTGTTACTTGCTTTTACTATCTCAGTTTTCTGTAATTAAAGTCTCTAAAGTATTCATTAAAATATTTGTAATAACATGGTTGAAGTAAAATAACTTGTAGGAAGTTTTTGATAATACCAAAACTTGATAGGCAGCTTCAATTTTTTTTCTTTATTTTCAGTAATCTATGCCAGCAATTATGACAATGTTAGCAGACCATGCAGCTCGTCAGCTGCTTGATTTCAGCCAAAAACTGGATATCAACTTATTAGATAATGTGGTGAATTGCTTATACCATGGAGAAGGAGCCCAGGTAAAGTAGCCAACCAAAACTTTATAACATTATGACAGTGTAACAGAGTTGTTGGGTTTAGAATAAAATTTTAAATTATCACCTTTAAAAAAGATATTCCATAGTTTGCATTAATTTGGAATTCTGTATTAACCATAATGAAAATTGGTTTGGAGAAAGAAATTGCATGTTTGACATGGTTAGAGTGGGTTGTTTTGGAATATTATACTTGTTTTGTCCTTAAGAGCCAAATGTTATTAAATACTTTGTAGGTATTAAAGGTTCTCTGTACTTTTATATATACTTAATATGTTTGGCACTAATACGATTCTTCTACTTTTAAAACATTTACAGAAGTACTTCACAGATATGTTTGTTTAAATAAAAACAGGAATACCAAGTATTTTTATGTTAGTTGAATTTTGTGCACTTTTCAAAGTGGTACTGTTAATGTAGGGAATTATCTTAAACATAAACCAAATTTTGATCAGTTTAAGATTTTTGGTTTTTTTGAACCCAACTAAAAGGTGAAACAGAAATGTGTGTACAATTTTAAATTGTATATGTCACAAGAAAAAAAACTTGATTTTTTACCTGTGGGGCCAAACTTTTTTTTGAGACAGTCTCGCTCTGTGGTCCAGGCAGGAGTGCAGTGGCGCTATCTCAGCTCACTGCAACCCCTGCCTCCTGGGTTCAAGCGATTGTCTTGCCTCAGCCTCCCTGGTAGCTGGGATTACAGGCACACGCCACCATGCCTGGCTAATTTTTGTATTTTTAGTAGAGATGGGGTTTCACCGTGTTGGCCAGGCTGGTCTTGGAACTCCTGACCTCAGGTGATCCACCTGACTCGGCCTCCCAAAGTGCTGGGATTACAGGCATGAGCCACCGCGTGCTGGCCCAAACATGTTTTTGAATGAGTAAAAAGTTTTGCAGTTGGGTCAGAAATCTTTTTTTTTTTTCAGATGGAGTCTTGCTCTGTCACCAGGCCTGAGTGCAGTGGCACAGTCTCGGCTCACTGCAACCTCTGCCTCCCAGGTTTTCAAGCAATTCACCTGCCTTAGCCTCCCGAGTAGCTGGGACTACAGACGCGCCACCATGCCCAGCTAATTTTTTGTATTTTAGTAGAGATGGGTTTCATCATATTGGCCAGGATGGTCTCCATCTCCTGACCTCGTGATCCGCCTGCCTTGGCCTCCCAAAGTGTGGAGATGACAGGCATGAGCCACCGCGCCTGGCCAGAAATCTTTTATGGTAGTTTTGTTGCCAGAACAGTAGATTTCTGGTTAGATAAATGTTCAGCTAGTAGATGGGAGGTTACTTATATTGTCAAGATATTTATATTTGCATAATTAAGAAACTGAGTGCCGGCCGGGCGCGGTGGCTCACGCCTGTAATCCCAGCACTTTGAGAGGCCGACGCCGGCGGATGACGAGGTCAGGAGATCGAGACCATCCTGGCTAACACGGTGAAACCCCGTCTCTACTAAAAACACAAAAAATTAGCCAGGCGTGGTGGCGGGCGCCTGTAGTCCCAGCTACTCGGGAGGCTGAGGCAGGAGAATGGCGTGAACCCGGGAGGCGGAGCTTGCAGTGAGCCGAGGTTGCGCCACTGCACTCCAGCCTGGGCAACGGCATGAGACTTCGTCTCAAAAATAAAAATAAATAAATAAAATAAAATAAAAAAACCTAAACCTGAGTGCCATTACACTTTCTGAAAATATATAAGGTGGATACAGTACTATCTTTTATAGTAGTCCAAAAAGCATCATGTATAAATGTTTCCATTCCCTTATGAAATGCAACAGTACTGCTTTTACTATAGTAGAAACTTGAAAAAGGTCCATGGAAACGCTAAAAGTAGAAAAAATTACTCTTGCAGTGATTCTGTAAGCTTGTTAGCCCAGGTTTATACTTTTAGGGCGTTTTGATCAGTATATTATCTCCTAAAGCATTCTTGAAAAAATTAACCATCCGTATTTATTATCCCTGTCATTTAGTTGTTACTCATGCTATACATTCAACATGAAGCTTTAAGCTTCATTTCTTCTAGCATGGATGCATAGAAAGCAGCTGCTTTTGGAGGAAGCTATGAAAGTAAGGTTGGGTTCAACTCTGAATGTAATATTGGAAGCACAGGTCTGTAGCCATTGGGAAAAAGGGCATTTAATTTTTTCCGCATAGATTCAGCTACTAATACTGTTTAATCTTCACACTAAACTAGTTCACTACATCTAAAGGTATGATAAATAAACCAACATAGAGCAGTGTTCTTCATGGCTTGTAACAGAATTAGTGGCAATTTTTGTAATTGAGAATATATTACAGCAATACTGCTTTTAATAATGTTTCATAGTATTAAGAAATTTAATGGTTTGTTTTAAAATTGACTTGTTAATAAAAAGTAGATTAAGAAAAGTGTTTCTAAATTTTTTTGTTTGTAAGGACAATAGGTTAACTTTCCCAAAGTAAAAGGATTTTGTCTGCAGTAGTTAATAGATCATGTGACAAAATCAGTTGCGTAGAAATAACTAGCAAACTTATTTTGTATTATAAATGAAGAAACAAGATTTAGAGCTTAAAGCTGGTTAAGGAGTCCTTTTGGTCTCTAAAAGTCCTATGTCGTTAGTTCAGTCTACTTTTCGTTTACCACCTCCTTGGGGGTCTTATTTCAAAGGAAAAGGAGTAGTAGTAGCAGCGAGCTGCTATAGTGGAAAACATGATTTTTAGTGTTAGACGTCTTAATTTGATTCTTGGAAGCTCTCTCTAGTCATTGCTTAAGTCCCATGTACAAATATGACCTGTCCTACAAGAGATTGGAGGGTTAGTTATGAGGTTTAAAAGCACCTATTACAGTGCTTGATAGGTAGAAGGCACTCAGCTTAAAGGGTACATTTAGCAGTATAATGAAAATGATTTAGCATATGTGATACTCATTGCTTAAAATTAAAAAAATTTTTTTTTTGCTACTCATAAAATATGCACTAATGACAAGAAAAATTTATTATGCTAATTAAGCTTTTAAAGTCAACTGGGAAAAAAAGCTGTAGGTAGGTTTTTTTTTTTTTAAAGGAATGTGTAACTTGGGGGAGGGGAAGAAATTATTTACAAGGGTGACTTTTAATCTGTAGACAGAACTTCTGCATACATGGTTAGTATAGTAGGATATTTAGCAGTGTAACATTAGGACTACCCTCTACCCTCTGTTATCAGCATTTTTCTATTTTTAGCCAAGTAGACAGCTAGAAAAAAGATGCGGGAAGAGTTGGATGTTTTCTCCAATATTGTGTTCTGTTAAAGATCTTGAACTCTATTGCTTAGCAACTAAAATGCTTTCACCATTCAGTTAGTAGTACAAGGGAGATGCTAGGTTTTCTCTCTTTAGTTTGCTTTTGTGTCTTTTTTTTTTAAACCCCTGCTGGGGTTTTAAGTTTATAAAGAACATTATGTAAGAATGGTGGGATTAGAATAAATCAGAATGCAAATACTAGAAGTAGCATCAGAGAGTAAAATTACAACTAACAGGAAAGAATATTATTTATGTAGCGATTGATGTGAGTGGTGATAGTGTGGGAAGTATTTGATTCTGTGTAGAATGCTTATCACTTCAAAGCATCTGACAAAATGGTAACTTGACCAAGTAACTTTTACTGTGTGAGGATCTTTGATACAACTTTTCCTCTAGTTAGATAAGGTTATCTAGCTAGATATTCTCAGGGAGAAGACCAAAACACTGCTAAAATGTGCTTTGGCCCTAGATAAGCCACATCATTATTCTTTCGGCCTTCTGTCATTTCTCATATGACACATTATGCCCATCAGTCCTTTAATGAAATCAAATAGAAATGTGTATGATTGTATTTTAAAGTATACACATTAACTCTTGTAACCACAGACTCACAATGGAAGCAGGCGTCTGATCTTTTCAGGCAACCACAGTGGTTCTGGTGGGTTTCTGGGTAGAGAACAACCATATAAGTTATTGAGTGTGTAGCAGTGTGTTTTCCTGATTGATGTATGGGATAGTCATGAATGTGGTATTGTATTTCCTACCTGAGGAAAAGGTCATGATTAAAATAAAGCATCAAAGCCAGGATAAGCATATAATTTCTTTCTTTTTTTTTTTTTTTGTAATGAGACAGAGTCTCACTCTGTAGCCCAGGCTGGAGTGCAGTGGTGTGATCTCAAATCACTGCAACCTCCGCCTTCCGGGTCCTGGTTCAAGCAATTCTCCTGCCTCAGCCTCCTGAGTAACTGGGATTACAAGTACGCCCCACCATGCCCAGCTAATTTTTGAATTTTTAGTAGAGACGGGGTTTCACCATGTTGGCCAGGCTGGTCTTGAACTTCTGACCTCGTGATCCACCCACCTTGGCCACCCAAAGTGTTGGGATTACAGGCGTGAGCCACGGTGCCCACCCGAGCATACGATTGTTTTAAAAAAGACTAGAATAAAAGCCAAGCTAAAGATTATAAGGTATCTTTGTCAGAAATGGTTGTGAGAGTGCTTCCTACCCTGTTTTTGATGCTTTATTGTTTATAACCATAGAATTAAACCCATGATAAAGTAAAGTATAAGAGAAAGATAACTGACAGATTTTAAAGTCATCAAACTTTTTTCTTGCTCTGTCACACAGGCTGGAGCACAATGGCTTGATCACAGCTCACTGCAGCCTTGACTTCCCAGGCTCAATCTTCCCACCTCAGCCTCCTGAGTAGCTGGGACCATAAGTGCGTGTCCCACCACACCTGGCTCATTATTAATTTTTCTTTGTTGCCCAGGCTGGTCTTGAACTCCTGGGATTACAGACATGAGCCACCACACCTGGTCCAAACTTTTTGCTTACAACTTTTAATAGAAATAGGTAAAAGAAATAGGAAGGATCTAATTGAGTTATAAAACAACCTTTAAAGATACAAAAGTGAAAAAGATTAAGCCATTGCTTTTTGTCAATAGAATTAAAAGCTGTTGGTAAAAATATTAATGTATGAAAAACTTATTGAAATGAAAAAACTATATATATATATATATATATATATATATATATATATATATATATATAAATAAAATGTCGACATGGCTGGATCTTAAAAACTGTCAAATGAAAAAAACTAATTGCAGGAAAGATTTTTTTTTTTTTTTTGAGAGGGAGTCTCACGCAGTCAACCCAGGTTGGAGTGCACTGGGGCAATCTTCCTGATTCTTGGGGAATCTTGGCTCACTGCAACCTCCGCTCCTGGATTCAAGCGATTCTCCTGCCTCAGCCTCCCGAGTAGCTGGGACTATAGGCGCACGCCACCATTCCCGGCTAGTTTTTGTATTTTTAGTAGAGATGGGGTTTCGCCATATTGGTCAGGATGGTCTTGAACTCCTGACCTTGTGATCTGCTCACCTCGGCCTCCCATAGTGCCAGGATTACAGGCGTAAGCCACCGTGCCCAGCCTAAAAGATTTTTAAGTATACTATTAACATAAAATTTGGTAGCCGTACAACCCTATTCATGAAATTTACACACATGCCGTGAAAATGTGGACAGGAAAAGACACACTAAGTTCATGATGAAAGCCATTACTTTTTAAAGAAGGAACAAAGGTGTAATCCCAGCACTTTGGGGAGGCTGAGGCAGGCGGGTCACGAGGTCAGGAGTTCAAGACCAGCCTGGCCAATACAGTGAAACCCTGTCTCTACTGAAAATACAAAAATTAGCCAGGCGTGGTGGCAGGTGCCTGTAGTCCCAGCTACTTGGGAGGCTGAGGCAGGAGAATTGCTTGAACCCGGGAGGTGAAGGTTGCAGTGAGTCGAGATCCTGCCATTGCACTCCAGCCTGGGTGACAGAGCAAGACTCCAACTTTAAAAAAAAAAAAGAGAGAAAAAAGGAATAAAGGAAGGAAATGGCACTAGGGAAAGGCACAAAGATGACTTCCATAAACTTTAGTTATTTTATGCTAAAAGAAAATCTGATACAAGCACAAGATGATGACTACGTAGATTAGTATTTCTGGGTTGCATGTTAAAAATATGAAAATAAAAACGGAAATAGTTTCCAAAACAAAGATTTTATATATGAAATTAGTGAAATTTCAGAATGGAGAAAGGATGGTTACAATAAATGTTAGGAGCCCTCTTTAAAGAGCTCAAATGGTATGTAAGTATTTGGGATTTGTGGTTTAATTAGACCTAGTTTTCAGCAGTCTTTCCATGAAATGTATTTTTGTATTTAGAGAGATCTTGGTAACTCTTGTAAAGCAGAGTGTCCTGCTACATTACATAACTTACCTAAGTAGGTGTGCTTTTTTTTGTTTTTCTAGAGACAGGGTCTCTGCTCTTTCACCCAGGCTGAAGTGTAGTGGCACCATCATAGCTCGGTGCAACCTTGATTTCCAGGGCTCAAGTGATCCTCCCATCTCGGTCTCCTGAGTAGTTAGGACTATAGGTGCAAGCCACCATGTGCAGCTTTCTTTTTTTTTTTTTTTTGGAGAGTCATGGCCTCGTTACATTGCCTGTCACCTAGACTGGCCAGCTGGTCTTGAACCCCTGGCCTCAAGTGGTCCTCCTGCCTCAGTCTCCCAAAGTATTGGGATTACAGGCATGAAACACTGCTACTGGCCTAGATAAGAATTTTTATATTGTTTTTGGTTGATTTAAGTGCTGAGAACTTATTTGCTTCAGAATAGATCTTTGGTTGAAATGCAGTTCAGTTTTGAGACTAAAAAATAAACCAGATTTACTCCCAAAAATGTTACTGTTTCAAATAAGTAAAATATTTGCACCTTTAAAGATTAGGAGTTGGCTGGGCATGGTGGCTCACTCCTATAATCTCAGCACTTTGGGAGGCCAAGGCAGGCAGATCACCTGAGGTCAGGAGTTCAAGACCAGCCTGGCCAACATGGTGAAACCCCATCTCTACTAAAAATACAAAAATTAGCTGGCTGTGGTGGCACCTGCCTATAATCCCAGCTACTCAGGAGGCTGAGGCGGGAGAATCGCTTGAACCCAGGAGGCAGAGGTTGCAGGGTGCTGAGATCGCACCACTGCAGTCCAGCCTGGGTGATAGAGCCAAGACTCTGTCTCAAAAAAAAAAAAAAAAAATTGGGAGTCATATTTATATAATTTTATTTCTATTTCTGTAAGGTCTAATTTTTGAGTATTTCTGAACATCAATAATAGAATCTCTGTCCAATTAGAATTTGTGCCTTGCTCAGTAGTTTTCATTTTAATGAATGATTCAAAAGAATACATTAGCTTAAGTTTTGTTTTTTTTAATAATATTTTAGCAAAGAATGGCTCAAGAAGTACTGACACATTTAAAGGAGCATCCTGATGCTTGGACAAGAGTCGACACAATTTTGGAATTTTCTCAGAATATGAATACGAAAGTAAGCAAGTGGTGGTTTTAAAATCTGTTATTTCTTTTCTTCCAGTCATAAACTTTGAGGAAGGTATCTCATTTTTAGTATTAGCATTTGTTATCTCAAATTATTTTATATTGTTAATTTGTTTCAAAATTTAGTCTTAAGCATATAATTAATTCTTGCAAATAGTCCTAAGAATTATGAATGAAGTTTTGTAATGGGACTAGTATGCAAGGTGGCTTTTTTGGTTGTCTGATTTTGTTTTTTTCTTTTTAGTATATGTATACAGGTCTAAGTAGCATAAATTCTGAATGTTATTCAGAGATTAAACATAACATTAAGGAATTATTTTGGGCAAGTAATCAATATAATACAGGCCAGGCACCTCTGACACCAAGTTGTGTGGACAGCTTAAAACCCTACTCCATGGCATTGGGCTTCTAATGGGACAGCACTCAGTTTTTATTTACAATGGAAAATGTTATAATTCTGGTCCTTTTTTAAGTTTGAACAGAAGGGTTGATCAAAATGTGTTTTGTCTGTTTTAGGCTTGATGATTCACGCTTCTCTTTAAACTGCCTTAAAGTAATAAATACTATGGCATTCTGTTTAATACACGAAAGGTTTCCACTTGATATACATTGTGTTAAAACAGAAGATAGCCATATTCACATCTGTTTCTGAAACCAGACTTTGTTAATTAACAGTTTTAAAATATTAATTAGTTTTGACATCTTGTAAATTTTAGGTCAAAAATACAGTCCAGAACTTCCTCAAAGTGCTAACCTTAAGTAACATAACAGTGTTTGCCTGTTTGCTTGCCTGGTAAATTTTGCTTTTTATACTGACAGACATTACTAATGTTTAAGTTGATTTATCAACAGTATTTTTAAAAACTCAAATTTGTCTTGTGAAAAATGAGATGATTAGAGGAACAGAAAGAAAGCAACAGGTAAAGAATTCTTCAATTTACATAAATTACAAATGATTTGGTGCTAAATTTATGCACTATGACATTTGGCTTTTATGCAATCATTTTTTTTTCTTTAAAGATGTTAACACTACCTGATATTAATCATAATGTTCCATTATGTTGATTGCTTGTAATAGGAAGAAAAGGGGTGTCTTCCTGTGCAACTGACACAGCTAGGCTTTGACGGCAGGCCTCCACAAGGTCTACCCTTTTGATTCCCTTTAACTGAATTCTGTTCATCAATTGTTTTTGTTTCATGGGCGGTGGGAGGGGAAAGGGGAATTCAATGCATAAAATAAGTATTTCTAAGGGCTCAGTAGAAATTTCTACCATAGGGATCATTTCATGCATTTATTTTTTCATTTAGTCTTTGCTGTTATCTGTCCCTCATCTTCATAACTCAGCAGTGGATTTCTCAAGTTTGGAGATGTAAGGCAAAAGTATAATTCTTCAGAATGTTTGGATTGTAGTGATTTATCATTGGCTTTCAGATTTGACTGTCACTTCAGATTTTTGAGCAAAAATACTAAAAAAAAAAAGAAAAAAAATTCTTTGAAGAGACAGGACCTCTGTTGCCCAGGCTGGAGTGCAGTGGTGTGATTATAGCTCACTGTAACCTCAAACTCCTGGGCTTAAGTGACATTTCTGCCTCAACTTTCTGAGTAGCTAGGGCTACAGGTGCGTGTCACCATGCCTCGCTAACTTACCAATTTTTTTATAGAAGTGGGGTCTCCCTGTGTTGCTCAGGCTGATCTTGAACTCCTGGCCCTCCCGCCTTGGCCTCCCCAAAATGTTGGGATTACAGGCGAGGGCCACTTTGCCTGGCCCCAAATAACATTTTTTCAAAGGAATGTAAATTTTTTTTGTTTTAGTTTCATAGGCAAAGTCTTTATGTCTGGGAGAGATTGGATTTTAGGATATTATAGTAACAGATGTATTCCTTTGACCTAACCTGGGCAAAGCATTTATTGGGCTCCCTGCTTCAACCCCCTTGGCAGAAAGATGAAATATGAATTGTATCTTCATCAAGCTTATGCTACCTTTATACAGTTGTAGAAAATACAGGTTAGTAAATAGTAATTTTAGGTAACAGTATCAAATAGGAAGAAGTAAATAAAAAAGAAAGGACAGTGTCTTTCCATTAAAAATGTAAAAAAGTTTGGTTAAATAAGATGAAGTTATCTTTAAGATTTTTATTTGTAACTATATTTATGGTGGGTTTTGTTTCTTAGTGTTTTAAAGGCTTTTTAATTGATTTTTGGCAAGAGGATATATTGTAAGCAGTGCATTGCTTTGACTTACTGAGTCTTGACAATCTGATTTTGTGCCTATAAAATTAAAGAAAATGCTTAGGGTAGTATGTTTTTAAAAGCTAATTAAGAACTTCAGGCATTTGGACAACTCTCTTTTTTTTACATATTTCTCAGACCTAGACATAATAAATAGATATGTTTTTAAAAGTGAACAGGTTAGAAAGCATCACTATTTACTGCTGATTATGAAACATTTTAATAGCATCAAATTTGTAATTTTAGAATTTTGCTTTGGCCTTGTTTTTATTTTGAAAGTTTTTAAGGAATGTTCTGCAAATGTAGTACTTTAGTTGAAATGGCAAAATTTTCTTGAAGAGTGTGAAATGTTAAAATGAAAGAAAACAGCAAAAACATTCACTGTTTGAGCACAATGTAGTTTGGGACAGTCTATATTGTGCTTTGGATAAAATGAGCATTCACATGATCCCTTTGGTTGAAATACTAATGCTCCTATTTTATTGTGTAATGACTAACCATTTTAAAGATGAACTCTTATTCTCAGCCAAAACTTGCAATCTGAGGTTATATGTCTATATATGAATGAGCTTACCTTTCAGATATTATAGCTGATTCTTCCCTAATTCTCTCAGTTGAAATGTACCACAACGGTTTTGTCCCTTTTCTTCCTCCTGCCTATCCACACTAATTGGTCATAGTAATTCAGGTAGTAACTCCTGGGGCTTTATAAATTATTATAAATATTGTTGACTATTTAGAGTGAGTAATCAGCAGGAGGGACAAAATGGCTTGAAAGTGGTATCTCTGTTTTTTAATTTTTTATACTTTTAGTTATAACTTTCAGTATTTAGGAAGAAATACCTGAAAGGTAGATACAGATTGCAACATGCGTTTGTGATTATTTTGACTGTGCACAAAAGTTTATCTTTAAATTAGTAGAAATAGCAACTATAAGGGTGGGGTTAAAATATAAAATAAACCCATGGGTTGTCTTGCTGCTCCTTAAGTAACACACCAGTGATGCTTGTAAACACTTTCTATAGAAAGTATCTGTGACAATACTTTAATATTTGGCCAAAAGCTTATAACTCCTAGAGGATGGTAGGAAGCTTGATAGCATCCAAGCTGCTAAATTCTTAGGAGCCTGTTCGTGTTAAAGTACGTGAGCCTATGAGCAGTCATTTATGCTGTGAATTCATATCTGGCTGCTACTTTTCCTTCGACAGATAAGCCTATTTGGCTGCTAAAGGGCTTTTTATTTGGTTCTTCCTCCTGGTGTGAGCATGTATAAACAGCAGGACGTTATATAGAGTAGCAAACAATAAAATGAGGAAAATGCATGAAAACTCAGTATATGGGTGAATAGATACTTGTTTAATATGTGTAATTAAACTTGGTAGCATAATGTTTTTGAAACTTTAGATGTAAATGTGTGAATGTCTGTCCATTTGTGAATCCTGAGAGTTGCCAGTCCTATAAGCAATATATTCACATGCTTCTATTCTCCAATTTTCAGTACTATGGACTACAAATTTTGGAAAATGTGATAAAAACAAGGTGGAAGATTCTTCCAAGGAACCAGTGCGAAGGTAGGAAAATAAAGAATTATAAATTCAGAGTTTTGTTTTTCCTGGCATTTTTATTGTAGTTGACTGTTTGAGGGGGCATGTAATGAATCTTTAGTATATTTTGCTCTAATGGAGCTTATTGCTTTTATCATGAAGCAAACAGGTCTGTTTGTATTGGTGGGTACAGGAAGGCCACTTACAGGTTATCTTTTGGGAGAAAGAGGAGACTGGACTGTTGAAAACTCTGACAATAAATATTCTAGTTAAAAATATGGGCTATGGCACAGTGGCCCACGCCTGTAATCCTAACACTTCAGGAGGCCGAGGCAAGTAGATCGCTTGAGTCTGGGAGTTCTATACCAGCCTAGGCAGTATAGCAAGACCTCATCTGGACAAAAATTTAAAAAATTAGCTGGGTATGGTGGTTCATGTCTGTGGTCCCAGCTATGTGGGAGCATTGCTTGAGCTCAAAAGGTCGAGACTGCAGTGAGCCATGATCCTGCCACTGCACTTCAGCCTGGGTGACAAGAGTGAGACCCCATCTCCAAAAAAACATATATATAAATAAAATATGGGCCGGGCACAGTGGCTCAAGCCTGTAATCCCAGGACTTCGTGAGGCTGAAGTGGGAGGGTCATTTAAGGCCAGAAGTTTGAGACCATCCTGGGTAACATAGCGAGACCCTGTGTTTACAAAAAATTTAAAAATTAGCCAGGTATTTTGGTGCAGGTGGCGGCGGGGACAGGGGTATCAGTGGGGTGAGGTAGGAGGATCCCTTGAGCCAAGAGGTTGAGACTGCAGTGAGCCATCATTGTGCCACTGTACTCTAGCCTGGGCAACGAGCGAAACTCCGTCTCAAAAAACAAGAACAACAACAACAAAAAAAACCATATGTAAGGTTAACTCGGGAATGGAAAAGCCAAGTACTAAAGATCACAAAGCTGTTTTGCCTTTTGTGGTTCTGGGAATGCCTTGGAAGAGGTTGGCTTCTGAAATGAAGAAAGATCAGAAAATGAAGGTGTAGTGATACCTGTTAATGAGTAATTTAACTTTTCTGTCTGTGCTACCTTGAGGAATGTAGTCATATTTTGAGAAACCTGAGGCAACATTAGTTTCTTGGGATTCTTTGATTTAGCTAATTTCAGTTATGATACACTGCCTTTTTACCTACTATATTTCATTTATCTCTGAAAAATAGAAATTTTTTTCTTGACTTTATTATGGGGCACATGATACTTCTAGTAGTATTTTCATTTAAAATATGTCTAATTTCTTTGATTATTTGTCTTTTAAGTATTGTCCTTCACCTGCATTCTCTTATCATCATTATGGTAGAATAGTGACATGGATTTACTTAGCTAATCTGACTTAAACCTTGACAAAGTTTGAGCACATTTAGAGTTGAATGTGATGAGATTTTAATGCCAGTGTCTTTTTTTAAGAATATTAAGTATATTCAGTGGCAATATCTTTAATACATCATAAATCATAGATTAAGAGTGATAGTGCAGGAGCAAATAATGTGCCCTAAAAGAGGTTCTCATTTCTTTAAATGTTTTATTATGGTTTGAAACTATTTTAGATCACGTTCTGTGATGGACTGAGAAATTAATAAGCACAATTTGACTATGTGGTCCAAGTAGGTCCTTCATACTTTATTCTTCAGGGATCTTTAGTGTAGTCATTCCTTGTTTCTTTACTACTATTGTTTTACTCATGTGTTATGAGCCCCAGATTTAATTTTGGCCATGGTCTGCCGTACCAAGAAAAGGTGATTTACTTCTGTCCCATTTTACTGTTGTATAATTTTAAATCCTCCTTTTGTTCTTAAATCTGCATCTCTGTTTTTTATCACATTTGATGGTTCTGGAAGATGTTTTCCAGGTTGAAAATAGATATGATTATACTAGTTTATCAACACTGTAGTTACATTTGTTACAGACAAAATTAATTTAAAAAATTTTTGTTTCTTTCTTTCTTCTTTGTTGAGACAGATTCTCACTCTGTTCCTCAGGCTGGAGTGCATTGGCACCATCACTGCAGCTTCAAATAGCTGCGGTCAAGCAATCCTCCCACCTCAGCCTCCCGAGTAGCTGGGAACATAGGCATGCCCCACCATGCCCTACTAAATTTTTTTTTTTTTTAATGTTTTGTAGGGATGGTGTCTCGCTGTGTTGCCCATGCTGCTGGCTGCTGGGCTTGAGCAATCCTCCCACCTTGGCCTGCCAGAGTGCTGGGATTGTAAGCATGAGCCACCATACTTAGTCAACATGATTACCTTTTTAATTTTAACTGGGAGGCTTCTCTAACCTAAAGATTTATTTCACAAAATACACTAGAACTTCTGAACATTAATTTTCCTTCATCTTTAAGTAACTTTGGTATTGGAAATTACATAAATTAATTTAAAACATTTTATTTCCTTTTTCTGTAAGTGTCCTGTCTTTTAAAGGTATTCGCTTTGCTTTTTGCTGTAGCTATACCCTTTGTCCAACTACCATAGCATATATATTTGTTCACCTGGGGTGCATATTGTGCGTTTCCTTTGTACCGATTACTACTAAATATTAAGGTTATAAAAATATACATGTACATCAAAGTGCTGTATGTCACAGTGTTATAGTTGGGAAGACAAAACACATGTAAAAGAGGAATCATAAATCAGCAAATTAGGTGTATATAATGAGTGCTTCACAAGCTAAAAGAACAGAATGATGTCTAAGTCCGGCCCTTTAGCTAAGTTTCATTCACATAATTGGAAAGAAATGCCTGGTATATTTTAAAGGAAGGAAAGGTTTCACTGCATAAGAGTATGCCAAAATTAGATTCCTGCATTTTTTTTCTGATGTAGAATTTGTTTTATCTGCTTTTAGGTTCTTGTCCACAGCATGTTAATTTTTACGTGGTGTTTTTTTTTTTTTTTTTTTTTTTTTGAGACGGAGTCTTGCTCTGTTGCCCAGGCTGGAGTGCAGTGGCGCAGTCTTGGCTCACTGCAAGCTCCACCTCCTGGGTTCATGCCATTCTCCTGTCTCAGCCTCCTGAGTAGCTGGGACTACAGGCACCCGCCACCACACCCAGCTAATTTTTTTTTTTTTTTTTTAGTAGAGATGGTTTCACTATGTTAGCCAGGAAGGTCTCGATTTCCTGACCTTTTGGTCCTCCCGCCTCGGCCTCCATGCCTGTTGAGATTACAGGCATGAGCCACTGCCTGGCTAACATGTTCTTTTAAATTAATGACATTTTCAATTTAGGCCTCTTGTATAAATACTGTCAGGAAAATCTCATGATTCTTGAGTGGGTTAGATGTCTCTTGCTGTGTTATACGTTACTGTATCCTGTACCAGTGGGTCACAGGAGAATAAAATTTTAAAGAGCAAAAGATAGGCTCAGCACGGTGGCTCACGCCTGTAATCCCAGCACTTTGGGAGGCCAAGGCAGGCAGATAACGAGGTCAGGAGTTTGAGACCAGTCTTACCAACATGGAGAAACCCTATCTCTACTAAAAATACAAAAATTAGCCGGGCGTGGTGGCACATGCCTGTAATCCCAGCTACTCAGGAGGCTGAGGCAAGAGAATTGCTTGAACCCGGGAGGCGGAGGTTGCAGTGAGCTGAGATCACGCCATTGCACTCCAACAGAGCGAGACTTCATCTCAAAAAAAAAGAGCAAAAGATAGACATAATTAGAAAGTAAGGATGTTTAAAAGAACATTTAATTTTCCAAAAGATATTTTTATAGCAAGAGAAATGGCGAGATAATAAAACATTTAAATAAGTTGAGATTTGTTATATAAAATTTATTACATTTCTCTGGATTTTCATTTAGCTTTAGGCCGTAAGTGTGTGTCTATTTGTTTGTGTTTTATGTGTTTTGTCCCTCACACCCCACATTACACTTGGCTGTTTTAGTCACTTTATTCCCCATCCTTCAAACTATAAGCTCCTTGATATTGGGGCTCAGAGTGTCTTTTTTTCTTTGGTTTTTTTTTGGTCTGTTTTTGTGTTTGTTTTTGTTTAAGACAGAGTCTCGCTCTGTTGCCCAGGCTGGAGTGCAGTGGCGTGATCTCGGCTCAGTGCAAGCTCTGCCTCCCGGTTTCACACCATTCTCCTGCCTCAGCCTCCTGAGTATCTGGGACTGCAGGCGCCTGCCACCACGCCCGGCTAACTTTGTGTGTGTGTGTGTGTGTGTGTGTGTGTGTGTGTGTGTGTGTGTGTTTTGTTTTTTGTTTTTTGTTTTTTTTTTTAGTAGAGACGGGGTTTCACCGTGTTAGCCAGGATGGTCTCGATCTCCTGACCTCGTCATCCGCCTGCCTCGGCCTCCCAAAGTGCTGGGATTACAGGTGCGAACCACCGCGCCTGGCTTTTTCTTTGTTTTTTAAAGATGTAGGGTTTCACTCTGTTGCTCAGGCTGGAGTACAGTGGTGCAATCATGGTTCACTGCAGCCTGGAACTCCTGGGCTCCAGTGATCCTCTTGCCTCAGGCTTTTTTTCTTTTTTTTTTGTGAGACAGAGTCCCTCTCTGTCACCCAGGCTGGAGTGCAGTGGCGCAGTCTTGGCTCACTGCACCCTCTGCCTCCTGGGCTCAAGTGATTCTCATGTGTCAGTCTCCCAAGTAGCTGGGATTACAGATGCACACCACCATGCCTGGCTAATTTTTGTATTTGTTTTAGTAAGGACAGGGTTTCGCCATGTTGACCAGGCTGGTCTCGAACTCCTGACTTCAGGTGATCCTCACCCTCCCAGAGTGCTGGGATTATAGGCGTGAGCCATTGCATCCTGCCCTCTTGCCTCAGCCTTGAGAGTAGCTAGCACTGTAGGTCCGCACCACCATGCCCAGCTAATTAAAAAAAATTTTTTTTTTTAGAGATAGAGTCTCACTGTGAAGCCCAGGCTGGTTTTAAACTCCTGGGTTTAAAGCAGTCTTCCTACTTTGCCGTCCCAAATTGCTACCAAGCCTGGCTGGGAAATTTTAATATGTCAAATGGAAGAATTCCCTAATAAAGAGTGGTTGCTATTCATGGTAGTCTTTTATTTATTCATTTGTTTTGAGACAAGATCTCACTGTATCACCCATGCTGGAGTACAGTGGCACAATCATAGCACACTGCAGCCTTAAACTCCTGAGCTCAGGCAGTTACCACGCCTTAGCCTGCCAAAATAGCTAGGACTACAGGCATGTGCCACCACACCCAGCTAAGTTTTTCTAATTTTGATAGAGACACAGTTTGCCTATGTTGTCCAGGCTTGTCTTGAACTCCTGGCCTCAAGTGATGCTCCAACCTCAGCATCCCAAAGTGCTGGGGTTACAGGTATATCACCACTCCTAGCCATCACTGAAGTCTTAAAGGTCCTCTAGGACTGCCAGTGGTGTTGATTCTTTATCAGAGTCATGATTCAGATAATTCCCCATCCCTTTTTAAAAATGGCATTTAGGCTGGGTGTGGTGGCTTACACCTGTAATCCCAGCACTTTGGGAGGCTGAGGTGGGCAGATCACCTGAGGTCAGTTCGAGACTAGCCTGGCCAGTGTGGTGAAACCCGGTCTCTACTAAAAATACCAAAATTAGCTGAGTGTGGTGGCAGATGCCTTTAATCCCAGCTAATTGAGAGGCTGAGGCAAGAGAATCGGTTGAACCTGGGAGGTGGAGCTTACAGTGAGCCAAGACAGCACGACTGCACTCCAGCCTGGGCAACAAGAGTGAAACTCTGAAATTAAAAAATAATTAATTAATTAATTAAAAATGGCATTTAGATAATTCAAATAAAAAAAAAGAGGAAGCCTCCTTTGTTCCTGTTGGGGGGAAAGATGATGCTATATAAAGGTATTTCTGTACTTTTTATTTAAACCAAGGGATTGTTTTAATCAGTTAATGTGTATGGCTTATAGATCATTTCATTGATTGATAAAAACTTACTCACAGGCGGGGCATGGTGGCTCATGCCTGTAATCCCAGCACTTTGGGAGGCTGAGGCGGGCAGATCACCTGAGGTCCGGAGTTCGAGACCAGCCTGACCAACATGGAGAAACCCCATCTCTACTACAAATACAAAATTAGCCAGGCGTGGTGGCGCATGCCTGTAATCCCAGCTATTGGGGAGGCTGAGGCAGGAGAATCGCTTGAACCCGGGAGGCAGAGGTCGCGGTGAGCTGAGATCGCGCCATTGCACTACGGCCTGGGCACCAAGAGCGAAACTCAGTCTCAAAAAAAAACCCACACTTGGCTCACATTGAATAGAGAAGAAGCGAATTTATGAAAAAAGTAATCCAAAGTGGAAAGATCGTAATTACAAGGTTTGATTTTTTTTTTTTGTTTGGTTTGGTTTTTTCGAGGCGGAGTTTCGCTGTTGTTGCCCAGGCTGGAGTGCAGTGGCTCAATCTCCACTCACTGCAGCCTCCGCCTCCTGGGTTCAAGCTATTCTCCTGCCTCAGCCTCCCGAGTAGCTGGGATTACAGGCATGTGCCACCATGCAAGGTTGGTTTTGTTTTGTTTTGTTTTTTTTTAATTTTGCGACGGAGTTTCGCTCTGTCGCCCAGGCTGGAGTGTAGTGGCGAGATCTTGGGTCACTGGATGCTCAGCCTCCTGGGTTCACACCATTCTTCTGCCTCAGCCTCCTGAGTAGCTGGGACTACAGGTGCCTGCTACCACGTCTGGCTAATTTTGTGTGTGTGTGTGTGTGTGTGTGTGTGTGTGTGTGGTTTTTTTTTTTTTTTTTAGTAGAGATGGGGTTTCACCGTGTTAGCCAGGATGGTCTCGATCTCCTGACCTCGTGATCCACCCTCCTCGGCCTCCCAAAGTGCTGGGATTACAGGCGTGAGCCACCGTGCCCGGCCAGGTTGGATTTTATAAGTAGTTGGGCCACTAAAATTTCTGAGTTGTACAGTTTCATGTCTTTAGTTGGCAGACCAAAGCTGATCCACTCATAAAATTTTATTTAGTGCTCTCCTTTGACGTGAGACACGTGGTATATTTATTGGCACCGTAATACTGGCTACATTATTTGACCTCATATTTCAGTTTGTGTTGCAAGGTTTTGGGCATTAGAGCTAATGTATAGGAAGCCCTGTGCTTACATATGCTGAGTATGAGTAAGTAGTGGGTTACCAACTGTTTTTGATGAAATATCTGCATTTCACCAAATTGCCATATACCAGTCTCAAAATATCCTGAACCTTCTGAAATACCTTCCTAAGTGAGCTCACTAACACCTACTTTTCTGTGTCCTTTACAATTTTTTCACCACAAAGTCTCAAAGTTTCAGAAACGGAACTAATAGGGTCACTTCTGCTGAAGATCTCCTGTAGTATTGAAGATATTTAACATGTTTCCTTTAATTGATATTGGCCTTTGAGAATTTTTGTATTTGCCTTATTTATTAGGTTTAAAGTGTACAGTTGGATAAGTTTTATCTTGTGCATGCTCCTGTGAAACTACCTCTGTATAATCAAGATCTGCCTCTATCCGATTACTTTCACCTTCACTGCCCCTCTTCACATGTGCTTGTTGTCACTTGCTTGGTAAGAGTGGAATGGCTGGATTGTGTGGATTTTTTTTTTTTTTTTTTTAAGACAGTCACACTACTCTGTCGCCCAGGCTGGAGTGCAGTGTCATGATCTTGGCTCATTGCAACCTCTGGCTCTCGGGTTCAAGCGATTCTTGTGCCTCAGCCTCCCAAGTAGGTGGGATTACAAGCATGCACCACCACACCAGCATAATTTTTGTTTTTGTAATAGAGTTTCGCCATATTGGCCTGGCTGGTCTCAAACTCCCGACCTCAGGTGATCTGTCCACTTCGGCCTCTCACAGTGCTGAGATTATACTCATAAGCCACTGCGCCCAGCCCATATGGATGTTTTGGTGTATGTTTAAGCATCCAACTGTATTCCAAAGTGGTCATGTCAGTCTCACCAGCAGTGTATAAGTATGTTTCACATCTCGGCTGACATTTGGTATAGACAATGTTTTTAGTTTGGCTATTGTAGTGCATATACAATAGCATCTCATGGTGGTTTTAATTTCTTTCTTTTTTTTTTTTTTTTTTAAAGACAGAGTCTTGCTCTGTCGCCCAGGCTGGAGTGCAGTGGCCTGATCTCGGCTGACTGCAACCTCTGTTTCCCGGGTTCAAGCGATTCTCCTGCCTCAGCCTCCTGAGTAGCTGAGACTACAGGCATGTGCCACCACACCCAGCTAATTATTTTGTATTTTTAGTAGAGACGAGCTTTCACCATGTTGGCCAGGATGGTCTCGAACTCCTGACCTGGTAATCAGCCCACCTCAGCCTCCCAAAGTGCTGGGATTACAGGCATGAGCCACCACGCCCAGCCTTAATTTCCATGTGGAGTAGTGTTGTTCTGTGTTCCATCACATATCCTTACATGTTCTTTGCCATGCCAGTATGTTTTTGGTGAAATGTCTGTTCAAAAATTTTGCTCAGTTTTTTTTTTTTTTGAGACGGAGCCTGGCTCTATTGCCCCAGCTGGAGTGTGGTGGCACAATCTCAGCTCACTGCAACCTCTGCCTCCTGGGTTCAAGCGATTCTCCTGTCTCAGTCTCCTGAGTAGCTGGGATTACAGGTATGCACCACCACGCCCTGCTACTTTTTCGTATTTTTAGTAGTAGAGATGGGGTTTCACCATGTTAGCCACGCTGGTCTCTATCTCCTGACCTCGTGATCCACCTGCCTCAGCCTCCCAAAGCGCTAGGATTACAGGCGTGTAAGCCCACCATGCCCCGCCAATTTTGCCCAGTTTTTATTGGGCTATTCCCTTATTGAGATCTAAGGGCTCTTTGTATTCTAGTCAGGAGTATTTTGTTAACTGTATATTTTGCAAGTGTTTTGTCTGTGGCTTCCTGTTTAATTTTTGTAATGGTGTCTTTTGCAGAGCAAAAATTTCAGATTTTGATTAAAATCAGTGTTGATTTTTTTTTCTTTATATAGTTGATGTTTTTTGTGTTGTATTCAAGAAATCTTTGTCATGCAAAGGTCACTTAAGATTTTCTGTAAGTTTTTGGCTGGGCACAGTGGCTCACGCCTGTAATTCCAGCAATTTGGGAGGCCGAGGCAGGCAGATCTCTTGAGGTCAGCAGTTCGAGACGAGCCTGGTCAACAGGGTGAAACCGCATGTCTACTAAAGATACAAAAATTAGCTGGGTGTGTTGGTGAATTGCTTGAACTGGGGAGGCAGAGACTGCAGTAAGCCTAGATCACACCACTGCCCTCCAGCCTGGGTGACAGAGCAAGACTCTCTCTCAAAAAAAAAAAAAAAAAAAAGATATTCTGTACGTTTTCTTATAGAACCTTTATAGTTTTAGCTTTTGCATTAAGATCTGTGATTTGGCTGGGCACAGTAGCTCACAATTGTAATCCCAGCACTGGGAGGCCAAGGCAGGCGGAAACAATACAAACAAATTAGCCAGGCGTGGTGGCATGCACCTGTAATCCCGACTGCCAGGAAGCTGAGGTGGGAGGAATGCTTGAGTTGAGTTCGGGAGGTGGAGGTTGCAGTGAGCCGAGATCATGCCACTGCACTCCAGCCTGGGCGACAAAGACCCTGTCTGAAAAAAGCATCATGTGATTCATTTTACTCAATTTTTGTATATGAGGTGAGGTAAGGGTCAAGGTTTATATATTTATTTGAGACAGAGTCATGCTCTGTCTCCTGGCCAGAGTACAGTGGCGCGATCTTGGCTCACTGCAAACTCCACCTGCCAGATTACAGGTGCACACCACCACACCCGGCTAATTTTTGTATTTTTAGTAGAGATGGGGTTGCCCCATGTTGGCCAGGCTGGTCTGGAACTCCAGACCTCAAGTGATCCGCCAGTCTCAGCCTCCCAAAGTGCTGGGATTATGTGTGAGCTACCGCACCCAGCTCCCCAACTTTGTTTCTAAAAGGTTTGGCTATTGTTGGTTTTTTGCTGTTCCATAAAAATTTTAGAGTGAAATCTGGCAAATTTCAACAAAAGCTGTCCTGAAATTTTTATTGAGATTGCCTTGGATCTGTGGATGCATTTGGAGAGAATGAACATCTTTAATGTCAATTCCTGATTATTTCTTGCTAATATAGAGAATTGCCATTGTTCACTTATCTCTTGAACGTGTAGTTTAATCCAGCTAGTCAAAGCCCAGTTCAAACTCACTTTCCCTTCCTGTTGTGAGAAAACACCTCAATTTTGCAAAAGCTCTTGGAATTTAACATTTCTGCTGCTTTTCCCTGTATGTGTGGTGTTTAGTCTTTTCATAGTTCGTTGACTATGGAATTCAGAGCAGAAACCCTATTTCCTAATTTCCTTGGGAAGTTTTCAGAACTAGATGATAATGTAAGTTTCTAATAAGTTGATAGTGTTACTCAGAGGTGATTGTTTCATTTATGATTTTGAAAAGAAAATGTAAATATTAGACTTAAGTCCTTGCATCTAAAACAAATTCATGAGAAATCCCACAGAATACAATGTTAGAGATGGGAGCAAAAATTATCAGTCTAATCTCAGAGAGTTGACAGGCATTCCAAATCGTTTTTTGTCAGTATTTAAACCATGGTAGGATAATGTAAGAAATATACTTAATGCCTGGTGCGATGTCTCACGCCTGTAATCCCAGCACTTTGGGAGGCCTAGGCAGGCAATTGTCTGAGGTCAGGAGTTCGAGACCAGTCTGGCCAACATGGTGAAACCCCGTCTCTACTAAAAATACAAAAAAAATTAGCCGGGCATGGTGGCGTGTGCCTGTAATCCCAGAATCCCAGCTACTCGGTAGGTTGCAGCAGGGGAGTTGCTTGGACCAGGGAGGTGGAGGCTGCAGTGAGCTGTGATCATGCCACTGCATTCCAGCCTGGGCGACAGAGCAAGGCTCCGTCTCAAAAAGAAAAAAAAGAAAAGAAAAAGAAATATCTGTAAGCTATAAATTATGTTTTTCATTTCTAAAAAAAACAAGGCAGGCCAGGCACAGTGATTGAGGCCTGCAATCCCAGCAGTTTGGGAGGCTCTCTTGAGCCCAGAAATTTGAGATCAGCCAGGACAAGATAGTTAGACTTCTCTCTACTAAAAATACAGAAAACTAGCAGTGTATGGTCGAGTGCCCCTGTAGTTTCAGCCACTCAGGAGGCTGAGGCGGGAGAATCATTTGAGTCCAGGCAGGAGGTCGAGCCCTGATTGATTGCACCACTGCACTCCAGCCTGGGCAACAGAGTGATAATATCTGAAAAGATAGGCTGGGCACAGTGGCTCTTGCCTGTAATCCCAGGACTTTGGGAGGCTGAGGCAGGCAGATCACCTGAGGTTGGGAGTTCGAGATCAGCCTGACCAACATGGTGAAACCCCATCTCTACTAAAAATAACAAAAAAATTAGCTGGGCGTGGTGGCGCATTCCTGTAATCCCTGCTACTCTGAAGGCTGAGGCCGGAGAATTGCTTAAACCTGGGAGGTGGAGGTTGCAGTGAGCCGAGATTGCGCCATTGCATTCCAGCCTGGGCAACAAGAACGAAACTCTGTCTAAAAAATAAAGAAAAGAAAGCAGTATTTTCAGGCACATTGTATATGATTGATAGGAATAGTATTTCCATTTCTGGTTAATGTAACAATTTGCCCCATTCCAAGTATTTTGATTACAGGCCTCCATGAAAGGCCTATACTTGATACCTAACAGTGTTTGATCCCTAGCTTACATCCATGTAACTTTTTTTTTTTTTTTTTTTTTTGAGATAAGGTCTCACGCTGTCGCCCAAGCTGGAGTGCAGTGGCGGGATCATGGCTTAACTCTAGCCTCAACTTCCGGGGCTCTAGCAATCCTCCTGCGTCAGTCTCCTGCATAACTGGGACTACGTGCGCATGAATCATACCTGGCTCACTGTTTCTATTTTTTGTAGAGATGGGGTCTCGCTATGTTGCCTAGGCTGGTCCTGAACTCCTGGGCTCAAGCGATCCTCTGCCTCAGCCTCCCAAAGTGTTTAGATTACAGTCAAGAGCTACTGTGCTCGACCTGCTTTCACCTTTTGGCTATCATGAGTGATGCTCCTGTCAATTTTAATAAAATTTTAATCTTTTAGATTTTTTGTCCAGTGTGTTTGAGGCCATAAACATCCATTTAAGAATGGCGGATGTGCATATAGATCCATTTCTCTTAACATTATCAAAGCAGGTTAAATTATAGATTATCTGTGGGAACCCTAACTTAACTCCTGCTTTAGAATTATTGTTAGCTGTTTGTCTTCCATGTGGCATTGTTCTTATTAATATTTCATTGAGAGAACAGTAGTAACAATATCCTGTATACCCTTGTGTAAGTAAAGAGAGCAGATCACTATTTTATTGACCATCTTTCAAAAGATCGATTTTGTGTGTTTTTTTGTTTTGTTTTGAGATAGTCTCACATTGTCGCCCAGGCTGCTTGGATTGCAGTAGTACAATCTTGGCTCACTGCAACCTCTGCCTTCCGGGTTGAAGCGATTCTTGTGCCTCAGCCTCCAGAGTAGCTGGTACTACAGGTGTGCACCACCATGCCTGGCTATTTTTTTGTATTTTAATAGACAGGTTTCACCATGTTGGCCTGGCTGGTCTCAAACTCCTGGCCTCAAGTGATCCACCCACCTCGGCCTCCCACAGCGCTAGGATTACAGGCTTGAGCCACCACATCCAGCCAATTTTGATGTTTTCATGGACTGATACTTGTAATAAACATTTCAATTATATATAGCATTGATGTAGAAATGTACCAAATTTACATTTTTTTAGCTTATGGAATAAATAAATGTTTAAACTGAAATTGATTCGAAACTAGATTGAACTTGCCTTTTTCCTATTTGTAATTTACATTTTTAATAGTGTATCAAAAGCCTTAAACCATTTTCTGTGGTGCAGGTTGACTGCCTCTTGCTGGAAATGCTTGGGATGAGAAGTGTTCCAGACTTTGGGCTTTTTCAGATTTTGGAATATTTGCATTATGCTCACGAGTTAAGCATTCCAAAACTGAAATAGCCCAATGAGCATTTCCTTTTTTTTTCCTTTTTTTTGAGACAGAGTTTCGCTCTTGTTGCCCAGGCTGGAGTGCGACGGCATGATCTCGACTCACTGCAACCTCTGCCTCCTGGGTTGAAGTGATTCTCCTGCCTCATCCTCCTGTGTAGTTGGGATTACAGTCATGCGGCACCATGCCTGGCTAATTTTGTAGTTTTAGTAGAGACAGGGTTTCTTCATGTTGGTCAGGCTGGTCTCAAACTCCAAACCTCAGGTGAGCCGCCCGCCTTGTGTTGGGATTACAGGCGTGAGCTATCTCACCCAACCTGAGCATTTCCTTTTAGTGCCATGTTGGTGCTTTAAAACTTGCAGATTTGGGGTTGGGCGTGGTGGCTCATGCCTGTAATCCCAGCACTTTGGGAGGCTGAGGCAGGTGGGTTGCCTGAGGTCAGGAGTTGGAGAACAGCCTGGCCAACATAGTGAAACCTTGTCTTTACCTAAAAAAAAAAAAAAATCAGCTGGGCGTGGTGACGGGCACCTGTAATCCCAGCTACTCTGGGAGGCTGAGGCAGGAGAATCGCTTGAACTCGGGAGGTGGAGGTTGCAGTGAGCGGAGATAGCACCATTGCACTCCAGCCTGGGCCACAAGAATGAAACTCCATCTCAATCAGTCAGTCAATCTTGCAGATATTGGAGTGTTTCAGATTTCAGATTTGGGGTACTTAAACTGTACGTGAAAATTAGCTGCTGGGGAGGAGAGGAATTGGAATATGTAACATGGACTCCCACATTTTAAGGATTTTTCTAGGACTGCATCTTTCTCTTAATAAGTCAGATCCTTATTTGGTTGAAAATGTTTACTGCATGACTATCACTGACTATGTAAGATGCTGATGTACAACTCTATGACTTGAAGATTGAGTTGCTTCTATGGGAATATGACACCATTTGAATTAATTTGTTCTCAATATTTTAAAGAGTTTTAGTGAATTCTGTTCATATAAAAATCAGGTTCAATAATGCGTGCTTTTTACGCTATCATTGAGTATCCAGTGTTTACAAGGTGTTTCTGAGGGATAAGATTATTATTGCTGTGTAAAGAATTTGGCAGATGGTGTGTACCTTCTAAGTTAGCTTGAGGTTTATTTAAATCTCATCTTTTTAGCTTGCTGAAGTTGATACTATGCAGTTGCAAGTTTATATTGACTATTTGATATTGCTGTGTTTTTATTTGAAATGGGACTGTTAGACACATTTTTCTTTATATTGAGCAATAGAGCTGGAATATTAAAGATGTATGCATTAACCCTTGCATTTGGAACATTTACATGTCATAAGCTGCCTTTCAGTAAGTGGTTAGGCATTTCTACGGGTGTGTATTATATTTTGAATAAATTTTATATGGCTTTCCAAGAAACAATTAGAGCATTTGACCCACCGACTTTGTTGTTTATTTTTATTTTTTTGAGATGGAGCCTCCCGCAGTAGAGATAGAGTTTCACTATGTTGGCCAGGCTGGTCTTGAATTCCGCCTCAGGTGATCCACGTGCCTTGGCCTCCCAAAGTGCTGGGATTACAGGTGTGAGCCACCATGCCCAACCTGACCTACCAACTTTGGATGTGAATTTTTTTCATTTATATTGAGAAGAATAGGGTCTTGGGCCACTAGATTGTACCAGTGCTAAGTCAGTATCTGAATCCATTGAAGATCCTGTTGGCAACGTCAGGACTTATCAAAGACACACAACTTCAATGAGAACCTTTCTTTGGAATTAATTAATTAATGATATGGAGCCTTGATCTGTCACTCAGGCTGGAGTGCAGTGGCACTATTTCAGCTCACTAGGAATGCATCTTTCTCTTCTCTTTCTCCACCTCCCAGGTTTAAGCACTTCTCCTGCCTCAGCCTCCCGAGTAGCTGGGACTGCAGGCACAAGCCACCATGCTGAGCTAATTTTTGTATTTTTAGCAGAGACAAGGTTTTGCCATGTTGGCCAGGCTGGTCTCGAACTCCTGGCCTCACGTGATCTGCCCACCTCAGCCTCCCAAAGTACTGGGATTACAGGCTTGAGCCACTGTGCCCGGCTGCCTTGTTTGATTTTTTTTTTTAAAGAGACAGAGATCCCCTCTGTTGCCCAGGCTGAAGTGCAGTGACACAATCATAGCTCGTTGTAACTTCAGTCTCCTGGGTGATGGGTAGAATTCTGCCACAGCCCAAGTAGCTAGGAGTATAGGCACGAACGACTGTGCCTAGCTAATTTTTTTATTTTTTGTGGAAATGGGGCCTTGCTGTGTTGCCCAAGCTGGTCTCAAGCTCGTTTCCTCAAACCCTCCTCCCATGTCAGCCTTCCAAAGCTCCAGGATTACAGGTGTGAGCCATCGTGCGTGACTTGTTTTTGATTTTTGTATCGTTTTCTTCACTCTTTTTTTTTTTTTTTTGAGATGGAGTCTCCCGCTGTCACCCAAGCTGGAGTGCAGTGGCACAATCTTGGCTCACTGCAACTGCATCTTGGGTTCAAGTGATTCTCCTGCCTCAGTCTCCCCAAGTAGCTGGGACTACAGGCGCATGCCACCACGCCCAGCTAAATTTTTTTGTTTTTATTTTTTGCATTTTTAGTAGAGACGAGGTTTCACCACGTTGGCCAGGCTGGTCTTGAACTCTTGACCTCAGATGATCTGCCCGTCTCGGCCTCCCAAAGTGCTGGGATTACAGGTGTGAGCCACCGCGCCCGGCCTTCTTCACCTTTTGTATCAAGCTTTTTAAGGAAGAGCTTAGAAAGCCAGTTTAAAGGAATTGAAATGTGTTATGTAAATGTCTGTTTTGCAACTGAGACCCACTAATTTATTTAGAACAAAAAGTCAGAGACCAGTAATGGGTCCTTTTCTGTCAAATTTCAAGCTGAGCTGTTTCTGCTACTTAGAAACATTTCGATTTTCTACCTAGATATGTATTATATCATTGCTAATTATTTATTTATTTATTTATTTATTTATTTGAGGTGGAGTCTCACTCTGTCGCCCAGGCTTGAGTGTACTAATTTATTTTTAAGTGCAGTTTAACATTGGATTTTTTTTTTTTTTTTTGAGACGGAATCTTGCTCTGTCGCCCAGACTGGAGTGCAGTGGCACGATCTTGGCTCAGAGCAACCTCTGGCTCCTGGGTTCAAGCGTTTCTCCTGCCTCAGCTTCCCAGGTAGCTGGGATTACAGGCATGAGCCACTGCTCCTGGCCTACAGTTGGAATTTTTTGTTGTTGTTTTTGAGACGGAGTCTTGCTCTGTCACCCAGGCTTGAGTGCAGTGGCGCGATCTCAGCTCACTGCATTGTCCATTTCCTGGGTTCAAATGATTCTCATGCCTCAGCCTCCTGAGTAGCTGGGATTATAGGCGCGTGCCACCATGCCTGGCTAATTTTGTTGTATTTTTATTAGAGACAGGGTTTCACCATGTTGGCCAGGCTGGTCTGGAACTCCTGACCTCAAGTGATCTGCCTGCCTCGGCCTTCCAGAGTGTTGGGATTACAGGCGTGAGCCATCCGTCCGGCTGGAATGCTATTCTTAATTGACCTGCATTTATTTATTTATTTATTTATTTGGCAAGCCTTGAGGAAGGGATTTGGGGAATGAACAATGGTACTTGATCAAATAATCCTTGTACTAGGCAATCACAGTTTCTAGGGCCACTGTACCTGGCCATGGGGGTTTTATTGATAATAATCTGTAAGGAACAAAAGGGTTAGTACTATCGGAATTTTTGATTAGATGTAGTGAGCATTAAGGACATATGGAAAGTAGTTTGAAGTAAAATATATACAGTATAAGAGTCAGAATCAGCCAGGCGCGGTGGCTCATGTAATCCCAGCACTTCGGGAGGCCGAGGTGGGCGGATCACCTGAAGTCAGGAGTTCGAGATGGCCTGGCCAAAATGGTGAAACCCCATCTCTAGTGAAAATACAAAAAAAAGCCAGGTGCGGTGGCTCACGTCTGTAATCTCAGCACTTTGGGATGCTGAGGCAGGATAATCGCTTAAACCTGGAAGGCAGAGGTTGCAGTGAGCTGAGATCACGCCACTGCACACCAATCTGGGGTACAGTGAGGCTCTGTCTCAAAAAAAAAATACAAAAAAAGTAGCCAGACATAGTGGCATCTACTTGTAGTCCAGGGTACTCAGGAGGCTGAGGCAGGAGAATCACTTGAACCCAGGAGGCGGCCGTGTCAGTGAGCCTAGATCACACCACTGCACTCCAGCCTGGAAGACAGAGGAAGACTCCATCTCAAAAAAAAAAAAAAAAAGTGAGAATGTTGCATAGATTACCCAAGTTAATTCTTATAATTTAGTGTTCATTTAAAAGGAAAATTGATTTCCTACTTTTTGTTTTTAAAAATAGTATTAGGCTGGGTATGGTGGGTCAGGCCTGTAATCCCAACATAAAATGTGGCCAAGGCAGGAGGATTGCTTGAGGTTTGGAGTTCAAGGCCAGCCCCAGCAACAATGAGACCAGGAAAAATCAGCCAGGCACGGTGCTAAGCACCTGTGGTCCCAGCTAGTCAGCTAGCTGAGGCAGGAGGATCGCTTGAGTCCAGAAGTTCAAGGCTGCAGTGAGCTGTGATGGCACCACTGCATTCTAGTGTGGGCAACAGACCAAGACCCTGCCTCTAAAACAAAATGTAAAAAATATATTTTCCATTTCCCTATTCATTTTATGTATTTGTAGCATAAATGTTACTATGCATATTGACACTTAACACCATTAGATTTCTCTTACATGTATTACGTTGCTTTACTGCATTAGTAATATTTTTTTCGTAATTAGGAAAGTCCATAATTACTGTTACAGAAATTTTTTATTTGGGATATTGTGGGAAATGGCTAGTGTTGTCATAGTTAATAAAAATTATATAATTAAGTGCCATTGAAGAACCATAGTTTGAAAGTGAATTTAATACATTAGCTCATAGTTATACAATCTCACAAGCATTTTGCTGCCTTCAGGTTGTCAGTTTCCTGCTAATGCTAATGACTAAATTTTTTATTTTTCTTTTCAACGAAAATTTCACTCAGTTCTATATATGCCAGATGAGGCTTGGAACATACAGCTCTACAACCTTTAACTGCTTTTCCAAAAATCTGAACGCTATGAAAATGAAAAATCTTCATAATTTAACTGATTTGGTGACAAAGCGTAAAGTGAACAGATGTGAGAGTATTTGTAATTGTTAATTTTACGTAGTAGGAAATAGTAATTTGTTCAATTAGGGTTGCTACTTCATATCCTTTTAGTGTTTCAATATAGGTGTACCACACTACTTTTCCTTTAAAAATGTTCTCAGAATTTAACATTCTGCAACACTCTTGAACCCTGTGATTTTGGAGAATGGAACCTATAGTAGATGCTCAGCAAATTCTACATGATGCAAATTAAAATCAAGGATATGAGTATCATGTCTTAACTGTTTAAAGAGTAGGTTTTACTATGAAGAGATCCATAAGTAAAGAGCATTTGAAATGAAAACTTTTTCCTAAACTTCCCTCTTTTTTTTAACATTGTGTGTGTGAAGTTAATGTTGTATTTCTAATATGAGCTTAATGTTGCAATTAATGTATAGTGGAAAATAATAACACGTATATTAATTCATTTTTGAGACAAGAGTTCGCTCTGTTGCCCAGGCTGGAGTGCAGTGGCATGATCTCCGTTCACTGCAGCCTCCGCCTCTAGGCCTCAAGCGATCCACCGGCTTCATCCTTCCAAAGTGCTGGGATTACAGGAGTAAGCCACTGTGCCCAAGCCATCAATAAATTTTTATGGGTTAGAAGTTTGGGCCAGGCCTGGTGGCTCATGCCTATAATCCCAGCAGTCTGGGAGGCCAAGGCAGGTGGATTACTTGAGGTCAGGAGTTTCAGACCAGCCTAGCCAACATGGTGAAAACATGTCTCTATAAAAATACAAAAAGTAGCTGGGTGTGCTGGGCGCAGTGGCTCACGCCTGTAATCCCAGCACTTTGGGAGGCCGAGGCAGGCAGATCACGAGGTCAGGAGATCGAGACCATCCTGGCTAACACGGTGAAACCCCATCTCTACTAAAAATACAAAAAAATAGCCGAGCATGGTGGCGGGCGCCTGTAGTCCCAGCTACTTGGGAGGCTGAGGCATGAGAATGGCGTGAACCCAGGAGGTGGAGCTTGCAGTGAGGCGAGATCGCGCCACTGCACTCCAGCCTGGGCGACAGAGCGAGATTCTGTCTCAAAAAAAAAAAAATAGTAGCTGGATGTGGTGGTGCGTGCCTGTAATCCCAGCTGCTCAGGATGCTGAGGCAGGACAATTGCTTGAACCCAGGAGGTGGAGGCGGAGGTTGCAGTGAACCAAGATTGCACCTCTGCACTCCAGCCTGGGCAACAGAGCAAGACTGTCTCCAAAAAAAAGAAAGAAAAGGCCGGGTGCAGTAGCTCACACCTATAATCCCAGCACTTTGGGAGGCCGAGGAGGGCGGATCACTTGAGGTCAGGAGTTCAAGATCAGCCTGGCCAACATGGTGAAACCTTGTCTCTTATTGAAAATACAAAAATTAGCCAGGCATGGTGGTTGATGCCTGTACTCGGGAGCCTGAGGCAGGAGAATCACTTGAACCTGGGAGGCAGAGGTTGCAGGGAGCCAAGATTGTGCCACTGCACTCCAGTGTGTGTGACATAACAGGACTCCGTCTCAAAAAAAAAAAAAAAAAAGAAAAGAAACACATGGAACCAAATCAGGATGAAAGAAACTGGAATAGCAGTTTGTTATAGGCTGGGCTTGTTGGCTTGTTCCTGTAATTCCAGCACTTTGGGAGGCCCAGGCAGGAGGATCACTTGAGTCTATGAGTTTAAGACCAACCTGGGCAACAATGCCAGATCCCATCTTTAAAAATATGAATAGCACATTAAATTCATTGATTTTTTTTTTTTAAGTCTTGCTCTGTTGCCCAGGCTGGAGTGCAATGACGTGATGTCTGCTCACTGCAACCTCCACCTCCCGGATTCAAGTGATTCCCCTGCCTCAGCCTCCCGAGTAGCTGGGATTACAGGCACCCGCCACCACGCCCAGTTAATTTTTGTATTTTTAGTAGAGACAGGGTTTCACCATGTTGGTCATGCTGGTCTCGAATTCCTGGCCTCAGGTGATCCACCCACCTCAGCCTCCCAAAGAATTGCTGGGATTACAAGCGTGAGCCACCGCACCGGGCCGGAATTTTTTTAAAATGCCAATACTGGTGACAGGATTAGAGTATATTAACTGATTTTACTTAGTCTTTCCATTCCCACATTAATTAGTTCTCAAAATTTATTTGCATGCTACAAAAGAGCTCAACAATTTTTTTATTACGTGCAATTTTTTTAATAGGAATAAAAAAATACGTTGTTGGCCTCATTATCAAGACGTCATCTGACCCAACTTGTGTAGAGGTAAGAGTTTATTTTGGAGCTTATTGGGAGAGCATAAAATCATTTAGATATTGAGTCTGACTACAACCTAATTCTGTCAAGACACATAGTCACACATATGCACAGTCAGTCATTTACAGTAGAGCTGTAATCATTTGTTAGGATTGTCTGGTTATATTCTTATTTATACTTACCTCAGGCTCTCATTTAATCTTTTACTTTTCCTTAGAAAGAAAAGGTGTATATCGGAAAATTAAATATGATCCTTGTTCAGGTAAGCTTTAACTTAACTGTTTTCCTTAGAAGAATTATGCTTATTATTTGAACAAAATGTTCGACCTACTTAGGAAATAAAGTATACTAATATTTTGCAGAAGTAGTGATAGTATTCTTATAATAATAGGTAACCTACTGTCTAGTACTTGAATGTTAATTTGCTGTGGCAGTAATCATCAAATAACGTTAAAGCCATCATTTATGTGGCTGCAGTGTGGACTGGACTCTGTTGGATTCTTATTTATCTTTTCTTTTCTTTTTTTTTTTTTTTTGGAGACAGTCTCCCTCTGTTGCCCAGGCTGGAGTGCAGTGGCATGATCTCGGCTCACTGCAGCCTCTGCTACCCGGGTTCAAGCGATTGTTCTGCCTCAGCCTCCTGAGTGGCTGGAATTACGGGTGCTTACCACCACGTTTGGCTAATTTTTTGTATTTTTAGTAGAGACAGGGTTTCACCATGTTGGCCAGGCTGGTCTCAAACTCTTGACCTCAGGTGATCCACCCACCTCGACCTCCCAAAGTGCTGGGATTATAGGTGTGAGCCGCTGCACCTGGCCGGATTGTTTTTTAATTTTCTGATATGCCTGTGCATATTTCCTTTGCATGTATGTCTCTGAGTCCTTTGATTTCCTCGTCCTTCTAATTGATTTCCATGCTTAGTCCTTAAACTGTCTATGTAGACTAAATTTATAATTTTTATGTTTATCTGTTTTCTATAGTAATATCATAAAATTTTTTCCAGAGAACCCTGGTATGTGTGGGGGAAAAAACAGTAATTTCTATTTAAATAAGACTTAGAAACATCCAAGCTTCCAAAAATTTTAGTGTATTCAGTAATTAACTCCAGCTTTTATTATACTTTAGAGCTTTCTGTTAGCCCTTCTCTGAGTGGTGAGAGAGAGGAGAGAATATAAAGAAGGTTAACATGTATTTTTATAATCTGAAAAATCCCTTGTGTGTGCCATAAATAGTCCAGACTTGCATACAAATATAATGCAGTTCATGAGGCTTTTGGTTAAAAGTTTATTCAGGCCCCGATTGCAGTGCGTCCTCTCTTTTAAATTCATATATCCAAACCCTACTACATTTCAAGGCTCAAATTGCATCCAATAATAAGCTGTCTTAACCGGTCACTTTTTATCACCAATGGTTAATTAAATCCTTGAGTCTCCTAGGATAATTTCTTCTTTTCTTGTTTGAAATGGAGTGTCGCTCTGTCGCCCATGCTGGAGTGCAGTGGCACCGTCTTAGTTCACTGAAACCTCCACCTCCCAGGTTCAAGCAATTCTCCTGCCTTGGCCTCCCCAGTAGCTGAGACTACTGGCCCGCGCCACCACCCCTGGCTAATTTTTGTATTTTTAGTAGAGACGGGGTTTCACCATGTTGGCCAGGCTGCTCTTTTTTTTTTTTTTTTTTTTGAGATGGAGTCTCATCCTGTTGCCCAGCCTTGAGTGCAGTGGCCTGGTCTCGGCTCACTGCAACCTCTGCCTCCCAGGTTCAAGAGATTCTCCTGCCTCAGCCTCCCGAGCAGCTGGGATCACAGGCACACGTCACCATGCCTCGCTAATTTTTGTATTTTTAGTAGAGACAGGGTTTCACCATGTTGGCCAGGCTGGTCTTGAACTCCTGACCTCGTGATCCTCCTACCTCGGCCTCCCAAAGTGCTGGGATTACAGGCACGAGCTACCACGCCCAGCCTGGCCAGGCTGTTCTCAGACTCCTGGCCTCAAGTGATCTGCCCACCCTGGCTCCCCACAAAGTGCTGGGATTACAGGCATGAGCAACCGCGCAAGGCCTCCTAGAATAATTTCTACATATCTATCAGGCAGATACTAATACACAGACAGACCCATTAGACGGATTGGACCTTTCATTAGGATAATTGAAAAGGGTCCTGCGGTGATTAAGATAAAAGACTTTGTGTTTTGTTTTCTACCCAGTAGGGTGAAGAGGGTGGCACATTTCTTCCTTTAATAAAGGAGGAGAAAATGAAAAGTGATTTATCCTTACTCCTGCCTTTATCCATTACATAATTTCTTTGAAGTTTGTTTTATTTGCCTTTGAGAAATGAAGTGCGATTAACATTTCATGTCTTGTTTTAGATACTGAAACAAGAATGGCCCAAACATTGGCCAACTTTTATCAGTGATATTGTTGGAGCAAGTAGGACCAGCGAAAGTCTCTGTCAAAATAATATGGTGATTCTTAAACTCTTGAGTGAAGAAGTATTTGATTTCTCTAGTGGACAGATAACCCAAGTCAAATCTAAGCATTTAAAAGACAGGCAAGTAATAATTATGTTTTAGAATTTTAAAGTGATTTCTCAAACAATTTCAAGCAGTTTGGATGTAAATTGTAGATATTTTAAGGAACTATGATCAGTAATATGTTAAATTGCTTGTAGTGGTTTTCAACTGCAGATTAAGAAATAGTCCTAGACGGGGCCTAATAATTTACCTCTGAAGGTTGAAAAATGAATTGTTCAAGACACACTTCAGGAATTGTTTTGTATGGTAACTAGTTTAATAGGTTCTAAGCAAATGATTTGTGTCCAAACATACGTATTAGTTATTTTATTTTATTTTGAGACAAGTCTTGCTCTATTGCCTGGGGTGGAGTGCAGCAGCGCAATCTTGGCTCACCACAACCCCCACCTCCTGGATTGAGGTGATTTTCTTGCCTCAGTTTCCCAAATAGCTGTGACTGCAGGTGCATGCCACAGAGCCTGGCCTCAAATCAGTTATTGTCTCTGCTTCTTTTCAGTTCCCCAATTGTTAACAATAGTGTTCTTTTTAAAACAAAACAGAAAACTAGATTTGCCTCTAATAGTAAGCAACTGGTATAAACTATAGTTATACTTCCATTAAGTTTTAAACATTTGTTGTAGTCATTAGGAAATCTTTTTCCCCTTGGGTTGCCCAGGCTGGTCTCAAACAATCCTTCTGCCATGGCCTCCCAAAGTTCTGCGATTACAGGCATGAGCCACTGTACTGGGCTTTAATCATTTTTATTAGTATTATAGATAACTGATACTTATTTCTGTGTCTTCTAAATCTGATATTTTTGTGTGTTTTTTTTTTTAGCATGTGCAATGAATTCTCACAGATATTTCAACTGTGTCAGTTTGTAATGGTAAGTGTTTTTAATTTCATTTTTAAAAACAATAATAGGAAAGCAATTATTTACAAGTGTGTTTTGTTATAGGAAAATTCTCAAAATGCTCCACTTGTACATGCAACCTTGGAAACATTGCTCAGATTTCTGAACTGGATTCCCCTGGGATATATTTTTGAGACCAAATTAATCAGCACATTGATTTATAAGGTACAGTGAATACATTTCAGTTATTTGTCACCGGATAGCCACATATATTCTTTTCACATGTAAAGCTCTCATCTCTGCATTCTAAACCTTATTCAACCTTGTTTCTAACACGAGGACGCTGCTCAGGAGAAATTTCCCATATTCACACCTAGTAAATTATTTAAAGTGAGTTTCAAATCTGATTCTGCCACTTAGACCATGTAATTTTATGAATTCATTTTGAACAATGGATTTGATTATATTGCTTTTAGTTTGAGTAAGTTACAGTGAGGTAAGTCAAGTGCTATTTCTGAAAAATGAAAAGTTCATCTTTTAACTGATAATTTAAAATTGATACCATGTTATGGCTTAAGTTCTATAATGGTTTAGCCTGGGCAAGTTGGTGAAACCGGTCTCTACTAAAAATACAAAACAGCCAGGCGTGGTGGTGTATGCCTGTAGTCCCAGCTACTCGGGAGGCTGTGGCAGGAGAATCTCAAACTCAGGAGGCAGAAGGTGCAGTGAGCCAAGATCGTGCCACTGCACTCCAGCCTGGGCAACAGAGCGAGACCCTGTCTCAAAATAAGTAAAGTTCTACAGTGGTTTATCCAGAGATAATCACTGTTACCAGTTGGTTGTATTATATTTTCAGATGTTTTCTTGACTGATATAATGAATAAATTAAGTATCTAATTGGAACATTATAACTTGACCTCTTCAACTTCGTAGTTTAGTTTGGTAAGATAATATGGATTTATAGTATTTGAATGATCAGTTTATTGCTTAATTATGTAAAAACCTTTCTATTGTCAACAGTCCTACAGAGAACATTCTCAGACATAAGATATTATGCAATTGTCCAAACATTAATTTATTTAAATATTTTAATGTTTAATCACCAGATTATTAGGTATGTTTAATTTTAAGGTTTTAATGCCCCCTGATTTCCAACCCCAGACGATAACTGTTTATCTTCTCAACAATAGAATATATAAGCCAATTTTCCCATATTCTTATTACTCTTAGATACATTGACCATTTCCCAAAATTCTAAGCAATCACAAGTTTTAGGTCCTGTGTAATTACACAGAAAGTATAACATTCCTAAAAGTCATATCACAGATTCTAGGAAAGTTGTTAAGGAGCCTTGTTATTTTAGGACACATCAAAAGAAAGCAGTTTAGGCCGGGCGCTGTGGCTCACGCCTGTAATCCCAGCACTTTGGGAGGTCGAGGTGAGCGGATCACGAGGTCAGGAGATCGAGACCAGCCTGGCCCAACGTGGCAAAACCCTGTCTCTACTAAAAATACAAAAATTAGCCGGGCGTGGTGGCATGCATGTGTAGTCCCAGCTATTTGAGAGGCTGAGGCAGGAGAATCGCTTGAATCCAAGAGGTGAGGTTGCAGTGAGCCGAGATCAAGCCCCTGCATTTCAGCCTGGGCGAGCGAGACTCTGTCTCAAAAAAACAAAAAAAGTTTGCTCCTAAAGCATTTACTGTATACTAGGTAGGCAATAAAATTCCCTCTCAGTATATCTGCATGATAAAATATGTTCATTCACTTGGCCTGTTTTTGACATCTACCCCTATATTTAATTGTTAAAGCCTTTTTCCTTTTAATTGTGAATTTTAAGTAAAGTGTGTATCAGGCCAATTAATTTTATGGTTCCCTCCCCCCTTTTAAATAGTTCCTGAATGTTCCAATGTTTCGAAATGTCTCTCTGAAGTGCCTCACTGAGATTGCTGGTGTGAGTGTAAGCCAATATGAAGAACAATTTGTAACACTATTTACTCTGACAATGATGCAACTAAAGCAGGTAATATAATACTATCTTGAAAATTGGCTGAATAATTTTAGTGCCTTAGAAAATACCAAATTCCAAATGAGTTATTTTAGAACGACGTATCAAAGATAAGCCATAATCTTTTGTTTATTACATAAAATTTGTAGTAAGCTACAAATTTTTATGATGTTTCCAAAAATTTCTTAAAATTCAGGTTTGGGGTGTGTTGTGGTAATTTATTTCTGCACACTTTAGGAGCTTGGTCTTTTGGGAGATACCTGACCAGACAGTGGGAAACCTGGGACTTGTTCCTAACATTGTGTCTGAAGGAATTCTTTTCAGCCCTAGTTTGATTGGTTATCTATTAAATGATCTAGAAGGTTATTCATAATACTGTGTTCATGGCCAGGCATGGTGGTTAATACTGTAATCCCAGAACTTTGGGAGGCCAGAATGGGAGGACCAGTTGATGCCAGGAGTTCGAGACCAGCCAGGACAACATAACCAGACCATACCTACGAAAGATTTAAAAAATAGCTAGCTGTGGTGTTGCACACCTGTAGTTCCAGCTACTCTGGAGGCTGAGGCAATAGGATCGCTTGAGCCTATTAATACAAAGTTAAAATGAGCTATGGTCACACTATTGCACTCCAGCCTGGATGACAGGGTAAATCCCTGTCTCTTTTAAAAAACAAGGAAAGATAGATTACTATGTATGTTTGTGATCTGAATGAATGAATTGATTATTTTTACATTTTTCAATGTCAGTGAGAAATACTAGAAAAATTTAAAGGCTGTGATAGCGGCCTTTAATTTATTTGAGAAGAGTCAAAATCTAAGTCCTAGAGATATAAGAATAGGTATACTGGACCTAGGAGTTCTGTATGTGGTTTAATATTAGCAAAAGGGTGTTGGGATATTAGGGCTTAAAAATAATAGTGTTGGCTGAGTGCAATAGCTCAGACCTTTAATCCCAGCACTTTGGGAGGCTAAGGTGGGAGGATTGCTTGAGCCAGGAGTTTGAGACCAGCCTGGACAACATAACAAGATACCGTCTCTACAAAAATGTTAAAAATAAGCTTAGTGCGATGGCACATACCTGTGGTTCCAGCTACTCGGGAGGGGCTGAGGAGGACTGATTGGGCCTAGGAGGTGGAGGCTGCAGTGAGCTTTGGTCATACCACTGCACTCCAGCCTGGACAGAGTGATACCTTGTCTCAAAAAAATAATAATAAAATATTAAGTGTCTTTAGTTGTTTTATAAAATGCGAACTGATCGTCCCTTTTAAAATTTGCAGATGCTTCCTTTAAATACCAATATTCGACTTGCGTACTCAAATGGAAAAGATGATGAACAGAACTTCATTCAAAATCTCAGTTTGTTTCTCTGCACCTTTCTTAAGGAACATGATCAACTTATAGAAAAAAGATTAAATCTCAGGGAAACTCTTATGGAGGTAAGATATGTGGAGCTTTTGCTCCTAAAATTCTGCTCTGCCTACTAATAACTCTTAAAAGTGCCTTTTTCTAAAATGTATGTACCTTTTGAGATTTCTTATTACTTAATATTTGATCAGTACATTATATATATTCTCAATTCTGAATTACAGTTATAAGCCCAGTTTTCTGATTTTATGTTCTCCATAAAGCTAGGACTAAAAATTTATAATCAAAATTAAATTACTAATTATTATATCATTTCTAAGGTTAAAATTTCAAAGACCTTATTTTAAAATTTCAGTTTTAATTCAAATAACATGCATTTGTTCATTTAAAGATATACAATTCATCGTGTAATCCCAGCACTTTGGGAGGCGGAGGTGGGTGGATCACTTGAGGCAGGAGTTCGAGACCAGCCTGGCCTACATCGTGAATCTCTGTCTCTATTAAAAATACAAAAAAATTAGCTGTGCGTGGTGTCACATGACTGTAATCCCAGCTCCTCAGGAGGCTGAAGCACAGGAATTGCTTTAGCCCAGTAGGCTGAGGTTGCAGTGAGCCAAGATCACAGTACTGCACTCCAGCCTGAGTGACAGAGCAAGACTCTGTCTGAAGGAAGAAAATGTCTCTCTCTCTCTCTTTATATATATATATAAACTTAAGTATATATATATATAAACATAAGTATATATATATATACACACACACACACAATTCAGTGGCATATTAGTATATATACAATGTTATACAACCATTAATACCTAGATCCAAAACATTTTCATCACCCGAAGGTGACCCTTTACCCCTAAAACAGTCACTTTCTCCTTTGTTCTCTCCCCAACTTCTGGCAACCATTATTTTGGTTTCTGTCTCTGTAGATATATCTATTCTGATTATACCATATAAAGGGAATCATGCATGTGACCTTTTGTGTCTGGTTTCTTTTATTTGGTGTTGTGTTTTCAATGTTCTTCCATGTTGTAACCTGTATCAATACCTCACTTTTTATCATGTCTGAAGAATATTCTCATTGTATGAATATTCAGTATTTTGTTTGTTCTCTCCTCTGTGATGGTACATTTGGGTTGTGATACCACTTATTGGCACCCAAGGCCTTTTAAATAAATGTCGTTCCATTAGGAGACATGATAAAAATACATATTGATCAACTACTATGTGAGAGATTTTTGAAGTGCTTTAGGGCATGTCAGAAGAAGCAGAGTTACTCCAGAGTTTGCTGTCTATTTGATAAGTATTGAAATCTGAGTTGTGATGAATAAAACATGAATTTTTATTTTCCCTTAAGGTGTAACAAGTGAAAAGCAATTTGAAGTTGGTAATGTTTAAGAATTATTTTAACAGTTTTGGTCTTCTGTGTAGGCCCTTCATTATATGTTGTTGGTATCTGAAGTAGAAGAAACTGAAATCTTTAAAATTTGTCTTGAATACTGGAATCATTTGGCTGCTGAACTCTATAGAGAGAGTCCATTCTCTACATCTGCCTCTCCGTTGCTTTCTGGAAGTCAACATTTTGATGTTCCTCCCAGGAGACAGCTATATTTGCCCATGTTATTCAAGGTAACAGAGCGGTTGGTTGAGTGTTCTTCCTGTTGCATACTGTGGTTTTGAGGTCTGAATCCAAATACTTCTAATCTGTGTAAATAAATTAGCTATAAAAAGAGAACCCAACAACTTCTCCATGAGTGTGGAAAACTAGAACATGAAAGGAGTTGAGTCTAGAACCTTGATTCTCAAGAGTGTGGTCCTTCTCTCAGTATCAACATTGGTTGTGATTTCGTTAGGCAAATTCATTGGCCACCTGCCAATCTACTAAACCAGAGTCTAGGAATGAGACACAGGAAACTCCTGTAACAGAAGTTGGTTAAAAAAATCACATTAAAACACACTTAAATAATTATAAAGCCATTTTTGTAGAATTACAGTGAAAAAAAATTTTTTCTTTTGGAGACAGGGTCTTGCTCTGTGGCTCAGGTTGGAGTGCAGTGGCGTGGTCATAGCTCACTACAATCTTGAACTCCTAGACTAAAGCAATTCTCTTGTGTCAGCCTCCCAAGTAATTGGTTGCAGGCACACACCACCATGCCTAGCAAATTTTAAATTTTTTAGTTTTACTTCATTTATATTTACATAGTTTTTTCTGTTGTGCTTTAAGCCCCAGTATTTTTATTGTTTTAGAGATTGGGTGTCATTTTGTGTTGCTCAAGCTGCTCTCAAATTCCTGGCCACAACAGTTCTTTTTGCCTCGGCCCTCCGGAATAGTTGGAATTATAGGCATGAATCCCTACACATGGCTGGCTTGTGGTTTTTTTGGTTTTGTTTGTTTTTAACTAAGCTTCTACACTAATGATTTCAGTGATCTAACGATTTTTTTCTTGATTGATATATTGTTGAGTATAGGTCCGTTTATTAATGGTTAGTCGAATGGCTAAACCAGAGGAAGTATTGGTTGTAGAGAATGATCAAGGAGAAGTTGTGAGAGAATTCATGAAGGATACAGATTCCATAAATTTGTATAAGAATATGAGGGAAACATTGGGTAAGTTAATAAATACTGTTAATCTTTACCTTTATAAATCTATTCTGGGGTGGAAATACATTTTAGGAAATGTACTTGTAGTTTCTAAATATTTTCTAAATGTATTGTTACTCATCAATAAAATTCTGCTCATTATTTGCATTTGAAACCATGTTTTTCTTTGTAGTTTATCTTACTCATCTGGATTATGTAGATACAGAAAGAATAATGACAGAGAAGCTTCACAATCAAGTGAATGGTACAGAGTGGTCATGGAAAAATTTGAATACATTGTGTTGGGCAATAGGCTCCATTAGTGGAGCAATGCATGAAGAGGACGAAAAACGATTTCTTGTTACTGTTATAAAGGTATGCAAGGGATAGGTATGAATTAGAATTGCTAAATAAGTATTATGTTGTTACAATAAATAATACAAATTTGTCTTATTTACAGGATCTATTAGGATTATGTGAACAGAAAAGAGGCAAAGATAATAAAGCTATTATTGCATCAAATATCATGTACATAGTAGGTCAATACCCACGTTTTTTGAGAGCTCACTGGAAATTTCTGAAGACTGTAGTTAACAAGCTGTTCGAATTCATGCATGGTAAATCTCTTTCTTTACTATATTTTGCTTTTATTTTTATTGAAGAAAATAAATGAATGTTTTTGTCTTGTTAGAGACCCATGATGGAGTCCAGGACAAAATAAATGAATATTTTTGTCTTGTTAGAGACCCATGATGGAGTCCAGGATATGGCTTGTGATACTTTCATTAAAATAGCCCAAAAATGCCGCAGGCATTTCGTTCAGGTTCAGGTTGGAGAAGTGATGCCATTTATTGATGAAATTTTGAACAACATTAACACTATTATTTGTGATCTTCAGCCTCAACAGGTATGTTAAGCACTGAGCATATGTTATTTTTAGAAAGTAACACTTGTATCAATCTGTATGTATCAATGGAAATAGGAGGGCAACTATTGGATCCAATAGAAGTGTTTCTGATTAAATTTTCTTTCTTTTTTCCTTGAGACAGGGTCTTACTCTGTTGCCCAGGCTTGAGTGCAGTGGCACAATTACGGCTCACTGCAGCCTTGAACTCCCAGGCTCAGGTGATCCTCCCACCTTGGCCTCGTGGGTAGCTGGGACTACAGGCATGCACTGCCATCACACTCAGCTAACCTTTTTCCCCCCCTTGGTAGAGATGGGGTTTTGCCAAGTGGCCCAGGCTGGTCTTGAACTCCTAGCTTCAAGCGATACGCTTGCCTCAGCCTCCCAAAATGATTTTATATGTGTGAGCCACCACGCCCAGCCTGGTTAAATTTTCATAGTGAGACAGATTCTTGACCAGAAGATTGTTAGGCTGTTGTCCTATGTAAAATTATTCCGAACAAACAAAATCAGGTGTTTTTTGTTTTGTTTTGTTTTGGGGTGTGTGTGTGTGTGTGTGTGTGTGTGTGTGTGTGTGTTTGTTTTTTGAGATGGAGTTTCACTCTGTCGTCCATGCTGGAGTGCAGTGGCGCAATCTCGGCTCACTGCAGCCTTGCCTCCTGGGGTCAAACGATTCTCTTCCTCAGTGGCTATGATTAACAGGTGCTTGCCACCACGCCCAGCTAATTTTTTTATTTTTAGTAGAGACGGGGTTTCTCCATGTTGGTCAGGCTCATCTCCAACTCCTGACCTCATGATCCGCCCGCCTCGGCCTCCCAAAGTGCTGGGATTACAGGCGTGAGCCACCACCATGCCTGGCCAGTTTGGGTTGTTTGTTTGTTTGTTTTTTGAGGTGGAGTCTTCCTCTGTCACCCAGGCTCGAGTGCAGTATTGCAATCTCGGCTCACTGCAACCTCTGCCTCCCAGGTTCAAGCAATTCAAACCTCCCAAGTAACTGGAATTATAGGCACCTGCCACCACGCTTGGCTAATTTCTTTGTATTTGTAGAAGAGATGGGGTTTCACCACGTTGGTCAGGCTGGTCTGCAACTCCTGACCACAAGTGATTGGCCTGCCTTGGCTTCTCAAAGTATTGGGATTACAGGAGTGATCCACTGCACCTGGGCCAAAATCAGTTTCAAGACGTTTGTGAATTGCTTGTGTGTGGTTTTCCTTATTAGGGTGTATAACATAAACGTTAAAATGTCTGCTTTTTAAAATAGGTTCATACGTTTTATGAAGCTGTGGGGTACATGATTGGTGCACAAACAGATCAAACAGTACAAGAACACTTGATAGAAAAGTACATGTTACTCCCTAATCAAGTGTGGGATAGTATAATCCAGCAGGCAACCAAAGTAAGTATTTCTACCTTTTCTTAAAAGTTTTCATGGGATTTAACAAGACGTGTTCTTTACAAATGTATTGAATTCAAGCCTTTTAACATGTATGTGTGATCCATAAGTGCTTTTATGTGTGTCTTTCTATAATTTATTATCTGGGCGAGGTGTGGTGGCTCACGCCTGTAATCCTGGCACATTGGAAGGCCGAGGCGGGCGGATCACCTGAGGCCAGAAGTTCGAGATCAGCCTGGCCAACATGGCAAAACCCCGTCTCTACTAAAAATACAAAAATTAGCTGGGCGTGGTTGCACATGCCTGTAATCCCAGCTACTGAGGAGGCTTAGGCAGGAGAATCACTTGAACCCAAGAGGCAGAGGTTGCAGTGAGCCGAGATTGAGCTACTGTTCTCTAGCCGAGACGACAGAGCAAGACTCTGTCTCAAAAAAAAAAAAATAAATGAAAAATCTGGGCCGGGCTCGGTGGCTCACGCCTGTAATCCCAGCACTTTGGGAGACCGAGACGGGTGGATCACTAGGTCAGGAGATTGAGACCATCCTGGCCAACGTGGTGAAACCCCGTCTCTACTAAAAATACAAAAATTAGCCAGGCATGGTGGTGGGCGCCTGTAATCCCAGCTACTCGGGAGGCTGAGCCAGGAGAATGGCTTGAACCCAGGAGGCGGAGCTTGCAGTGAGTCAAGAGCATGCCACTGCACTCCAGCCTGGTGACAGAGGAAGACTCTGTCTCAAAAAAAAAAAAAAATACTGTAATTTCCATTCTCATTTGATATTAAAATAGGAATAGGCTGGGTGTGGTGGCTCATGCCTGTAATCCCAGCACTTTGGGAGGCCGAGGCAGGCGGATCACCAGGTCAGGGGATCGAGACCATCATGGCTAACGCAGTGAAACCCTGTCTCTACTAAAAATACAAAAATTAGCTGAGTGTGGCGGCGGGCGCCTGTAAGTCCCAGCTACTCAGGAGGCTGAGGCAGGAGAATGGCGTGAACCTGGGAGGCAGAGCTTGCAGTGAGCCGAGATCACGCCGCTGCACTCTAGCCTGGGCAACAGAACGAGACTCCGTCCCAAAAAAAAAAAAATAGAACTATATTACTTCATTCTTAAGTAGATGTAGACAAAAAGGCGTTTGTGTTCGTTTTTACCATTTGGGATTATAAATATGGTTTAGGGTAAGGGAAGCGTAATGGCTTTTGCTTTGGTAATTATGTGGATTTTTTTTTTTTTTGAGATGGAGTTTCACTCTTGGTGCCCGGGCTGGAGTGCAATGGCGTGATCTCGGCTCACTGCAACCTCTGCCTCCCGAGCTCAAGCAGTTCTCCTGCCTCAGCCTCCCAAGTGGCTGGGATTACAAGCAAGCACCATTGTGCCTGGCTAATTTTGTATTTTTAGTAGAGACAGGGTTTCTCCATGTTGGTCAGGCTGGTCTTGAACTCCCGACCTCAGGTGATGCACCCGACTCAGCCTCCCAAAGTGCTGGGATTATAGGTGTGAGCCACCTCGCCTGGCCATTATGATGGATAATTCTTTTTTTTTTTTTGAGACGGAGTCTTGCTCTTTCGCCCAGGCTGGAGTGCAGTGGTGCGATCTCGGCTCACTGCAAACTCCATCTCTAGCGTTCACGCCGTTCTCCTGCCTCAACCTCCCGAGTAGGTGGGACTACAGGCGGCTGCCACCACGCCTGGCTATTTTTTTTGTATTTTTAGTAGAGACGGGGTTTCACCGTGTTATCCAGGATGGTCCCGATCTCCTGAACTCATCATCCGCCCGCCTCGGCCTCTCAGAGTGCTGGGATTACAGGCGTGAGCCACTGTTCCCAGCCGTGGATAATTCTTATATGATAAATGGAATTTGCTTTTTTTCCTCCAAGAATGTGGATATACTGAAAGATCCTGAAACAGTCAAGCAGCTTGGTAGCATTTTGAAAACAAATGTGAGAGCCTGCAAAGCTGTTGGACACCCCTTTGTAATTCAGCTTGGAAGAATTTATTTAGATATGCTTAATGTATACAAGTGCCTCAGTGAAAATATTTCTGCAGCTATCCAAGCTAATGGTAGGTGATTCTGATTTCTTACACAATGCAGTATAAACAAACCACTTCTCTTCTACTGCCTTAAGTCAAACATTTGATGTTTTTTACAGATTTAAATCAGACCTCCCATTTCCCAAATGACCCTAGACATATTTAAAACAGTTAAGTGTACCTTTCCCTTTTAAAATTAGTCTTAAAGCTTATTTTCCCAATAAATTTTGTGAACTTTTGGCTTTAAACTTTTTAATGGTAAAATGGAATTGCATCTAATGTACACCTGAGTACCACTGTATAAGTTTAGTGGTAAAATTAGATTCCATTTGATTCTGTTTTGTAGGTGAAATGGTTACAAAGCAACCATTGATTAGAAGTATGCGAACTGTAAAAAGGGAAACTTTAAAGTTAATATCTGGTTGGGTGAGCCGATCCAATGATCCACAGATGGTAAGTGAGAGATGCTTTGCTTTTGATTTCTAGTGTTGATGCTGTGTTTTATGGAATATGCTATACTCTATTATGTGCATTTTGCTAATTTAAAGCATATCAACTTTGTGGTTATTTTATGGCATTTTATTTATTGTAGTCCTTACGTTAATATACTAATAGCTGTATTCCATCTTCAAAAGAAACTGCTGTTAATCAGTAGCGAAGGGTGGTGATATGTAACAAGATAGCTAAGAAAATTGGGTCATTTTATGTTTCCATAGATAGGTTAGGAGGATTTAATTAATGGAGTACCGGTGCAGTTTTTGCATTCCTCTTGATTTTTAGAACAATTGCTAGAGCTACAAAGTTGTCATTACTTTACCTCTTTAGCAAAGTGATTGCTTCCCAGATTAAAGGCCTGAAAGTCTTTTTTACACCCTTTTTCCTAAATGATTTGCAGAAAAGGAAATCATTTTCAGTAATAAAAACCAGCTGCGTATGCCTCAACTTGTAAAATTGTGAATTAGTTTTAGGTTTTAACTGTATCGTTTCATTCTTGTTATTCAATTGAGCCTTGGGAGAGTCCAAAAAATTCTAATACTACTATTACTTGGAATAGTGTTGGTTTTTTGTTTTTTGGTTTTTTTTTTTACAAGTGTGCTAGTTATTTTCATAGTTTTGAAATTTCAGTATTGTTTCTTGTTAAGGAAATACTTTTCAGTAAACTTGTTCTGAATATAATTCTTGTGGAATACTTAAGTTGGCTAACCTAAATATCGAAAGGTTCTGAACATGCGTATTATGTGAACAGAACTGTATTTAAAATTTGAAAGCAGAAAGTAAGATGTATTGAAGGAATTGTGATGTTTGTAATTTACAAGAAGCTTGAGCACGTGTCGGGAGCACAGTGGGAATAATACAAAGGGTATCATCTTTTGTAACATTAATGTTAAAGTTTGGGATATTTGTTCACATGAAACATTGTGTTTATTTTCCTTGTCTTGGCTTTTCACGGTGGCTCATGCCTGTAATCCCAGCACTTTGGGAGGCCGAGGCGGGTGGATCACTTGAAGTCAGGAGGCTGAGGCAGGAGAATCACTTGAACCCCAGAGGTGGAGGTGACAGTGAGCCAAGATTGCGCCATTGCACCCCAGTCTGGGCCACAAGTGGGAAACTTCGTCTCAAAAAAAAAAAAAGAACAAGAAGTTACTCTTTAAGTATAACTCAGTTTACTTAGAATCATGAAAATCTTACTGGGCATTGTAGCATGCACCTGTAATCCCAACCACCAGGGAGGGTAAGGCAGGCGAATCACCCCAGCTCAAGTCCAGTTTAGGCAACATGGCAAGATTCAGTTTCAAAAAAATAATAGAAATCCATAGTCTTTCTTATTTTCTGAGAGTAATTGATTGATGTTATTTCTGCTTGTGAAAATACTCACCAGTTAGCATTCATTAGATTAAAACATTAGTCTGAGTTGGGTGGATCACGAGGTCAGGAAATCAAGACCATCCTGGCTAACACGGTGAAACACCCCGTCTCTACTAAAAATATAAAAAATTAGCTGGGCGTGGTGGCAGGTGCCTGTACTCCCAGCTACTCGATAGGCTGAGGCAGGAGAATGGCGTGAACCTGGAGGCGGAGCTTGCAGTGAGCCAAGATGGCACCACTGCACTCCAGCCTGGGCGACAGAGCAAGACTCCGTCTCAAAAATAAAAAGACAGTATTGAGGGCTCGCTTGCTGCCATCTTACATATACAGTATACGTAGAATCCTGATTCTGCCACCTAAGTTGGAGACACCCACTGAATTTTGAGCCTCACTTTTCTTATTGTGAGAGTTTTGTAGCTGGGCATGGTGCTATACCTATAGTCCCAGCTACTCAGGAGACTGAGGCACAAGAATTGCTTGAACCTGGGAGGTGGAGGTTGCAGTGAGCAGAGATTTGCCACTGCACTCTGGTCTGAGTGACAGTGAGACTGTCTCAAAAAAAAAAAGTCTTGAATGACAGTGTGTCCATGAGACTTCCCAACCCATTGTGATTTCCTGCTTTCTTTTGCTAAAAACTGTTTTGACGTAGGAAACCCTAATACAAACACAAGATTTTCCTGTTTTCAGTAGATGATCATGCTACATCTCATAGACAGGAATAACCTTGTTGTTTAAAATAGTCACCATGTACCTAAATTAAAACATAACTTTTTTTTCCCTCCCCAACAGGTCGCTGAAAATTTTGTTCCCCCTCTGTTGGATGCAGTTCTCATTGATTATCAGAGAAATGTCCCAGCTGCTAGAGAACCAGAAGTGCTTAGTACTATGGCCATAATTGTCAACAAGTTAGGGGGACATATAACAGCTGAAATACCTCAAATATTTGATGCTGTTTTTGAATGCACATTGAATATGATAAATAAGGTGTGTAATATTTCAGTTATGTAAGGGGGAAATTCTGCAGGATAGCCTTAATTCTTGAAAGCTAAAGTATGTCTGTGGATATAACATAATTTTAATGCCATGGAGTTTAAATATTTAAACTTGTATATTAGGGAAATACTTTCTTGGTTTTCAAGAACTTACTTCCCAGGAGTTTGAAACCAACCTGGGCAATATAGTGAGACTTCATCTCTACAAAAAGTTCAAAAAGTAACCAGTCATGGTGGCATGTGCCGGTAGTCCCAACTACTCGAAAGGCTGAAGTGGGGGGGGGGGTCACTTGAGCCTGGGAGTTCAAGATGGCAGTGAGCTGAGATTGCGCCACTGCACTCCAAGAAGAAGAATTTACTACACAGAATCTTGATTGGTAAAAAGTAAATATGGAAAACAGATTTTAGCATTCACATGGTATGTAGCATTTATTGAAACCTCATAGGTCGGGGCATCCTTTTATGAACGTAGTTGTATTAATTGGTTTGAATAAATGAGAAAGTAAGTCTGCATGTTTCAATTATAAAAGTGTAGTATATGCTTATAAGAAACTGAAAAATGTGTTAACAAGAGAAAATAGGCTGGCCATGGTGGCTTACACCTGTAATCCCAGCACTTCAGAAGGCCAAGGCGGGCGGATGACCTGAGGTCGGGAGTTCAAGACCAGCCTGCCTAACGTGGCAAAACCCCATCTCTATTAAAAATACAAAAATGGCCAGGCGTGGTGGCTCAACACCTGTAATCCCAACACTTTGAGAGGCCGAGGCCGGTGGATCACCTGAGGTCAGGATTTCAAGACCAGCCTGACCAACATGGTGAAACCCCATCTCTACTCAAAGATTAGGCTGGGTGCCGTGGCTCACGCTTGTAATCCCAGCACTTTGGGAGGCCGAGGTGGGCAGATCACGAGGTCAGGAGATGGAGACCATGGTGAAACCCTGTCTCTACTAAAAATACAAAAAATTATCCGGGTGTGGTGGTGGGCGCCTGTAGTCCCAGCTACTCGGAGAGGCTGAGGCAGGAGAATGGCATGAACCCGGGAGGCGGAGCTTGCAGTGAGCCAAGATCGCGCCACGCACTCCAGCCTGGGTGACAGAGCAAGACTCTGTCTAAAGAAAAAAAATTAGCTGGGCATGGTGCCGCATGCCTGTAGTCCCAGCTACTCGGGAGGCTGAGGCAGGAGAATCTCTTGAACCCAGGAGGCGGAGGTTGCAGTCAGCTGAGATTGCGCCACTGCACTACAGCCTGGGTGACAGAGTGAGACTGTTTAAAAAGAAAAAAGAGATAAAAGATACGTTAAGTGGACACATTTACACGGTAACTTAAATTTTTTTGTAATCTGTAGTGGTGATTTCAAATTAAAAACAAAAGTGATAGTAGTAGTCTTATGGTAATAATGGTTTAGATGAGTTCTCTATTAAAAAGGTTGTCTTTCTCCTTCAATTTGATAACTCATGTGCGTAACGGGACAGTTTCATTTTCCGTGAGAGGTGGATTGTATTTTACTTGGGTTTACCTTTCAGGAGGCATTCTATCTTCTGTGGTTTATTGAAAACTCCAAATATTTATACTGGATTAAGCCTTGCTTTTCCCCTCCTGTCTAGCACAACAAAGACACTGAAACATTATTTTGTTTCCACCACTTATTTTTAGGACTTTGAAGAATATCCTGAACATAGAACGAACTTTTTCTTACTACTTCAGGCTGTCAATTCTCATTGTTTCCCAGCATTCCTTGCTATTCCACCTACACAGTTTAAACTTGTTTTGGATTCCATCATTTGGGCTTTCAAACATACTATGAGGAATGTCGCAGATACGGGTAAATAAAAGATGTTCTTTTATTCATTTGCCTGCCAATCCAAAAATACAAATATAGTTAATTGTACATAGGAAGGTATTACTTGTTCAGAGTTTTGAGTGTGTGAATTACATATATGAACATCTGAGAAAATCCTATAAGCAGTTTAATCAACTGTTCCACTCCACTCCAAGTGAGTCCATAGGCAGAATTGAGTTATGGGGAGAGCGGCCTAGTAATAATTGGTTTGCGTAATACAAAGTTCTACTGGGTAGTGATGTTGTAGAAGTTCATATAGAATCAGCTGAGCTTTCAGAAATGGTGAAAGGGTGGTAATAGTCATAACTTAGATTGTAATTTTTTTCCCATAGGCTTTTAAAAAATATTCATGAGGTTCTTTTTTTATTTCAATAGTTTTTGGGGAACAGGTGGTTTTTGGTTACATGAATAAGTTCTTCAGTGGTGATTTCTGAGATTTTGGTGCACCTGTCATGTGAGCAGTATGAACTCTACTTTATGTGTAGTCTTATCCCTCATGTGTATGAACTCCACCTTATGTGTAGTCTTATCCCTCACCCACTCCTGCCCTTCCCCACAAGTCCCCAAAGTCCATTATATGATCTTTATGCCTTTACATCTTCACAGTTTAGCTCTCACACAACTTATTATAATTTATAAGTAAGCCAGCATTGGATATAGTTGTATTCCATTATTAATTTAAGAAACCTTATGCAAGTAATTATTAGTCATCATCCCAAAAAAAAGGGAGAACAGGGTTAGATTCAGAATACTTTGATAAGAGCTAAATACTATCATGAGTGCTGTCAGTCTGTAGTAACTTTCCATTGGTATTCTATGTCTTTTAGGCTTACAGATACTTTTTACACTCTTACAAAATGTTGCACAAGAAGAAGCTGCAGCTCAGAGTTTTTATCAAACTTATTTTTGTGATATTCTCCAGCATATCTTTTCTGTTGTGACAGACACTTCACATACTGCTGGTAAGAATTTAATACGATTTAAATGTTAAGTGCCAGCTGGGCACAGGGCCTCACGCCTATAATCCCAGCACTTTGGGAGGTCGAGGCGGGGAGATTATGAGGTCAGGAGTTCGAGAACAGCCTGGCCACCATGGTGAAACTGTCTGTACTAAAAATACCATAAAAAAATAAAAGATACAATAAAAATACTGGGCATGGTGGCATGTGATTGCAATCCCACCTATTCGGGAGGCTGAGGCAGGAGAATGGCTTGGACCGAGGAGGCAGAGGTTGCAGTGAACTAAGATTGCGCCACGGCATTCCAGCTTGGGTGACAGAGCGAGACTCCGTCTAAAAAAAAAAAACAAAACAAAAAAAAACGCTAAGATCTATAGTTATATTACATTTTGGAGTTAATAATTTTCTTCTTATCAACAGGTTTAACAATGCATGCATCAATTCTTGCATATATGTTTAATTTGGTTGAAGAAGGAAAAATAAGTACATCATTAAATCCTGGAAATCCAGTTAACAACCAAATCTTTCTTCAGGAATATGTGGCTAATCTCCTTAAGTCGGCCTTCCCTCACCTACAAGAGTAAATATACCTTTTAATAAACGTAGAATGTTCCTGGTCGGGCACAGTGGCTCACACCTGTAATCCCAGCACTTTGGGAAGCCTAAGGTGGGAGGATTGCTTGGGCCCAAAAGTTGGAGACCAACCTAGACAACAAAACAAGATCCCGTCTCTACAAAAAAAAAAGTAGTCAGAAGTGGTATGCATCTGTAGGACCAGCTGTTGGAGAGGCTGAGGCGAGAGGGTTGTTTGCATCCTGGAGTTTAAGACTGCAGTGAGCTATGATCGCACCACTGTACACCAGCCTGGGTGATAGAGTGAGACCCTGCCTCTTTAAAAAAGCAAAAAAAAAAAAAAAAAAAAAAAGGCCACGCACGGTGGCTCATGACTGTAATCCCAACACTTTGGGAGGCTGAGGTGGGTGAATCACAAGGTCAGGAGTTCAAGACCAGCCTGGCCAAGATGGTGAAACCCCGTTTCTACTAAAAATACAAAAAATTAGTTGGGCATGGTGGTGGGTGCCTGAAATCCCAGCTACTTGGGAGGCTGAGGGGGAGAACTGCTTGAACCCAGGAGGCAGAGGTTGCAGTGAGCCGAGATTGTGCCACTGCACTCCAGTGTGGGTGACAGAGCAAGACTGTCTCAAAAAATAAAAAGGCTGGGCACGGTGGCAAACGCCTGTAATCCAAGCACTTTGGGAGGCCTAGGCGGGCAGATTACCTGAGGTCAGGAGTTTGAGATTTGCCTGACCAACATGGAGAAACCCTGTCTCTACTAAAAATACAAATTAGCCGGGCATGGTGGTGCATGCCTGTAATCCCAGCTACTTGGGAGGCTGAGGCAGGAGAATAGCTTCAGAGGTTGCGGTGAGCCGCGATTGTGCGATTGTACTCCAACCTGGTAAACGAGCAAAACTTTGTCTCAAAAATTAAAAAAAAATTCTTGATTAAAAAAAAAAAACATTATTGGGACGCTGAGGCAGGAGAATGTCTTGAACCCGGGAGGCAGAGATTACAGTGAGCAGAGATCATGCCACTGTACTCCAGCCTGGTGACAGAGCAATACTCTGTCTCGGGGGAAAAATAAATCATTATTTAATCATTGTGTTTTGATTTGCAGTGCTCAAGTAAAGCTCTTTGTGACAGGGCTTTTCAGCTTAAATCAAGATATTCCTGCTTTCAAGGAACATTTAAGAGATTTCCTAGTTCAAATAAAGGTATGTATTTATTTGCTCTTGCAGAAATATTAGGGGTAGATGTGACCACTTTTATGTTACATTGTAGAATTTTTATCACTTGATTTGTCATGCCAAATAAATGGGGTTTCAAGATAATACGTTTACACAATCTCTGTAATCAAAAAACCTGAGACTGGTAATACAGTGAAAAACTAAAGTCCAATAAGGATAGATATGTTTGAGATGTTATTCGGATAAACTTATTACTAATGTAATTCATTTTAGGTAGTCTTAAATGTATAATGGAATATTGGGTAAGAAAAACGTTGGTAGTTCTTTTTATAATTTTATACCAATTTTGTTAGTTGAGGGAACTTGTGAAAGTTACTAGATAGAATGTCTTTCTTCTGCTGTTATACAGTGCTTTATTCATACTTTTGGGAAGGGTTTTTCTTTGAACATCTTGCTTTAAAGAAATTTGGAAGTACTGTGAAACCCTAAGTAGTTGATGAATAGTTTATCCATGATTGTTGAATAAGAATTAGTCTCTTAGCTCTTAAATATTTTCTCCAAAATACAAAGGTTTTTTTTTTTTACTGTAAAAATATTAGCCAATTTTTAAAAAACTAATGAAAGTTACCTAGGCTGGGCGCAGTTGCTCATGCCTGTAATCCCAGCACTTTGGGAGGCCAAGGTGGGTGGGTCACCTGATGTCGGGAGTTTGAGACTAGCACGGCCAACATGGTGAAACCCCCGTCTCTACTAATAATACAAAAATTAGCCAGGCGTGGTGGCGCACAGCTGTATTCGCAGCTACTTGAGAGGCTGAGGCAAGAGAATTGCTTGAACCCACGAGGCAAAGGTTGCGGTGAGCCGAGATCACGTCATTGCACTCCAACCTGGGTGACAAGAGTGAAACTTCATCTCAAAAAAAAAAAAAAAAAGTTAACTGATAGCTACGAAGTCAATGATAATATAACTAAACTTAATTTAATGACAGTTATTAATTAGCCTTAGGAGAAACATCTTTCTTGGTATCTTGGCATATGAAGAATTTTTAGCTGGGCACAGTGGCTCACACCTGTAATCCCAGCACTTTGGGAGGCCGAGGCAGACAGATCAGTTGAGGTCAGGAGTTCAGGATCAGCCCGGCCAACATGGTGAAACCTCATCTCTACTAAAAATACAAAAATTAGCCAGGTCTGGTGGCAGGTGCCTGTAGTCCCAGCTACTCGGGAGGCAGAGGCAGGAGAATCACTTGAACCCAGGAGGCAGAGGTTTCAGTGAGCTGAGATCATAACACTGCACGCCAGCCTGGGCGACAGAGCAAGACTGCCTCTCAAAAGAAAAGAGAAAAAAGTGTCTGGGTGCAGTGGCTCATGCCTGTAATCCTAGCACTTTGGGAGGCCGAGACAGGTGGATTGTCTGAGCTTGGGAGTTTGAGATCAGCCTGGGCAACATGGTGAAACTACGTCTCTAGTAAAAATACAAAAAATGAGCCAGATGTGGTGGTGCCTGTAATCCCAGCTGCTGGGGAGGCTGAGGCAGGAGAATTGCTTGCATCTTGGAGGAAGAGGTTGAGATAATGTGCTGGGGCTACAGAACAAGACTCTATCACAAAGAGAACAAAATTTGTGTGAATACATAGTAGGTGTATATACTTAGGGGATGGGATGCATGAGATACTTCGGTAGAAGCATACAATGCATAATAATCACATTGAAGACTATTTACTGTAAGGTATCACACCATTTTTTTTGTTTTTTTTGGGGGGGCACAGTCTCGCTTTTATCACCCAGGCTGGAGAGCAGTGGCGTGATCTTGGCTCACTGCAACCTCCGCCATGCAGGTTCAAGTGATTCTCCTGCCTCAGCCTCCCAAGTAGCTGGGATTACAGGCGCCTGTGCCACCATGCATGGCTAATTTTAGTAATGACAGGGTTTCACCATGTTGGCCAGGGTGGTCTCCTGACATCAAGTATTCTTCCCGTCTCTGCCTCCCAAAGTTGGGATTACAGGCGTGAGCCACCATGCCGGGGCCCATGATTCTTTTGTAATCTTCCCCCCCACCAGTTAACAGGTTTGCAGTTCATTCAGCTATGTAGTATACTGTGTCACTATCCTATAATTTAAAACCCAGCCACTTTATGGATAATTTATATTCCTTCCTTCTCTAAAAAGGAAATTGCTCATCTATGATTTCTTTCTTTGCAAGTTGAAGTTTATTGCGTTGACATTTCAACTATCTGTTTTCACAGGAATTTGCAGGTGAAGACACTTCTGATTTGTTTTTGGAAGAGAGAGAAATAGCCCTACGGCAGGCTGATGAAGAGAAACATAAACGTCAAATGTCTGTCCCTGGCATCTTTAATCCACATGAGATTCCAGAAGAAATGTGTGATTAAAATCCAAATTCATGCTGTTTTTTTTCTCTGCAACTCGTTAGCAGAGGAAAACAGCATGTGGGTATTTGTCGACCAAAATGATGCCAATTTGTAAATTAAAATGTCACCTAGTGGCCCTTTTTCTTATGTGTTTTTTTGTATAAGAAATTTTCTGTGAAATATCCTTCCATTGTTTAAGCTTTTGTTTTGGTCATCTTTATTTAGTTTGCATGAAGTTGAAAATTAAGGCATTTTTAAAAATTTTACTTCATGCCCATTTTTGTGGCTGGGCTGGGGGGAGGAGGCAAATTCGATTTGAACATATACTTGTAATTCTAATGCAAAATTATACAATTTTTCCTGTAAACAATACCAATTTTTAATTAGGGAGCATTTTCCTTCTAGTCTATTTCAGCCTAGAAGAAAAGATAATGAGTAAAACAAATTGCGTTGTTTAAAGGATTATAGTGCTGCATTGTCTGAAGTTAGCACCTCTTGGACTGAATCGTTTGTCTAGACTACATGTATTACAAAGTCTCTTTGGCAAGATTGCAGCAAGATCATGTGCATATCATCCCATTGTAAAGCGACTTCAAAAATATGGGAACACAGTTAGTTATTTTTACACAGTTCTTTTTGTTTTTGTGTGTGTGTGCTGTCGCTTGTCGACAACAGCTTTTTGTTTTCCTCAATGAGGAGTGTTGCTCATTTGTGAGCCTTCATTAACTCGAAGTGAAATGGTTAAAAATATTTATCCTGTTAGAATAGGCTGCATCTTTTTAACAACTCATTAAAAAACAAAACAACTCTGGCTTTTGAGATGACTTATACTAATTTACATTGTTTACCAAGCTGTAGTGCTTTAAGAACACTACTTAAAAAGCAAAATAAACTTGGTTTACATTTATTTTTCCTTTATTGACTCATTTATTCCTATATTAATGATAGTGGGTATTTGTGTTTAAGCATCAAGTAACATTTTAAATGAAGTTGGACCCCTTGATTTACAAACAAGATTTCTAAGGTTATTGTTCCTAGTAAATGCAGCAGTTGTGTAAAATGAACATGTTCCTAAGATACCTTTTGTTCTCAAGAAACAAATTCCTCCTGTGGCATTTTGACTCATTTTACCTTTATTTGGGATTAGAGGGCACTTCTTGTCTAACTCTACTTAGCATCTAAATGTAACAAAGAATAAACATTAGCCTTGGAATGAGAACACAGATGTAACCTGGTACAAATACTAATTGTATTCTTAAAAAATGTAAGTAAACTAAGTAGCCATGAGCCTTCTCAAAAGGGTGAGTGGAGCCAGGCTTGGTAGCTCACACCTGTAATCCCTGCCCTTTGGGAGGCCAAGGTGGGCGGATCACTTGAGGCCAAGAGTCCCAGACCTGCCTGGCCAACACAGTGAAACCCTGTCTCTACAAAAAAATACAAAAATTAGCCAAGTGTGGTGGCACGTGCCTGTAGTTCCAGCTGCTTGGGAGGCTGAGCCAGGAGAATCTCTTGAATTTGGGAAGGAGAGGTTGCTGTGAGCTGAGATTGTGCCACTGCACTCCAGCCAGAGTGAGACACTCTCTCTCAGATATAGATTGATTTTTTTTTTTGCGGGGTGGGGGGTGGGGGTGATAGAATCTTGCTCTGTTGCTCAGGCTGGAGTGCAGTGGCGTGATCTCGGCTCACTACTACCTCCGCCTCCCGGATTCAAGCGATTCTCCAGCCTCAGCCTCCAGAGAAGCTGGGGCTGCAGGCACGCATCAACGCAACCAGCTGTTTGTGCTTTTACTAAAGATGGGGTTTTGCCATGTTTAGACAGGCTGGTCTCAAACTCCTGACCTCAGGTGATCCACCCACCTCAGCCTCCCAAAGTGCTGGGATTATAGGCGTGAGCCACCGTGCCTGGCCTTCCCTATACATTTTATATAATGGGTGTGTAAATGGACAACTAAGGATTATCAGACATCTAAGGGCAGTCTCAATATGAATTTTAAAATGGAAACGGGCAAGTTGAAAACAGACTGCACAGGCAAAAGTAAACAAAAATATCAATCACCAGTACCCTTAGAAAAGTTGAGAGCTTTCTGCAACCAAGAAAAACAATACCACAGTAAAGGTATATCAAGAGAACAGAATTTTGGAAATTAGAGAATAGCAGAAATAAAAAATGAGTTGCAGAGGCAGGTGCGGTGGCTCACGTGTGTAATCCCAGCGCTTTGGGAGGCCAAGGCGGGCGGATCACGAGGTCAGGAGATGGAGACCATCCTGGCTAACACTGTGAAACCCTGTCTCTACTAAAAATACAAAGAAATTAGCCGGGCATGGTGGTGGGCACCTGTAGTCCCAGCTACTTGGGAGGCTGACGCAGGAGAATGGCGTGAACCCGGGAGGCGGAGCTTGCAGTGAGCTGAGACGGCGCCACTGCACTCCAGCCTGGGCGACAGCGAGACTCCTCAAAAAGAAAAAAAAAGAAATTTAAATCTCCCAAAAATAGAGGGAAAAGAGAAAAAGATGCAAAATATAAACTTTTAAAAATTTGAGGACCACTCCATAAGTAAACATGAGTTCCAAACAGAAGAAAATGGAGTGTATGGAAAAAAGGATTCAAGAGAATCTCCACAAACAGAAGGGTATCAATTTGCTCATAACAAATCACCAAATATCCATCCCATAAGATACAAATACACCCCCAGTTGTCCAGGTGTGGTGACACACACTTGTCCTCCCAGCTACCCAGGAGGCTGAGGCAGGAGGATTCCTTGAGCCAGGAAAGTGGTGGAATATGCCTGTAGTCCCAGCTACTTGGGAGGCTGAGGCAGGAGGATCACCTCAAAGCATGCCGTTCAAAGCATGCTGGGCCTATGAATTGTCACTGCACTGCAGCCTGGGCAACACAGTGAGATCTCTGTGGGGTGCAGTGGCTCAACTGTAATCCTAGCACTTTGGCAGGTGGGAGGATTGCTGGAGCTCAGGAGTTCGAGACCAGTCTGGGCAACATAGGAATACCCTTTTTTTTAAATTTAGGCCAGGGCTGGTGGCTCATACCTGTAATCCCATCACTTTGGGAGGCTGAGGTGGGTGGATCACTTGAGACCGAGTTCAAGAACAGCCTGGGCAACATAGTAAGATCCCTGTCTCTACTAAAAATATAAATATTAGCCCAATGTGATGGCACACATCTGTAATCCCAGCTATTTAGGAGGCTGAGGCAGGTGAATCGCTTGAACCCAGGAGGCAGAGCTTGCAGTGAGCCGAGATTGCGCCACTGCACTCCACCCTGGGCAGCAGAGCAAGACTCCATCTCAAAAAAAAATTAAAATAAAATAAAAAGATGAAAGGCATAGGAATGGAGAGATGGAAGGAGACAGAATAGGTTGACTGTACAGTACATTCCAGGGTGAATGTTAGTTTGTGATAAAGTGCTCTGCTGTTCATTTGAGTTGTGGCAAATAATTTAACTGTCATAACTGGTCTTCAAAATGTTGATCAACAGTTATACACACTTGGCCGGGCGCGGTGGCTCACGCCTGTAATCACAGCACTTTAGGAGGCCGAGGCGGGCGGATCACCTGAGGGTGGGAGTTCGAGACCAGCCTGACCAACATGGAGAAACCCCATCTCTACTAAAAATACAAAAAAGTAGACAGGTGTGGTGGTGGCACCTGTAGTCCCAGCTACTCAGGAGGCTGAGGCAGGAGAATGGCCTGAACCCGGGAGGCGGAGCTGGCAGTGAGCGGAGATCACTCCACTGCACTCCAGCCTGGGCAAAAAAAGCGAGACTCAAAAAAAAAAAAAAAAAAAAAAAAGAGTATCTGTAATCAGTAGTTAGAAATGTGTTTGGTTACAAGTAACGAAAATCTGAAGAATGGCTTAAAGAAAAAGAACTTTTTTGAGGAGTCTTGCTCTGTCATCCAGGCTGGAGTGCAGTGGCAACTGCAGCTCACTGCAACCTCTGCCTCCCGGGTTCAAGGGATTCTCCTGCCTCAGCCTTCTGAGTGGCTGGGATTACAGGTGCCCTCCACCACAACCGGCTTTTTTTTTTTTTTGAGACGGAGTCTTGCTCTGTCGCCGAGGCTGGAGTGCACTGGTGCGATCTTGGCTCACTGCAACTTCTGCCTCCTGGGTTCAAGCAATTCTCTTGCCTCAGCCTCCCAAGTAGTTGGGACTATAGGCATGCGCCATCAAACCCGGCTAATTTTTGTATTTTTAGTAGAGACGAGGCTTCACTACGTTGGCCAGGCTGGTCTTGAACTCCTGACCTTGTGTTCTGCCCACCTCCCCCTCCCAAAGTGCTGGGAGTACAGGCGTGAGCCATTGCGCCCAGCCTAATTTTTGTATTTTTAGTAGAGATGGGTTTCATTACGTTGGCCAGGCCGGTCTCTAACTCCTGTCCTCAAGTGATCTGCCCTCCTTAGCCTCTCAAAGTTCTGGGAATACAGGTGTAGGCCACCATGCCCAGCCAAGAAAAATACATTTTATTTTTCTCACATAAGCAGTCTGAGCATAGACTGTTGTTCAAAGATGCATCAGGGATCCACACTTTATGATTCTGTTTTATCATTTTTTTTCGAGATGGAATTTTTTTTGCTCTTGTTGCCCAGGCTGGAGTGCAATGGCAGAATCTCGGCTCACTGCAACCTCCACCCCCGGGTTCAAGCAATTCTCCAGCCTCAGCCTCCCGAGTAGCTGGGATTACAAAGTGCCCGCCACCACACCCGGCTCATTTTTTATATTTTTAGAAGAGATGGGGTTTCAGCATGTAGGTAAGGCTGGTCTTGAACTCTGACCTCAGGTGATCCACCTGCCTCAGCCTCCCAAAGTGTTGGGATTACAGGCGTGAGCCACTGTGCCCGGCCTGTTTAATCAAATTTTTTAAACAATGAAATCGCAAATGGGGTAAAAGTTTTCATTGTTAAAAAAATTACAAGATGGGTATTACTTTGTGCATCAAGACCATGTTTCAGGCAGAAAGGGTTAAATGGTATGTTAGCTGAATTTGTCCCTCATCGTATTAGGAATTCTTTTGGGAATTCTTCCCAAAGAACCCATCCTGCAGATTTCTGCTTACATTTCTTTTTTTTTCCAGAGAGGGTCTCACTCTGTCACCCAGGCTAGACTGCAGTGGTATGACCACAGCTCACTGCAGTCTCAATCTCCTGGGCTCTAGTGATCCTCCCACCTCAGCCTCCCCAGTAGCTGGGATTACAGGTGTGCACCACCACATTCCACTAATTTTCTTATGTACTGGAGATGGACTTTTGCCATGTTGCCCAGGTTGATGTAGAACTCCCAGGCTCAAGCAATCCATCTGCCTTGGACTCTCAAAGTACTATGATTATAGTCGTGAGCCACCACGACCAGGTAATTTTTTTTTTTTTTTTTTGAGACGGAGTCTTGCTGTGTCGCCCAGGCTGGAGTGCAGTGGCGCGATCTCAGCTCACTGCAAGCTTTGCTCCCTGGGTTCATGCCATTCTCCTGCCTCAGCCTCCCAAGTAGCTGGGACTACAGGCGCCCACCACCATGCCTGGCTAATTTTTTGTATTTTTAGTAGAGACGGGGTTTCACCGTGTTAGCCAGGATGGTCTCAATCTCCTGATTTAGTGATCTTCTCGCCTCGGCCTCCCAAAGCGCTGGGATTACAGGCATGAACCACCATGCCTGGCCTTTTTTTTTTTTTTTTTTTATGAGACGGAGTTTCACTCTTATCCCAGGCTGGAGTGCAATGGCGCGATCTCGGCTCACCGCAACCCCTGCCTCCCGGGTTCAAGCGATTCTCCTGCCTCAGCCTCCTGAGTAGCTGGGATTACAGGCATGCACCACCATGCCTAATTTTGTATTTTTAGCAGAGATGAGCTTTGTCCATGTTGGTCAGGCCGGTCTAGAGCTCCCGACCTCAGGTGATTTGCTCACCTCAGCCTCCCTAAGTGCGGGATTTCAGGAGTGAGCCAACGCGCCCAGCCACCTTTTAAATTTTTGTAGACACAGGGCTCCCACTATGTTTCTCAGGATTGTTGCTTACCTTTTATCAGGAGGAACTCAATTATGTATGGCCAGCCCTAGAAAAGCCAGATCACCATGATGGTTGGTTTCAACTGCTACCTGAAAAAACGTGAGACCAGCACGTTGGCTCATACCTGTAATCCTAACATTTTGGGCCGGAGGATCAGTTGAGGCCAGGAGTTTGAGACCAGCCTGGGTAACATAGCAAGACCCTGTCCCTACTAAAAATAAAAAACAATTAGTTACGTGTGGTGGAGAGCGCCTGTAGCCCCAGCTACTAGGGAAGTGGGAGGATCCCTTGAGCCCATAAAGTGGAGGCTGTAGTGAACTGTGATCGCACCACTGCACTCTAACCTTGGCGACAGAGTGAGACTTTGTCTCAAAAAAAAAAAATTCAAATAAAAATAATTGGGGTTGTGTTGGCAGGGAAAAAAGGGATACGTGGGAATGTATGTTGAGTGGACAACGAATGTCTGCCTCAGGATCCAAAGTAAGTCTGCAAAAACCCAATTCTGTGAGAAAGACAAGGAAGAAGGGAAGATGATGGTAGAATAGAACTACAATCCTAAGGATCACCTGCTAGTGGGAAACAAAACGGGTTGGGCAGACTGTTTATAGTATCAACTTCAAGCAGCAGAAAGGCAAAGCATTTGGAACCAGGTGGTTCTGGCATGGAGAGATGGGCGTGCCATAACCTCCACAAAAGCTATCGAGAGAATGACTACAGAGCCTTGACAGACACTCTGGTTACCGTTCAGAGATTCTGTACACGATCTTTCGGACTTTGCAGTCACATGTCTATGTAAACACGTTGAACACAAAAATTAGCAAGCAAGGGGTAAGTGCCGGCGTGAGGAAAATTCCCTTACAAGCTTCAGCTGACTGCCCCCTTCACCTGTTCTTTATCTTAATATCCTTGTTATTCGCTCTCTGCTGAAGAAGATTTCTTGCTATTTCAGGTGGGGCTGATGGGCACATCGTGAGGGGCCCTCTTCCGTAAAAACGAGACGATGTCAGGCAAACACTCCTTACCCTGCCATTTCTAGTTACGTCAAGGATCTTACTGCTCCAGGACGGAGGACCTTCAAGGAACTGCAGGGTAGCGATAATCACCGATGCAGTTAAGCCGGGCCCTGGGCTGATTCACTCTCAGACCCCGGGGGGAGTGGCCCTTGCGCCCGAAAGAGGGCTACGGCGTAGACCCGGCCCGGCACCCAAGTTGACTCCTTGCTTCCCGTACCCCAAAAGCCTAAGCGCGGAAGAGGCCGGGGACACCAAAGAAACCCGCACCAACTCCCCGACCCAGGCCCTGGGGAAAAATGGCGAAGCCCAGGGGCGGGGGACAGGACGGAGCGAGTGACCTGGCGCTCCCCGGGCCTCAGAGCCCGTGGAGTGGGTCGTGGTGGGCGACGCCACGCAACCGCGACCCGTCCGTTGCCTCCGCCATCTTCTCCTACTCACCCGGACTCCCCCCGCGGCCGCGCTGGCTTCGCGTTTCCCTTCCGGCCGCTGACAGAGATCCGGGCTGGGCGGGGTGGGCGAGCGCGCGGAGGGGGTGGACCGAGGGCGGGGAGGCCGGACGGAAGAGGAAAGGGAGGGCGGCGAGCCGGCCACGGCGGGGTGTGGAGCGTGCGGCGTGTGTGCGGAGGGAGAGGTGGGGGGCGGAGGAGAGGCGAGAAAGGGAGGGAGGCGGAGGAATGAGAGCGCGAGGCGCCTCTCGTCCGCTCCTAAGCCCGGGCGGAAAGAGCCGAGCGCAGCCCGAGCGCTCTGTTAAAATGGCGGCGGCGTCGGCGGTGGCCGCGGCGTCTGGTCGGTGAAGTGACTCTGCTGCTTCTCTCCCCACCCGCCCCCTCCCCCCCTCTCCCCTCCCCCCGTCCTTCCCCCCCTTCCCCGCCGCCGGCGCCTCGGCGCCCCTCCGGCCTGCGCACCTCCCCTCGCTCCCCTCCTCTCCCCCTCCCGCTGCGGGGACCGCCGGCCCCCTCCCCCATTCTCTTGCTCCCCGCCCCGTCCCCGCCGCCGCCCGCCCTAGTCGCCTCCCCGCCCCGCCGGCCGGCCGGCCCCCTCCTCCGCCTCTCTCCCCTCCCCCCCGCCGGTCGGGATCAGTCAGTGTGATCCGAAGCGGGGGAGGGGGGGGGCGGCGGCCGAACGATGTGCGAGAACTGCGCAGACCTGGTGGAGGTGTTAAATGAAAGTAAGTAGCCGCGGTAGCGGCCTGTCGGGGTGCACGGTTTGGGGTCCTCGCGCAGCTCTCTGGCCTCCCCGGGCTGCCGCGGCCTGCGGGAGGCGACGGCCGGGCCGGGCGGCGTGCGGGCCTAGCGCCCCGGGAAGGTGCGCGGTGGCGCGGCCGCCGCGGCGCCTCGGGCCCAGCCCGGCCGGGTTACCTGGGCGCCCGAGAGGCGGCCGCCGCGGAGCTCCGGCTCGGCCTGGCCCGGGCGCTCTGGGCTCTCGGAAAGTTTCCTCATTACAGGTGTCAATTAATGAAGGCAGTAATGAACCCCTCGCCGCCTTCGCCTCCTTCGCCCTGCCGGGAAGGTGCGGGGAGGTGGGGTCGGAGGACGAGGCTTTCCTCCGCAGTCCAAATCCTCCGGCCGCCCTCTTTGATTTCCAGCGTGCTGCCGAGGCCTCTCTTACCTGCTAATTTTCATTAAACTCCCGGGAGCAGGGTGGTGGTTTTTCCCTCCCTTGCGGGTTTGTGGGTGTCTTAAACACTTCAGCCAGACCTTAAATAGCTGAAAACGAACTGTGATAGTGATGATTGGAACCTTCATACCTATTTTTAAAATAAATTTGTTAATGATGTTTCTTAGTGTAGCATTCACCGCTTTAATGGTACATTCTGTTAAGCAGAGCACTGTACTACACATACCATCCCGGGATAGTTATGGCCTATCTCTCTTGGAAGGAAAGGCCTTTTACCTGGTACTTTACTTTTTATTATTAAAAAGGGTACGTTGATCTTTTCTGGCCTTTTTATTTTATTCTCGACCCTTGCAAGATGGTATTTCAGCTTATAGAAGATATATTGCAAATCAACTACTTCTGGGCGTAAAGGCCTAGTTGGCAGAGGTGAATTAGATGAAGGGATCAATTTACAAAAAGTTGATTGTTGAAAAAATGCTCACTTATGAACAGTTTATGTGGGTTTTGGATTTGTATTCTGTTTGTGATATTTCCACAGACTTTCAGACTATCTAATTTTGTAATACAATTCGCTAAAACAGTTGATTTATAAAATGTACCATGGTATTTGTGTTTGACTGTCACTTTAATGACCAAAGACAATAATAAAAGTGGAAGGGTTCTAACTTAATTTCAACTCCGTATTTACTTCCTGATAGGTGGAATAGGCTTTTGCACATATTCCAACTAGAGGTTCCAGTATTTGTGTCACCCTAAATTATCCTAGAATTTTAAGATTATTTGTGTGTATTTTGAGATACTTTTATTTCTGGCGCAGGCGGTTTACGATATGATAAACTTAAATCCTCAATACTTACTGTGTTTTATATCTCACATACAAGTCGTGTGATTATGATTGTTACGCTCAACTTGGAAAGTTAATCGTTTTGCAATGTAATATGAGGAACAAGTACTTAATTTTGTTGGTGATTTTAAATATCTTTTTTTTTTCTTGAGACAGAGTTTTGCTCTTGTTGCCCAAGCTGGAGGGCAATGGCATGATCTCGGCTCACTGCAAACTCTGCCTCCCAGGTTCAAGCGATTCTCCTGCCTCAGCCTCCCAAGTAGCTGGAAATGTAGGTTCCCCACACCATGCCCGGCTGATTTTTGTATTTTTGGTAGAGACGGGGTTTCACCATGTTGGTCAGGCTGGTCTTGAGCTCCTGACCTTGTGATCCGCCTGCCTCGGCCTCCCAAAGTGCTGGGATTACAGGCGTGAGCCACTGCGCCTGGCTGATTTTAAAATATCTTAAACTTGGAAAATTTTAAACAAAACATCTAAAGAAAGTAAAGTTGGTTTATCTTTTGAAAAGAGGTGGCATCTTGATCATAATGAAAGGTCTTATTTAAGATTATCTGGGAAACCCCTAGAACTTTGGTTAGAAGCACTGAAAAATGCAGTGCATTTATGGAGTGTTAGAAATGTGGAGAATTGAAATAGAATTTAGCTTTTATTACCTTTAAGCAAATACAGTTAGTTCAACCAGCTTCTCAAAATCTGGTCATGTGCACCCTCTAAGAAACCTGTTCTAATGAACAAGTAAGGATTTTCTATTTGTGTGTAAGCCAGTGGACTCTAAAAATACTTAGTTTCTTAATATTGCCTTTGAGGCTCAATTTAAAAGTTTAACTCTTAAACAATAATCTCACAGTGATGCTTCCTTTTTAAAAAAATTTACGGCCAGGCGCAGTGGCTCACGCCTGTAATCCCAACACTTTGCGAGGCCAAGGTTGGCGGATCACCTGAGGTTGGGAGTTCAAGACCAGCCTGACTAACATGGAGAAACCCCGTCTCTACTCAAAATACAAAATTAGCTGAGCGTGGTGGCACATGCTTGTAATCCCAGCTACTGGGGAGGCTGACCAGGAGAATTGCTTGAACCCGGAGGCGGAGGTTGCAGTGAGCCGAGATTGTGCCATTGCACTCCAGCCTGGGCAACAAGAGCGAAACTTTGTCTCAAAAAACATTTTTTTTACTTCAACAATTACATGTGTAGTTTATACCACACTATTAAAAGTTGTTTTTTTTTCTGTAGTTCTTTGCTTATCCGTGGCTATGATGGAGCATGATAATGAACATGAGTGGTTGGAGCTTGATAAAACTTGTTGAAGTAGATTATATGTGTTTCTTGTGATCTCATTTGCAGTAATTACCTATAAAGTCTGCCCTTTTCCCGCCTGTACCTTGTACAAAGATGAGCATCAGTTCAACGTTGATTTAGAAATTCAGAGTTGGCCGGGCAACTCTGAATACAGCTCACGCCTGTATTCCCAACACTTTGGGAGGCCGAGGTGGGCGGATCACAAGGTCAGGAGCTCGAGACCAGCCTGGCCAATATGGTGAAACCCCATCTCTACTAAAAATTCACCAATTAGCCGGGTGTGGTGGTGTAGGCATCTGTAGTCCCAGCTACTTGGGAGGCTGAGGCAGGAGAATTGCTTGAACCCTGGTAGGCGGAGGTTGCAGTGAGCCGAGATCATGCCACTGCACTCCAGCCTCGGCCACAGAACAAGACTCCATCTCAAAAAAAAAAAAAAAAAAAACAAAGTTACAGTCCTCCCAAAATGTGCTCAGAATTCATCTTTAAATACGACACCCTGTAACAGTTTAGCCAGCTGAGAGAAGCAATAAAATTGTGCATATTTTTGGGTGGTGTGTTTCCAGGTCATGCTGAAAAATACGTAATTAGTATTAAAGCAACCTCACAAAACAGTCAGACGTGGTGGTGCGCCCCTGTAATCCCGCCTCGGCAGGAGGCTGAGGCAGGAGGATTGTTTGAGGCCAGGAGTTCGAGACCAGCGTGGGCAACATAGTAAGACTGCTTTTTTTATTATTATTATTTTTTTATTTTTTATTTGGAGACAGAATCTCGCTGTGTCACCCAGGCTGGAGTGCAGTGGCACGGTTTCGGCTCACTACAACCTCTGCCTCCCTGGGTTCAGCAATTCTCCTGCCTCAGCCTCCCAAGTGGCTGGGATTACAGGCACACGTCACCATGCCCAGCTAATTTTTGTATTTTTAGTAGAAACGGGGTTTCACCATATTGGCCAGGCTGGTCTGAACTCCTTACCGTGTGATCTACCCGCTTCCGTCTCCCAAAATGCTAGGATTACAGGCGTGAGCCACCGCGCCTGGCCAAGACTGCTGTCTTGAAAAAACAAACCAAAAACACTGTTTCTTGTGAAATTAACAAACAGTGATCACACTTAGAGAAGGCTACCTGGGCAAACGAGTGTAATAAATTTTTTTTTTTTTTTTTGACACGGAGTCTAACTCTCACCCAGGCTGGAATGCAGTGTCGGCTAGCTGCAACCTCCACCTCCCGGATTCAAGTGATTCTTCTGCCTCAGCCTCCTGAGTAACTGAGACTACAGGCACCCGCCTCCTTGCCTGGCTAATTTTTGTATTTTTAGTAGAGGTGGGATTTTGCCATGTTGGCCAGGCTTGTCTCAAACTCCTGACCTCAGGGGATCTGCCTGCCTGTACCTCCCAAAGTGCTGCAATTACAGGAGTGAGCCAGCATGCCTGGCCTAAAAATTTTGTTTAAAAAATTTTTAGTTGATAAATAATAATTTTACATATTCATGGTGTACATAGTGATGTTTCAATACATAAAACGTATAGTGATCAGTTGAAGTTAATTAGTATATCCATCTCAAACATTTAGCATTTGCTTTGGGAACATTCAGTATCCTCCTAGCTATTTGAAACTGTATCATATATTATTGTTTTTTTGAGATAGGGTTTCTTTCCCATTGCCCAGGCTGGAGTGCAGTGGTATGCTCTTGGGTCACTACAGCCTCCGCTTCCTGGGCTTAAGCAATCCTCCTGCCACATCCTCCCAAGTAGCTGGGACTACAGGCATGTGCCACCAAGCCCGGCTAATTTTTGTATTTTTAGTAGAGATGGGGTTTCACCACGTTGGCCAGGCTGGTCTTGAACTCTTGAACTCAAGTGATCTGCCCGCCTTGGCCTCCCAAAGTGCTGGGATTATAGGCATGAGCCACCATGCCCGGCTTGTATCATATATTATTGTTAACCGTAGTCATTCTGTAGTAGTACTTATTCCTTCTATCTCACTGTAATTTTATATTCTTTAACAAATCTCTCCCTATCCCTCCCCTCCCTCTACCATTCCCAGCAAATTTTGTTGTGTTTTTGTTTATTTTATTTTATTTTTTTTTGAGACAGAGTCTTGTTCTGTCACCCAGGCTGGAGTGCAGTGGCGCCATCTCTGCTCACTGCAAGCTCCGCCTCCCGGGTTCACGCCATTCTCCTGACTCAGCTTCCCGAGGAGCTGGAACTACAGGCGCCCGCTACCACGCCCGGCTAATTTTTTGTATATTTAGTAGAGATGGGGTTTCACCATGTTGGCCAGGATGGTCTCGATCTCTTGACCTCGTGATCCACCTGCCTCGGCCTCCCAAAGTGCTGGCATTACAGGCGTGAGCCACCGTGCCTAGCCGTGTTTTTGTTTATTAATAGAGACAGGGCCTTGCATTGTTGCCCAGGCTGGTCTCAAACTCCTGGTCTGAAGCCATTCTCCTGCCTCAGCCTCCCCAAGTACTGGAATTACAGGCATGAGCTACCATGCCTGGCCAGTTAATTGTGTTTTAAATGAAAGGGTAGACACAAGTGTGGGTAGTATAGCTTTGTATTAGATATGCACAGACTTTTTGATAAGAGTAAGGACTTAATGTGGAATGTTTAAAGTTTGGCAGAATGCAGTATCGTTAAAAGTAACAGATTATGAACAGTTCGTTTTGTCATCAGTTTTTGGTGAGAGTATTAATATTATTAGTTATACCTCTAGTCCTGAGAATCTGAAGCTGTAAACTTTCACTGTGGAAACATGCAGAGGCATACAGACACAGAATTGTGCTTACAGGTTGAGGACCCGTTGAAGTTTGTTCCTGGAACCAGACTAAGGATCCTATCATAAGTACCCTTGCCCCACCACACCCACCCTTTTTAAATATAATCTTGACACATATCATAAAAGTTGAAACTACATTTCAAAATCATATTTGGCTTTAGTGTTAGAATAACCAATCCCAACAATACTAAAATACTGGACTTGCCATTTTCTTTTCATGCTTCATTTTAAAAACATTTAAAAAGCTTGGATGTATTGAGTAAATTTTGCTGTTATCATTTTGTGGGATTACATTCTGTTTAGGATAAATTTTAAATTTCTGTTCCTCTGCTTGTTCTGTTGAGTTTGTCTGATAACTGCTTTTGTAGTTACTTTTGTGAACCAGTTTACAAAGGCCAAAGCATTTCTAGATCTTGGTGAGGAGTTGGAGGCTTAAAATTACATGCTTTAGGCCATCACCATAGCAAACTCACTAGTAAACTGAGGTTATTTACCTCGTAAGGTAAATTTCTCTGAAAGCAGAGTGAAAATTACATAGTACCTCTTTTTTTTTTTTTTTTTTTTTTTGAGACGGAGTCTCGCTCTTTCGCCCAGGCTGGAGTGCAGTGGTGCGATCTTGGGCTCACTGCAACCTCCGCCTCCTGGGACTACAGGCGTGAGCCACCACGCCTGGTGTACGTCATTGTTTTAAACCACTTATGTGTTGTAGATTTTACTCTGTGTATTCGTTTGGTGGGTTATAGTTTACCAAGTTGTCCAAAATGGATAATTCATGTGAGATAGGCAAGAGCAAGTGTTGTATCCCAATACCATTTGGTGAAAAAGTTGAACTTCAGAAAGGATAAGTAGTTTGCCAAGATCACCTGTCAACCTGCATAGTCAAATTTGAGATGGAACTCAGCTACTCCAATATCTGTATTTGCAGAATAATTCTGTTGTGTTTATTTTGTTGGTGGTGGTGTTTTTGAGACGGAGTCTCACTCTGTTGCCCAGGCTGCAGTGCAATGGCACGATCTCAGCTCACTGCAACTTCCACCTCCTTGCTTCAAGTGATTCTCCTGCCTCATCCTCCTGAGTAGCTGGAATTAGAGGCGCCTGCCACCACGCCCAGCTAATGTTTGTATTTTTAGTCGAGACTAATTTTCACCAGTTTGGCCACACTGGTCTTGAACTAATGATGTCAGGTGATCCACCTGCCTCGGCCTTTCAGTGTGTTTTATTTTTAAAGCAGATTACTTTATTGAATAGTTTGTGTTGGGTACTTAAGTACTTTACATGCTTTGCATGCTGCTGATTTAATCAGTTCTTTGAGGGAGGTACTCTGTCATCCTTTTCAGATGAGGGAACTAAGGTTTAGAGAATTTATGTGACTTGCTTAGGGTCACATGTGACTGTTTGGTGGAACCACAGGACTTAATCCCAGATTAGGCTAAGAGTTTTTTTTTTTTTTGAAAAGGAATTTTGTTCCTGTTGCCCAGGCTGGTGTGCAATGGCATGATCTCGGCTCATTGCAACCTCCGCCTCCTGGGTTCAAGCGATTCTCCTGCCTCAGCCTCCTGAGTAGCTGGGATTACAGGCATGCACCACCATGCCTGGCTAATTTTTGTAATTTTAGTCGATGTGGGGTTTCACCATGTTGGCCAGGATGGTCTTGAATTCCTGACCCCAGGTAATCCGCCTCCCTTGGCCTCCCAAAGTGTTGGGTTTAGGGGTGTGAGCCATCCTGCCTGGCCTAAAAGTTCTTACTAGTTAACATTGTATAAATTTTATGATGATCTATCTGAATCACCACTGTTCAGTTGGCAAAGTGAAAATTACTGACCGTGTTTTATGTATCTTCAAAAATTCAGACAAATTTCTGTGATAATTGTAGTAGGAATTCAAAAGTGGTAATAAGTATAGCTGAATAAGAATCTTTTTCATTGAATAAAATTTCAAATTTTTTGATTTTTGATTATTTTTTAAGAGACAGTGTATCACCCATGCTGGGGTGCAGTGGCCCAATTATAGCTCACTGCAGCCTCAAGCTCCTGGGCTCAAGTGATGCTCCTGCCTCAGCCTCCCAAAGTGTTGGGGTATGCTGTACCCGGCTGAGAATCTTTCTTAATACTGTTATTCTGCAGTGAACCGTTTAATAAAACTACATGTTTCCAGAGCTTTTTAGATACTATGAGTATATAGGTACGAAATCAATTAGTAACATAACTTTTTCAGTAGACATTTAATCTAAAGTTGGAATTTTTTTCCCCCCTTTGGAGATGGAGTCTTATTCTGTCATCCAGGCTGGAGTGCAATGAAGTGATTATTGCTTACTATAACTTGACCTCCTGGGCTCAAGTGATTTTCCTGTCTCACCCTCCTGAGTAGCAGGGACTATAGGTGTGTATACCAGCACACCTGGCTGCCTTTTTTTTTTTTTTTTTGGGAAACAGTTTCCCTCTGTCTCCCAGGCTGGAGTGCATTGGTACAGTCTCGGCTCACTGCACCCTCTGCCTTGGGGGGCTCAAGCAGTTCTTGTGCCTCACCCTCCCAAGTAGCTGGGATTATAGGCATGTGCCATCATGCCGGGCTAATTTTTGTATATTTAGTAGAGATGGGGTTTCGCCATGTTGGTCAGGCTGGTCTCAAACTCCTGGCCTCAAGTGATCCGCTTGCCTCAGCCTCCCAGAGTGCTGGGATTACAGGGTGTGAGCTACTTTGTCCGGTTCTCCTGAATTGATTTTTTTTTTTTTTTTGGAGACGGAGTCTTACTCTGTGGCCCAGGCTGGAGTGCAGTGGCATGATCTTGGCTCACTTCAACCTCCTCTTCCTGGGTTCAAGCAATTCTCCTGCCTCAGCTTCCCAAGTAGCTGGGATTACAGGTGCGTACCACCATGCCCAGCTAATATTTGTGTTTTTTGTAGGAATGGGGCTTCACTGTTTTGCCCAGGCTGTTCTCAAACTCCTAGCCTCAAGTGATTCACCCACCTCGGCCTCCCAAACTGCTGGGATTACAGGCATGAGCCACCACGCCTGGCTGATTTTCTTTTTTTTTTTTTTCCCCCTGAGATGGAGTCTTGTTCTGTTGCCCCAGGCTGGAGTGCGATGGCCTGATCTTGGCTCACTGCAACCTCCGCCTCCCGGGTTCAAGCGATTTTCCTGCCTCAACCTCCTGGGTAGCTGTGATTACAGGCAACTGCCACCATGCCTGACTAATTTTTGTTACGTTTAGTAGAGATGAGGTTTCACCATGTTGGCCAGGCTGGTCTTGAACTCCTGACCTCATGATCTGCCCACCTCGGCCCCCTAAAATGCTGTGACTACAGGTGTGAGCCACCGCGTCTGGCTGAAAACATGTTTTTGTATAAGATTTCATTTTATATAAAATTTAATATATCTGTTTCCAGTTCTCCCATATTATGAATAATGCCGCAAATGTACATCTTTCTACTTAAATCTTTTATCTACATCCCTGGTTCTTTTAGATTTCTAGACGTGAGTTTACTGTGTCAAAAAATATAAACATTTTTCATTATTTTCATACTGTTTGCTTGCCAGAAAGGATATATTGATCTTTTAGTCGTAGTCGTGCCTGTGTAAGGGCACTTTCACCTGTCTTGAATATTATCCTTTAGAAAGTGTTATTTTAGCAGGGCATGGTGATGTGTGCCTGTAGTATTCCCAGCTACTCAGGAGGCTGAGGTGGGAGGATCACTTGAGCCCTGGAATTCAAGGCTAGCCTGGGCAACATAGCAAGACTTCATCTCTTAAAATAAAAGTTATTTTGGTAGAGAATGTATTAAGCAATTACTAGTAAATTTAACCATTCATATTTTTGTTATTTAATGAATTGTATGTTTTTTTTTCTGTATTTCAGATTTCAGTGTTTTGGGTTTTTTTTTTTATTTTTTTGAGGCGGAATTTCGCTCTTGTTCACTAGGGTGGAGTGCAATGGTGCCATCTCGGCTCACTGCAACCTCTGCCTCCCAGGTTCAAGTGATTCTCCTGCCTCAGACTCCCGAGTAGCTGGGATTACAGGGGCCTGCCACCATGCCTGGCTAATTCTTTTGCATTTTTAGTAGAGACAGGGTTTCATCCTGTTGGCCAGGCTGGTCTTGAACTCCTGAGCTCAAGTCATCCACCTGCCTCAGCCTCCCAAAATGCTGAGATTACAGTTGTGAGCCACCCTGCCCGGCCCCTCTTACCTTCTTTCAAAATTCAAAGCTCGCTTTTTTTCTAACTTGTAAGTTTTATTAATAAGAATGAAATAACAACAACAACAAAAAGCTCACCTTTACCTGTTTTTTTTTTCTTTTTTTTTTTTTGAGATGGAGTCTCGCCCTGTTGCCAGGGTGGAGTGCAGTGGCGCGATCTTGGCTTCCTGGACCTCCACCTCCCAGGTTCAAGTGATTGTCCTGCCTCAGCCTCTCGAGTACCTGGGACTACAGGCGTGCGTCACTATGCCCAGCTAATTTTTATGTTTTTAGTAGAGACAGAGTTTCTCCATGTTGGCCAGGATGGTCTCGATCTCCTGAACTCGTGATCCACTTGCCTCGGCCTCCCAAAGTACTGGGATTACAGGCATGAGCTGCCACACCCGGCCTTCTACCTGTTTTATGAATCGAAATTCTATGTAAGATTTCTTTTGAGGAGAAAAAGGGTATACAGTATTCCCCCCTTATCCAAGTGGAATGTGTTCTGAGACTTCCAGTGGATACCTCAAACCACAGATAGTGCTGTACCCTATATACTGTTTTTTTTCTCATTATTTTAAGAACTTTCACCTTTTCACTTCAAATAAGCTTTTCTTTGGCATATCTGAATTACTAGTATCGCTGCTCTTGCACTTTGGGGCCATTATTGGGTAAAGTAAGGGTTACTTGAATACAAGCATTGTGTAGTGCCACAGTGGATCTGATAACCAGGACAGCTACTTAGTGACTTAATGGGTAGGTTGCATGTGCAGCCTGGATATGCTGGACAAAAGGATGATTCACATCCTAGACGGGACGGCACAAGATTTCATCATGCCACTCGGAATGGCAATTTAAAACTTATGAATTGTTTATTTCTGGAATTTTCCATTTAATATTTTTGGACCATAGTGACTGTGGTTAACTATGGAAAGCAAAACCAAAGATAATAAGGGAGACTATTGTAATTTCTTAATAAGCTTGGAAACTAAGTAATATGTGGGTGCTCAAAAAAAGCCAACATAAAACTGTTTTCAAGTATCTTTTTTCTGAGATGGAGTCTTGCTCTGTCGCTCAGGCTGGAGTGCAGTGGTGCGATCTCGGCTCACTGCAAGTTCTGCTTCCTGGGTTGACGCCATTCTCCTCCCTCAGCCACCCGAGTGGCTGGGACTACAGGCGTCCGCCACCATGTCCAGCTAATTTTTTTGTATTTTTAGTAGAGATGGGGTTTTACCGTGTTAATCAGGATGGTCTTGATCTCCTGACCTCAGGTGATCTGCCCACCTTGGCCTCCCAAAGTGCTACGATTACAGGTGTGAGTCACTGTGCCTGGCCTTTTTTTTTTTTTGGCTCTGTAGCCCAGGCTGGAGTGCAGTGGCTTAATATCAGCTCACTGCAGCCTTCGCCTCCCGGGTTCAAGCGATTCTCCTGCCTCAGCCTCCTGAGTAGCTGGGATTACAGGTGCCTGCCACCACGCTCGGCTAATTCTTTTGTATTTTTAGTAGAGACGGGGTTTCACCGTGTTGGCCAGGCTGGTTTCGAACTCTTGACCTGAAGTGATCCGCCCGTCTTGGCCTCCCAAACTGCTAGGATTATGGGTGTGAGCCACCGTGCCTGGCCTGTTTTCAAGTATCTTAATTGTGCCCAAATTTTAGGAGGTGGTGTCATGCTTATGAAGTTGGAATACTATGATGAATTATATTTAACACAGTGATGATAATACACTTCTGTAGCTATTTGAACACTGAAATTTCTTATACAGTGTTTTCCTTGAAGGTACTTCCTTTGTAAGAGTCATGAGAAATAGAAAGATTTGTCTAAGGTCACACAGCAAAGAAGTAGCAGGGGTAGGACTAGAATTTAGTTGTGCTTATTTCTTCTCTGTACTTTTCACTAACCAAGCTATCTTTTTTTATTTTTATTTTTTAATTTTTAAGAGGACCCTGACTGTGGAAGTTGGGAAACTCATAAGAAACCATTAAAGGAACTGTGGAGAGATTTATTTGGGCTAAAGTGGATTAGGCAAGATTTGTTTTTATTTTTTCCCGAGATGGAGTCTTGATTTGTCACCCAGGTTGGATTGCAGTGGCGCAGTCTCGGCTCACTGCAACTTCCACCTCCCGGGTTCAAGCAATTCTCCTGCCTCAGCCTCCCAAGTAGCTGGGATTGTAGGCGCCCACCACTGTGCCCGGCTCATTTTTGTAAATTTAGTAGGAATGGGGTTTCACCATGTTGACCAGGCTGGTCTTGAACTCCTGACCTCACCATCCACCTGCCTTGGCCTCCCAAAGTGCTGGGATTACAGGCGTGAGCCACTGTGCCCCGCCAAGATTTTAAGGAAGATGGAAGATTCAAGTGGGCCCTGTTTGAAATAGTTGCTGGGAATGAGAGGAGTGAAATATGGCCTACCTTGACTTGTGAAGGCTCTGCATGACTTAGCCTCTGCTAGCTTCATTCCCTTGTTCTCTTTGCCTTTTTTTTTTTTTTTTTCCTTTTTGCCTTCTTTCATTGATGACACTGAGCCTTTATACATACCTTTTTTTTTTTTTTTCTGAGACAGTTTCACTCTTGTTGCCCAGGCTGGAGTGCAATGGTGTGATCTTGGCTCACTGCAACCTCTGCTTCCTGGGTTCAAATGATTCTCCTGCCTCAGCCTCCCGAGTAGCTGGGATTACAGGCACCCGCCACCACGCCCGGCTAATTTTTGTATTTTTAGTAGAGACAGGGTTTCACCATGTTGGCCAGGCTTCTCTTGAACTCCTGACCTCAGGTGATTTGCCTGCCTCTGCCTCCCAAAGTGCTGGGATTACAGGTGTGAACCCCCGTGCCTGGCCTGTATATACCTTCTTATGCTTTTAAGTTTTGACTGAAATGATTTTTTTCGAGAAGTCTTTCCTGAACTCCAAGTCTGAAGTAGCTCTGGTTCTTTTTATTCATAGCATTTACCACAATTTAGAATTATGTATTTCTATGTTTACAACTGTAATTTTTTTATTCTATGAGACTATCAGTTCTATGATTGCAACTGTTACTACTGTTTTACAGTGCCTGCATGTGGTAGGATCAGTGTTTATTTAAAATATCTGAAAAATCGTAAGATCACTGTGGGTTGATAATAGAAGGGAAAACAAGGGTAGGCTAGATGTGGTGTTTCCTGTTTTCTCGGATATATCAAGTACTGTCAGTCCTTGCTTTTGTGATGTCTTGCTTGCCACCCTCTTCATAAAATGGTACTTTTTGTTGTTGCTGCTGCTGTTTGTTTTTGGAGACAGGGTCTCACTCTGTCACTCAGGCTGGAGTACAGTGATATGATCCTAGCTCACTGCAGCCTTGACCTCCTGGGCTCAAAAGAGCCTCCCAAGTAGCTGGGACTACAGGTGCTCATGATGACACCCAACTTGCTTGCTTATTTATTTGGGAATGGGTTTCACTATATTTCCCAAGCTGCTCTTGAACTTCTGGCCTCAAGTGATTCTCCCGCCTCAGCCTCCCAAAGTGCTGGGATTACAGGCGTGAGGCACCACACACAACACTTTACTAGTTCGTGATATTAGTACCTGTGGGTTAAATTTAAGGTTGAGAATTATTATTCTTTTTAAACTAGGTAGGATTCTGTCTCAAGGACCAGAAAAAACCGTTTCTTTGGCAGAAACAGAGTTTTTCTTTAAAAGCTATAAGTAGGCCGTCTAGGTGTATATTCAGGTGTGCTTTACTTTTAATCATTGGGTTTATAACATAATCAGGACTTTATTTCTCTGTGGCTTGCTGGGCTTCCTTGGTTTTGACCTCAGTTTGGCCCTTCCTATGGTAACAGAAATGGCTACTGCACCTTATTTATTTGACAGGTCTTGCTCTGTCGCCCAGTCTAGAGTGCAGTGGCACGATCACGGCTCACTGTAGTCTTGACCTCCCAGGCTCAAGAGATCCTCCCACCTCAGCCACCTGAGTAGCTGGGACTATAAGCCTGTGCCATCACACCTGGCTAATTTTTGTAATTTTTGTAGAGGCAGGGTTTCACCATGTTACCCAGGCTGGTCTTGAACTCCTGGGCTCAAACCATCCTTCTGTTCCAGCCTCTTAAAGTGCTGGGGTTACAGGTGTGAGCAGTCACCACTGGTCTGTTTAGTTTTTTCAGACAGAGTCTTGCTCTGTTGCCCAGGCTGGAGTACAGTGGCTCAGTCATGGCTAACTGCAGCCTCAACGTCCCAGGTGGGCCAAGCTATCCTCCTGCCTCAGCTTCCATAGTAGCTGGGACTACATGCCTGTGCCACCACACCCAGCTAATTTTCGTTTTGGTGTTTTTTATTTTTACTCTGTTAGTAAATTGAGATGGGGTCCCACTGTGTTGCCCAGGCTGGTCGTGAACTCCTGGGCTCAAACTATCCTCCTGCCTCAGCCTCCCAAAATGTTGGGATTATAGGCGTGAACCACCATGCCTGGCCATTTTTTTTTATTTTTAGTAGAGATGGGGTTTCACCATGTTTCCCAGGCTGGTCTCCAACTCCTGGGCTCAAGTGATCTCCCTACTTTGGCTTCCTAAAGTGCTGGGATTGCAAGTGTGAGCCACTGTGCCCAGCACTACTGCACCATTTTTATACCACATCTTCATACCACAGTGTTTGGACATCACGTACTTAAACTATGCGGAGAAAAAGAGTGAATCTTTTCTGGAACTTACTGTACAAGAACAAGAAGGCTGCTTTTTCCAAAACCTTCCTGACAAATGTCATTTCATATATTATTGACTCTGTTCCTGAAATAGAGTTCAAAGAGGATGGACTTTGATTGGTTTAAACTAATCAGGACCTATTCTTGAAGCTGATCTCACCCAAATCTCATAACTAAGAGTGTGCTTCTGGAAAAGAAATCTGGCACGTTGTTACCATGAAAGAGGTGAAATTGCTTCTGGGCAGTAAGCCCACGGATATCTAATACACTGAAAACCATTTCTTAATATTGTATTTACTGAGTTGTGTTTCACCTTAACTCTGTTTAAATATTTGTTTTTTTAAAAACATAAACACTTGTGTAAAGCATTCTCCTGTATGCTGGTAGGTATAGAAATACATTTAGCTGTGTATTTTCTCTTAAGGAAGGTTCCAGAGTACAGATGAGGCAGTAGGATGATACTTGAGTGAGTGATCTTTGGAACCTGGTAGACCTGAGTTCAAATCTTGCTCCTGTCATTTATTAAGTCTCTGACTTTGGCTAAGTTCCCTTACCTCTTAATGCCTTGTTTCTTATTTGGAGATGAGGATATTCTTAATACATGTCTCATAGGGATTTTGTGAGGAGTGAATAAGATAATGCATATCAACATTTAACGCAGTGCTAGCATAAGAAATATGCAAAACAACAGCATGAAAAATAAAAATGGTAAATTTTGTGAAATAGTTTTAGTTGAAGTGCAGTGGGAGGAGTTTAGTTTTGGGATGATGGGAGAAAACTTTGTGGACTTGATATAATTTAAGTTGGTCTACGTGGTATATATGCATATAAGTTTTTGAGATGGGGGTCTTGGTATGCTGCCTGGGCTGGTCTTGAACTTCCAGGCTCAAATGATCCTCCTGACTCAGATTCATGTTACCTGGGATTACAGGCACACACCACTGCACCTGGCTATCTTTGAGTGATTGAAAAACAAAAACAAAAAAACCCTGTAATCCTAGCACTTTGGGAGGCCAAGGCTGGTGGATTGCCTGAGCTCAGGAGTTCGAGACCAGCCTGGGCAACATGGTGAAATTCTGTCTCTATTATAATACAAAAACTAGTTGGGCATGGTGGCACACATCTATAATCCTAGCTACCCAGGAGGCTGAGGCATGAGAATTGCTTGAACCCGGGAGGCGGAGGTTGCAGTGAGCTGAGATCGTACCACTGCACTCCAGGTTGGGTGACAGACGGAGACTCTGTCTCAAAAACAAACAAAAGGCTGGGGTGTGGCGGCCCACACCTGTAATCCCAGCATTTTGGGAGGCCAAGGTAGGCATATCACCACAGGTCAGGAGTTCAATACCAGACTGGCCAACATGGTGAAACCCTGTCCCTACTAAAAATACAAAAATTAGCTTAGCATTGTGGCGTGTGCCTGTAATCCCAGCTGCTTGCCAGGCTGAGGCGGGAGAATCGCTTCAACTTGGGAGGTGGAGGTTGCAGTGAGCCAAGATGGCACCACTGCACTCCATCCAGTCTGGGCGACTAGTGAGACTCATCTCAAATAAACAACCAAAAAAAAAAAAAAAGAAAAAAAAAACCCCACTATATTTGCTGGGTGTGGCGGCTATGCCTATAATCCCAGCACTTTGGGAGGCCTAGGCGGGCGGATCACGTGAGGTCAGGAGTTCGAGACCAGCCTGGTCAACATGGTGAAACCCATGTCTACTAAAAATAAAAAAATAAGCTGGGTGTGGTGGTGGGCCCCTGTAATCTTGGCTACTCGGGAGGCTGAGGCAGGAGAATCACTTGAACTTGGGAGGCGGAGGTTGAAGTGAGTAGAGGTTGTGTCACTTCACTGTAGTCTGGGCGACAGAGGGAGACTCCATCTCAAAACAAGAACACTATATTGACACAGTCACCAGGGACCTGTTGTTTATGAAAGTACACAGAGAAGTTTTCTCTATAACTCCATGGATCCAGTGCTTTCCCTTTGGGAAAAACAAAAACAAAAACAAAACAACAAACAAAAAACTGGCTGGGCGCAGTGGCTCATGCCTGTAATCCCAGCACTTTGGGAGGCCAAGGCAGGTGGATCACTTGAGGTCAGGAGTTCAATACCAGCCTGGCCAACATGGTAAAACCCTATCTCTACTAAAAACAAAACCTAGCTGAGCATGATGGCACACGCCTGTAATCCCCAGCTACTTGGGAGGCAGAGGCAGGAGAATCACTTGAACCTGGGAGGTGGAGGTTGCAGGTAGCTGAGATCACACCCCTGGGTGACAGAGGGAGACTCCTTCTCGAAAAACCCCAAACCCTCTCTTTTCCTGCCTATAATTTAATCACTGTAGAAATCTGTAGAAAATACTGAAGAAATACAAACCTTGTGATTGTTAAAATTTTGGTTTATATAAATCTAGCTGTCTTCTGTGAATATGTATAAACTGAGTTTATACTTACCTACTGTTTTTTATGAGCATTTTCTTATAAAATGCTCATAAAAAACATGAGCGAACATGATGAAACCCTGTTTCTACCCAAAATACAAGTATCTGAGAACAGAATTTAATGGCAGCCTACTTTTAGTCTTTTGAATGTGACACATATTTAACTAATGTTTTCCTGTTTAAAAAAATATGAAAATATTTTTAAGCATAGAAATCTGGGTCATGTCCCAGGTCAAGATGTAAATTTGGTGTTTTTTGGTTTTTTTCTTCTTCCTTTTTTTTTTTTTTTTTTTTTGAGATGGAATGTCACTCTGTTGCTTGGGCTGGAGTGCAGTGGTGTGGTGGAATCTTGGCTCAGTGCAACCTGCGCCTCCTTGGTTCAAGTGATTCTCCTGCCTCAGCCTCCTGAGTAGCTGGGATTACAGGCACGCACCACCATGCCTGGCTAATTTTTGTATTTTTAGTAGAGATGGGGTTTCACCATATTGGCGAGGCTGGTCTTGAACTCCTGACCTCAAGTGATTCACCCTCCTGGGCCTCCCAAAGTGCTGGGATTACAGGCACAAGCCACTGCACCTGGCTTGTTTTCTTTTTTTGAGACAGGGTCTTACTCTGTCGTCTATGCTGGAGTACAGTGGCGTGACCATGGCTCACTGCAAACGCTACTTTCCAGGCTTAAGCAGTCCTCCCATCTTAGCCTCCTGAGTAGCTGGGATTATAGGCGCAGGCCACCACACTTGGCTAATGTTTTTGGTATTTTTAGTACAGATGGGGTTTCACCATGTTGCCCAGGCTGGTCTCGAACTCATGGGCTCTAGCAATCCACCCGCTTCGGCCTCCCTAAGTGCTGGGATTATAGGCATGAGCCACAGTGCCCAGCCTAGATGTAATTATTTAAGGGTTCTGATTTTCAGTTACCTTCTAGAAAGGTTGTATTAATTTATTGCCTAAAAGCTTTATATGAGAGTGCCTTTTTTTTTAAAAATATTAGATATTCTATTTTTAAGAATCTGTATGATAGGGTGTCCTAACATGATAGGATGTCTTAAACTACTATATTTGTTCCTGCAAAGTTGTGGGTGTTTTTTTTTTTTTTTTTTTTTTGGTTGTGGGGTGGGTCATCATAGTGTCTTGGTCTGTCTCTAAGGGCTGGAGTGTAGTGAGTGGCGTGATCAAGACTGACTGCAGCCTTGACCTCTGAGGCTCAAGCGATCCTCTTATGTCAGCCTCCTGACTGCAGGTGTGTGCTGGCAAGCCCAGCTAATTCTTAACTTTTGTTTTTTTTTTTGGTGGAGACAGGGCCTCTTTGTGTTTCCCAGGTGGGTCTCGAACTCCTGGTTTCAAGTAACCCTCCTGTCTTGGCCTTCCAAAGTGCTGGGGATTACAGGCCAGCACGGTGGCTGACGCCTGTAATGCCAGCACTTTGGCGGGAGGCTGAGGCGGGTGGATCACCACCTGAGGTCAGGAGACCAGCCTGACCAACATGGTGAAACCCTGTCTCTACCCAAAATACAAAAATTAGTAGGGTGTGGTGATGCATGCCTATAATCCCAGCCACTTGGGAGGCTGAGGCACGAGAATCTCTTGAACCCCGGAGGTCGAGGTTGCAATGAGCTGAGATCGCGCCACTACACTCTAGCCTGGGTGACAGAGTGAGACTCTGTCTCAAAAAAAAAAAAAAAAAAAAAAAAGTGCCGGGAATTATAGGCACGAGCCACTTCACTTGGCATGGTTCTTGAGTTTTAATGGCAAGTAGTCTTTTGTTATTTAGAAAGGTCATTCCCACTCAAGATTAGATACTCAATTAAGTCTTTTTCTTTCTTTTTTTTTTTTTTTGAGACGGAGTCTCGCTCTGTCGCCCAGGCTGGAGTGCAGTGGCATGATCTCGGCTCACTGCAAGCTCCGCCTCCTGGGTTCACACCATTCTCCTGCCTCAGCCTCCCGAGTAGCTGGGACTACAGGCGCCCGCCACCACGCCCGGCTAATTTTTTGTATTTTTAGTAGAGACGGGTTTCACCGTGTTAGCCAGGATGGTCTCGATCTCCTGACCTCGTGATCCGCCCGCCTCAGCCTCCCAAAGTGCTGGGATTCCAGGCGTGAGCCACTGCGCCCGGCTTTCAATTAAGTCTTTTTCTAGCTTTTATGGATTTGTTAAATTTAATTTTTTATTCATCTGGAATTTATTTTGGTATCAAGTATGAAGTAGGATCTAACATTAATTTTTCTGAACAATGACTTAGTGATTTTAGCAAATTTGAATTTCTCTCTTTTCCATTGATTTGAAATGCCAGGTCTGTCTGGTTTTTTGTTTTTTTGTTTTTTTTTTTGAGGCGGGGTTTCGCTCTTGTTGCCCAGGTTGGAGTGCAATGGCATGATCTTGGCTCACCACAACCTCCGTCTCCCAGGTTGAAACGATTCTCCTGCCTCAACCTTCCGAGTAGCTGGGATTGCAGGCATGTGCCACCATGCCCGGTTAAGTTTGCATTTTTAGTAGAGACGGGGTTTCTCTCTTGGTCAGGCTGGTCGTGAGCTGCCAACCTCAGATGATCCGCCCACCTTGGCCTCCCGAAGTGCTGGGATTACAGGCGTGAGCCACCGCACCCAGCACCATGTCTGTCTTGTACAGAATTTATGAGTATATTCTTGGAGGCCTATTTTTAAGCTGTTTATTATTTCATCATCTAGTTTTAATTTAGTCACTTTATAATTTATCTTTGTGCCTGGTGCCGTTAAACCAAATAGGTTGTGAAAAGTTATTCATTTCTTTTTTTTTTTTTTTTTTTTTTTTTGAGATGAAGCCTCACACTGTCACCTGGGCTGGAGTGCAGTGGCATGATCTCGGCTCACTGCAACTTCCACCTCTCGGGTTCAAGTGATTCTCCTGTCTCAGCGTCCCGAGTAGCTGGAATTATAGGCGCCTACCACCATGCCCAGCCAATTTTTTTTACATTTTTAGTAGAGATGGGGTTTCACCATGTTGACCAGGCTGGTCTTGAACTCTTGACCTCGTGATCCGCCTGCCTTGGCCTCCCAAAGTGCTGGGATTACAGGTGTGAGCCACCGTGCCTGGCCAAGTTACTCATTTGTTAAGATGAAACTTTAGAATCCTTTTTTTTTTTTTTTGCATCTCCTCCGTTTCTATTGGAATTTTTATTGAAATTGGATTATGTTTATAAGTGGGGTAAGAGTTGACATCTTACGGTGTCTTTCCCGAAAGGAAATAATGTATCTTCCCATTTTTACATAATTTTTGTTTCTTTTTGACGTTTTATATTTTTCCCCTTTATGTAGGTTCTGCGTATTTCTTTTTACATGTACTCCTGGATATTTTTGTTTGTTGTTCCCAATTAAAATGGTATATTTGCACATCTTTATCATTTATTTTACTTTATTATTTATTTGGTATTTTTAGTAGAGACAGGATTTCACCATGTTGGCCGGGCTGGTCTCAAACTCCTGCCCTCAAGTGATCTCCCTACCTCAGCCTCCCATACTTTATAATTTTTTTAACAGCTATAGTGAACTATTGGGTTGGTGCGAAAATAATTGGGGTTTTGCCACTTGTAAACCACAATTACTTTTGTACCAATCTAATAAATTCACATACCTTACTGGCACCCGACTGATTCAGAGTTGTGCAACCATCACCACAAACAAGTCTAGAACACTTTATCACCTCAATAGGATTCCCCTACCTTTTAGCAATCAGTCACCCTAAGCTACTTCCCATTTCAGTAGCACGAAGCAACAACCAATATGCATTCTTAATATATTTGCCTATTCTGAACCTTTCGTGTATATGGAATACTAATATTTGTTTTTTTTGTGACTGCCTACTTTCACTTAGCATAATGCTTTCCAGTTTTGTCCATGTTGTAGCATATGCCAGTACTTCAGTCCTTTTTTTTTGTTTAAGACTTTTTGTATTTTTATTTTTATTTTTTGAGACAGAGTCTTGGTTTGTTGCCCAGGCTGGAGTGCAGTGGCATGAACTTTGTTCACTGCAGGCTCTGCCTCCTGGGTTCAAGTGATTCTCCAGCCTCAGCCTCCCGAGTAGCTGGGACTACAGGCGTGCGCCACCATGCCCAGCTTATTTTTGTATTTTTAGTAGAGACGGGGTTTCACCATATTGGCCAGGCTGGTCTCGCACTCCTGACTTCGTGATCCACCCACCTCAGCCTCCCAAAGTGCTGGGATTACAGGCGTGAGCCACCGCGCCGGCTGATACAACTTCATTCTTTTGCATGAGGCTGTTCAGTTGTCCAAGCTTCATTTTTAGAAAAATCTATTCTTTCTGTTGCATGGTCTTGGCATCCTTGTTTGAAAGTCATTTGCCTGTACATATATAGGGTTTTTTTCTGTACTCTGTATTCTGTTTCATTGATCTGTATGTCTATCCTTACGCCAGTACTACACTGTCTTGATTGCTGTGGCTTTGTAATAAGATTGGAAGTCAGAAAGTGTAAATCTTTGTTTTTTTTTTGTTTTTGTTTTTTTTTTCAAAATTATGTTGGCTCTTCAGGGTCCCTTGAGTTTCCTTCTGAGTTTTAGGATCAACTTGAAAACTTCTACAAAGATGCCAGCTGGAATTCTGGTAGAGATTGTAGTGAATCTGTGTATCAAGTTGAGGATTATTACTATCTTAACAATATTAAGTCTCCTGATCCATGAACATGGGATATCTTTCTATTTATTTAGGTTGTCTATAATGCTTTAAACAATATTTTGTAGTTTCCTACTTTTTTTTTTTTTTTTAAGAGGGAGTCTCACTGTCATCCAGGCTGCAGTACAGTGGCATGACTTCTGCCTTCCAGGTTCGAGCGCTCCTCTTGTCCCTCCTGTCCCTCCCGTCCCTCCATTCCCTCCTTCCTGTTGCCCAGGCTGGAGTGCAGTGGCACGATCTTGGCTCACCGCAACATCCACCTCCCAGGTTCAAGCAGTTCTCCTGCCTCAGCCTCCAGAGTAGCTGGGATGATTACAGGCATGCGCCACCACACCTTGCTAATTTTTATATTTTTAGTAGAGACAGGTTTTTCCATGTTGGCCAGGCTGGTCTCGAACTCCCAACCTCAGGTGATCCACCTGCCTTGGCCTCCCAGAGTGCTGAGATTACAGGCATGAGCCACTGTATCCGGCCTCTGGCCTGCACTTTTTGTTATTCAATACATTTTGGGCAAAGAATAAGAATCTTATTCTTTCTGATGCTATTGTAAAATTGTTTTTCTAGATTTTACATCTGAATTGTTCATTGCTAATATATAGAAATATGGTTGATTTGGTACCTTGATCTTGTATCCTGCAACCTTGAACTCATTTGTAAATTGTTTAGTGGATCCCTTAGGACTTTTTTATGTATGTCATCTATGGATGGAAACAGTTTCTTTATTCTTTCCATTTGGGATGACTTTTACTTCATATACTCATTATTAAAAATATATCTTCATTTGGCTTGATCAGTGGTTATCAAAGTATGATCTGTCAACCATGGAGGTCCCAGAGAGCCTGTCAAAGAGTTGTCAAGATAAGATATTCTTTGCATTTTTTTTCCCCGTCCTTGAGACAGGGCCTCACTCACTCTGTTTCCTGGGCCAGAGTGTGGTGCTATTATCAGCTTACTACAGACTTGAACCCCTCAGCTAAGGTGATCCTCCTGGGACTGCAGGCATGTGCCACCACACCAGGCTAAATTTTTTTATTTTTGTAGAGACAGATCTCACTGTGTTGCCCAGTCTGGTCTTGAACTCCTGGCCTGAAGCAGTCCTCCTGCCTTGGCCGCCCAAAGTACTGGGATTATAGACATGGGCATTCATGCCTGGCCAGTTTGTGTTTTTCATTGTGTTGACATTTTCATTGATAGTGCAAAAGTGTCATGGATAAAACTACTGGCCACTTTGTATGAAGAAAGACAGTGGCATTAAGTAGATGTTGTATTCCTTACTCCCAAACATTTGTTATTTAAAATAAATTTTGACTTGATGTTCAATTTTATTAAATTTCACAGATCCTTGGCTCTTGCCTGTAATCCCAGTATTTTGGGAGGCCAAGGCAGGTGGATCACCTGAGGTCAGGAGTTCAAGAACAGCCTGGCCAACATGGTGAAACCTTGTCTCTACTAAAAATACAAAAATTAGTTTGGTGTGGTGGCGCGCACCTGCAATCCCAACTACTTGGGAGGCTGAGGCAGGAGAATGGCTTGATCCCAGTAGGCGGAGGTTGCAGCAAGCCGAGATTGCACCACTGCACTCCAGCCTAGGCGACAGAGTGAGACTGTCTCAAATAAATAAATAAATAAAAGAAAAAACCCAAAACTAAAAAAACCAATTTCACAGATCTTGTATTCATGTCTTTTTATATTCTGTGATGAAATGAGTTCATATAAAGCATTTCTTCTCTCCTTAGTGCAGTAAGATGGTTAATTTGAGAAAATGGACAAGTGGTTTGAGTTGTGAGCTGAGCTAGCTGCTTTTTTCATAAAACATCTGTTTGAAAGTGTGATGGACTCATGCAAAGTTATCCAGATTTTTTATATTTAACAAGCATTTTCTTGAAAAACCAAGCATGTCACTTCAAGGAAGACTGATAATGTTAATTGCCAGTGATAAAATTTGAGCTTTGATAGAAAAATTAAAATTTTAGAAAACTTGAACCTGACACCATGAACTTGAAAGGTGCCCAATACTTAACAGATTTTTCTGATGAGATCAGTGGAATTATATATGTTTTCTGGTTTTTTTTTTTTTTTTTTTTTTTTTTTTGGAAGACAGTTTCACTCTGTTGCCCAGGCTGGAGTGCAGTGGTGCGTTCTCTGCTCACTGCAACCTCTGCCTTCTGGGTTCAAATGATTCGGGTGCCTCAGCCTCCCGAGTAGCTGAGACTGCAGGTGCATGCCACGATGCCAGGCTAATTTTTTTATTTTTAGTAGAGACAGTGTTTCACCATGTTAGCTACGCTGGTCTTGAACTCCTGACCTCAGGTGATCTGCTTGCCTTGGCCTCCCAAAATGCTGGGATTACAGGCATGAGCCACCACGCCCGGCCTAATGTTATTTTCTGATGCTGTGTAATGAAATGTGTCAACATTGGAAAGATGATGTACATAACTTAGTGGACCAATATTTTCCAGATCACCAGTATATTATGTTATAAAATTATGCATGGGCAAAGTATCTACTCAGAGGGTAAAGTAGATCAGTGGAATTTTTTTTTTTTTTTTTTGATGTGGAGTCTTGCTCTGTTGCCCAGGCTGCAGTGTAGTGGCACGATCTCGGCTCATTGCAACCTCTGCCTCTCAGGTTCTAGGGATTCTCTCACCTCAGCCTCCTGAGTAGCTGAGATTACAGGCACATACCACTACACCTGGCTAATTTTTGTATTTTTAGTAGAGATGGGGCTTCACCATGTTGGCCAGGCTGGTCTCGAGCTCCTGACTTTAAGTGATCTGCCCGCCTTGGCTTCTCAAAGGGCTAGAATTACAGGCGTGAGCTACCACGCCCAGCCTACATCACTGGATTTTAATGTAACAGACAGTACTTACATGATTTCAGTTTTCATATTACAACTCATTTTAAGAAATTACCATTGAGTTTTGGTGTAATATTGAAGAAGAAAATATTTAAGACAAAGCTGTTAAAATATTCCTACTTTCAACTTTAGATCATTTCAGGATGGATCTTCATATACTTCAATCAGGACAGTATATGATGGAGTACAGAAGCACTTAGAAGGATACAGCCATCTTCTATTAAGCTAGACCCTAGATTTTCAAAAATATATAACAGTTCCACTTGTCTCACTGGTGTTTTTTGGTGGAAAATATGGAATGAAGTATTTATAAATGAATGAATAAATATGTAGACATTTCTAAGTTTTAGTTTAGTTTTTTTTTTTTTTTTTTTTTGAGACAGAGTCTGACTCTGTCACCCAGACTGGAGTGCAGTGGTGCAATCCTGGCTCACTGTAATCTCTGCCTTCCTGGGTTCAGGTGATTCTCCTGCCTCAGCCTCCTGAGTGGCTGGGATTACAGGTGCCCACCAAGTTACAGACTAATTACTTTTTTTTTTTTTGAAACAGAGTCTCACTGTGTTGCCCAGGCTGGAGTGCAGTGGCACGATCGCAGCTCACTGCAACCTCTGCCTTTCAGGTTCAAGCGATACTTCTGCCTCAGGCTCCCGAGTAGCTGGTATTACACGTGCATAGCACCACGCCTGGCAAATTTTTTGTATTTTTAAAAATAGAGACTGGGTGTCAGGCTGGTCTTGAACTCCTGACCTCGTGATCCGCTTGCCTTGGCCTCCCAAAGTGCTGGGATTACAGGCAGAGCCACTGTGCCTGGCCTGTAAGACATTATTATTATTTTATACAGTTTATGTTAATTTAGATTTACCCACATTTACTCTTTCTGTTGCTCTTCTTTTTTGTGTCTCTTGGCTTTCATCCGGGATCATTTTTCTCTTAGCAATTTTTTTTTTTTTTTTTTGAGACGGAGTCTCGATCTGTTGCCCAGGCTGGAGTGCAGTGGCGCAATCTCGGCTCACTGCAAACTCTGCCTCCCGGGTTCATGCCATTCTCCTGCCTCAGCCTCCTGAGTAGCTGGGACTACAGGTGCTTGCCACCACGCCCCGCTAACTTTTTGTATTTTTCGTAGAGATGGGGTTTCACTGTGTTAGCCAGGATGGTCTTGATCTCCTGACCTTGTGATCCGCCCGCCTCGGCCTCCCAAAGTGCTGGGATTACAGGTGTGAGCCACCGGGCCCGGCCAGCATTTTTTTTTTTTTTTTTTTTTTTTTTTAGTGTGGTTCTGCTGTTGACAGTTTTTTCTCTTAGCATTTTTTTGTGTGTGTGTGTTTAGTGTGGTTCTGCTGTTGACAAATTTTTTTTTCAGTGTTTGCTTGTTTTCTAAAGTTCATTTTTAGGCTAACACTGAAGTAGGATAATGAATTACAAGTTGGCAGTTACTATTGCTTCTTCAAACCAATCATTCCATTGTCCCCTGGCTTCCATTGTTTATACAGAGAAATCACCTATCGGTTTTACTGTTACTTCTTTGAAGATAAGTTTTTTCCTCACTTGCTCAGTTTTTTTTTTTTTTTGGTGTTAAGGAACAGAGTTTAATAGGCAAGAAAGAAACGATAAGGCAGAAGGAAGAGGCTCCCCTGTACAGAGACGGAGGGGGTGCTCCAAAGCCAAAAAAGGAGGTCTCCACGTGCGGTGGACACCTGCCAGGTATATATGCAGAGGCTGGAGGAGGCAATGTCTGATTTGCATAGGGCTCAGGGGATTTGTTTGACTAGGCATGTCATTCAGGTAGCCCGTGAAAAAGCTGGCCCTCCCACCCTAGCCCTTTAATGTGCATCATTTGCTCAGTTTTAAGATTTTCTTTGTTTTTGTCTTCAGTAGTTAACTATGACAAGTCCGCATCTGATTTTGTATTTATTGGGATTCATAGTGCTTCTTGAATGTGAGTTTTTTAAAAATTTATTTTAGAAGTACTTAGCCATTATTTTTTCAAATGTAGTCACTGCCTCAGTCTGTCTTTCATCACCTTTTGATCTTCCTTCTCTCTTTTGCTTTCTTCTATATTTTTATCCTTTTGGCTTTTGTGTCTTCATACTGCAGTCTGGATATTTTCTTTGACCCATCTTCCTTTTTCGATTTCTCAGTCTTGTTTAATCTGTATTAAAGCCATCTATCAATTTTAATTTCTGTTATTGTATATTTTAATTCTTAGGCTTTTGAGTTTTTTCTTTTTAATAGATTTTATTTTTGGGACAGGGTTTTGCTCTGTCACCCAGGCTGGAGTGCAGTGGCAGAATCTTGTCACCTTGACCTTCTGGGCCCAAGTGATCCTCCCACCTCAGCCTCCTGAGTAGCTGGGACTACAGGCATGCATGCCCCACCATACCTACAATTTTATTTATTTATATTTTTAGCAATGAAGTCTCCGTATGTTGCCCATGCTGAAGCAGTCCTGCTTTCGCCTCCCAGAGTGCTAGGGTTACAGGCATGAGCCACCTTGCCTGGTCAGCATTATTTTTTTACAGCAGTTTTTAGTTCACACCAAAATTGAGCATAAGGTGCAGATATTTCCGGTATGCCACCTGACTCCCCACACACGAAGCCTCCTCCATTATCAACATCTGACACCAGAGTGAGTGGTACATTTGTTACACTTGGTGAATCTACGTTAACATATCATTATGACTCAAAGTCCATAGTCCACATTAGGGTTCACTGTTGGGGTTTGACAAATGTGTAATAACATATCCACCAGTACAGTGTCGTACAAAGTAGTTTCACTACCCTAAAATCCTGTGTGCCCTACCCATTCATTCCTTCCTCCCCACTAATCACTGGCAACTGCTGATCTTTTTACTGTCTCCATAGTTCTGCCTTTCCTACTACATCACATAGTTGAAATCATACAGTATGTTGCCAGTTAAGATTGGTTTCTTTCATTTAGTAATAGGAATTTAAATGTTCTTTATGTATTTTCATGTCTTGATAGTTTTTTTTTTTTTAACACATCTGCTGGCAGGAAGATAGCTTTTTAAAAAATTTATTTTAATTGACGTAATAATTGTACGTGTTTATGGGATATGTAGTGATTTTTTTATGCAAAATTTCATCATATAGTGATGTGTTGATACATATATAGTGATCAGATCAGGGTAATTAGTGTATTCATCTCAAACATTTATCCCTTTTTTGCATTGGGAACCTTCTGTGGCCTCTTTGTAGCTATTTGAATCTATATAATGTATTATTGTTAACTGTAGTCATTTCACAGTTATGTAGAACACTGGAACTTATTCCTCCTATCTAGCTGTAATTTTTATCCTTTCACAAATCTCTCCCTATTCTTCCCTTTCCCCTGTCCTTTCCACCTTCTTGTATCCTCTGTTCTACTTTTTACTTACATGAGATGAACCTTTTTTTAGCTTCCACATGAGTAAGAACTTATGGTGTTTAACTTTCTGCTCCTGGCTTATTTCACATAAGATAATGTCCTCCAGTTCCATGTATGTTGCTGCAAATGACAGGATTTCATTATTTTTAATGGATGTATAATATTCCTCTGTGTGTGTGTGTGTGTGTGTGTGTGTGTGTGTGTGTACACACATCACATTTTGTTTATCCATTCATCTATCGTTGAACACGTAGGTTGATTTTGTATCTTGGCTACTGTGAATAGTGCTGTAATCGTGGGAATGCAGACGTCTCTGATACAGTGTTTTCCTTTCCTTTGGATAAATGCCTAGCAGTGGGATTGCTGGATTATATGGTAGTCGTGTTTGTAGTTTTTTGAGGAGCTTTGATACTGTTCTCTATAGTGGCTGTGCTAGTTTACGTTCCCACTAACACTGTATAAGAGTTCCCTTTTCTGTGCATCCTTGCCAGCATTTGTTATTTTTTGTGTTTTTGATAATAGCTATCCTAACTGGGGTAAGATACTTCATTGTGGTTTTGATTTGCATTTTCCTGATGGTTAGTGATGTTGAACATTTTTTTCACATATTTGTTGGCCATTTGTATATAATCTTTGAGAAATGTCTATTCACATTGTGTGTGCATTTTTAATTGGATTTTTTCTTTTTTTTTTTTTTTGCTGTTAAGATGTTTGAGTTCCTTGTAAATTCTTGATGTTAATCCCCTCAGATGAGTAATTTGCGTATAGTTTGTCTCATTCTGTAGGTTGTCTTTTTTTACTCTGTTGATTTTTGCCTTTGCTATACAGAAGTTTTGTAGTTTGACATAATTCCATTTGTTGTTTGTTGCCTGTGCTTTTGAAGTCTTTATTCATAAAATCTTTTCCCAGACCGATGTCCTGAAGCATTTCCCCTGTTTTGTTCTAGTAGTCTTATAGTTTTGTTAGTTCTTTGAGCCATTTTGAGTTGATTGTTTATGTAGAGGAGTGAGGGTATAGTTTCATTGTTGTGCCTATGGATGTCCAGTTTTCCTAGCACCATTCATTGGAGAGACTGTCCTTTCCCCAGTGAACATTCTTGGCACCTTTGTCAAAAATCAGTTGACTGTAGATACGTGTATTAACTTCTGGGCACTCTGTTCTGTTCCGTTGGTTTATGTATCTGTTCTTATGTCAGTACCATGCTGTTTTGGTTACTACAGCTTTCAATATATATTTTTAGGTCTTTTCTTTTTTCTTCCTTTTTTTTTTTTCTTTTCTTTTCTTTTTTCTTTTTTTTTTTTTGTAATGCAGTCTCTCTCTCTGTTGCCCAGGCTGTAGTTCAGTGGTACCATCACAGCTCACTGCAGCCTTGACCTGAGCACAGTTGATTCTCCCACCTCACCCTCTCAAGTATCTGGGACTACAGGCATGCATCAAGATGCCTGGTTAATTTTTTTTTTTGGCACTTACGCATTTCTGTGCCTGTTGAGTGGTGGCAGGAGCAGCCCTAGGCTGGGCAGCCGAGTGGCCGAGCAGAAGTTACAGGGACACAGGGGCACCTCTAGCCCCAGAGAGGGAGACTGGGGCTTTGGGAGCTGTGTGGCCCTGGGCTCCAGAGGAGGCCTCCTGACATCTCTTCCCCCAACCAGCTCTAGTCTCTCTGCAGCCACCTTTTCAGGAAGGGCAGGGACTCCATAAAGCTCCAAAATTTACTGCCTTTCTCATTACAGGGGCTGGGAGGTGGGGCGCAGAAAGTATAAGAGGTTTAACCTGCCTGGGTGACTTTAATTCCAAAGGGCAGAGCCTGGGTGTGGTGGGACCCATGTGTGGTCCCAGTGCTTTGGGAGGCCGAGGCAGGAGGATCACTTGAGCCTAGGAGTTTGAGGCTACAGTGAGCTATGATCGCAAGTACACTCTAGCCTGGGCCACAGAGCAAGACTCTGAGTCCAAAAAAAAAAAAAAATTTTTTTTTTTTTTTGAGGCGGCTCTCACTCAGTTGTCCAGGCTGGAGTGCAGTGGCGCGATCTCAGCTCACTGCAAGCTCCGCCTCCCAGTTTCATGCCATTCTCCTGCCTCAGCCTCCCGAGTAGCTGGGACTACAGGCACCTGCCATCACGCCCAGCTAATTTTTTTGTATTTTTAGTAGAGACGGGGTTTCACCGTGTTAGCCAGGATGGTCTCGATCTCCTGACCTCATGATCCACCCGTCTCGGCCTCCCATAGTGCTGAGATTACAGGCGTGAGCCACTGCACCCGAAATTTTTTTTTTTTTTAAATTAAAAAAGTAGGCCGGGTGTGGTGCCTTACGCCTGTAATCCCAGCACTTTGGGAGGCCAAGGCAGGCGGATTGCCTGAGGTCAGGAGTTTGAGACCAGCCTGGCCAACATGGCGAAACCCCATCTCTACTAAAAATACAAAAAGTAGCCGGGTATGGTGGTGGGCGCCTTTAATCCCAGCTACTTGGTAGGCTGAGGCAGGAGAATGGCTTGAACCCAGGAGGAGGAGGTTGCAGTGAGCGGAGATTGTGCCACTGCATTCCAGCCTGGACGAGAAGAGCAAAACTCCATCTCAAAAAAAAAAAAAAAATTTAAAAAGGGCAACTTTTTCAAGAAGAATGGAGGGGAAAAGGCATGAAGAGAAATTCCCTCTGCAGCAGAGCAAGTTCCTTCCATGGAGGAACAGGAAGCCGCAATCACTGTTTGCAGCTGGGCACAGCTGCCATGACATTTCATACAGCAGCCATTGACCTGCTTCCTCCTGATGTCCTGTCTGGGCACATCCTCCAGCAGGACCACCAGGGAGGCAGGGATGGCAGCCCTTGCAACTTCCCTTTGACCTCAGGGAATTTGAGAAATTGAGGTGTGGGATGGCAGAGTGGTGGTGTTTGGAGGCCAGGAGGAAGAGGCTGATGTCCGCAACCCCACAGGACTCAAGCAGCCCACCCTGATGCCCTAGATGAGTGCTCGGGAGGGACGGCCATGCTGCTGGCTTTCTGTGTAGCACTCAGGCAGGTGCCTCAGTGAGCCCTCAGAACCGGGGAGGAGAAGGTTGCAAAGCAACAGCCTGATGCCCAGGGCCTTGCAGCTTGTCTTGGGGAGCTCACACTGCCCCTCCTGTGGTCCCTGCACTAGGCTAGGATGCCCCTGTCCTCCCACATCCTCCGCTCCCTGTACCCTGTTGGCCCAGCAGCAGTCCCTGTCCTAATGGCACAGTGCAGCCATCCACAGAATCCACACCCAGACACCTCTCTGGGCCACACATCATGAGGTCTCCACCCAGCTGTGTGTGACCCACATAGTGACAGGGTATGGCTGAGCAGGTCTCCAGGCCCACCCTTTGCCCACAGCCTCCTGCCTCCCTGCGGTGAGACACAGGCAAGGGTCACAGGTCAGCAAGTCTGTTCTCTTAGAAACATGCCAAGGTCAGGTGTGGGCCACTTGTGCTCCACGGGGGCTGCCATGCTGCCTTCTTGGAGCACACAGGAGTCCCCGTCAGATATCCTAACCTGAGTACCCACAGCTGCTTGTGGTGAGGGCTGACTGTGGGTGCTCACTGACTGCCTGCTCAGCACACAGCTGGATGGTGCTGGGCACTGGGCCTTCCAAGAAATGGAAACGGCCCCTTCCCTCCCAGTGCTCACATACAGCAGGGGAGACAGGATGGCCGGACAGAATGGTGCCAAGTGTGAGTGCTGCAAGCAGATCCTCGTGGAGGGAGCCAGGGCCAGGCTGGAGGGGTGACATCAGAGCTGTGCACATACCTGAGTGTTCTTGCCAGCACAGGGCATGAGGGTCAAGTGGCTCTACACAGCTGAGGCACAGCAGGAGGAGGGGGCACATAACCTGGCTAATTTTTTGTAGAGACACGGTTTTGCCCTGTTACCCAGGCTGGTTTCGAACTGCTGAGCTCAAGTAATCGTCCCAACTCAGCCTCCCAAAGTGTTGGGATTACAGGCGTGAGCCACCATGCCCAGCTGTTTTTAGGTCTTTCACTTCCTTTGTTAAATTTATTCCTGTTAGACTTTTTTCCTAGCTATTGTAAATGAAATTGCCTTCTTGATTTCTTTTCAGGTAGTGTATTGTTTGTATATGGAAACATCACTGATTTTTTTTAAATAGTGATTTTGTATCCTGCAACTTTACTGAATTTTTTAGCTCTGAGGTGTGTGTTTTTAGTGGAGCATAGGTTTTACTATATATAAGGTCATGTCATCTGCAGCTGCAAACACAGGGACAGTTTGACTTCTTCATTTCCAATTTGGATGCCCAGAACTACTTTGTCTTGTTCTGGCTAGGACTTGCAGTAGTATGTTGGGTAAGAGCAGTGAGAGTGAGATCCTTGTCCAGGTACAGTTACTGGAGGAAAAGCTTTTATCTTTCTCTTGTTGAGTAAGATGATAGCTGTGGGTTTGTCATATATGGCCTTTATTATGTTGGTGTACTTTCCTTTTATACCTAATTTATTGAGAGTGTTTTTTTTTTGTTTTTGTTTTTGTTTTGTTTTTGAGATGGAGTCTCACTCTTGTCGCCCAGGCTGGAGTGCAGTGGCGTGATCTTGGTTCACTGCAACCTCTGCCTCCCAGGTTCAAGCAGTTCTCCTGCCTCAGCCTCCCGAGTAGCTAGGATTACAGCTTGTGGCTAATTTTTGTAGTTTTGGTAGAAACGGGGTTTCACCATGTTGGCCAGGCTGGTCTCGAACTCCTGACCTCAAGTGATCCGCCTGCCTTGGCCTCCCAAAGTGCTGGGATTACAGGCGTTGAGCCACCACGCCTGGCCTAGAGTTTTTTTTTTAATCACGAATGGATGTTGAATTTTATCAAATGCTTTTTCCGATTCTATTGAGATGATCCTATGGTTTTTGTCCTTCATTCTATTGCTAAGATGTATGACATCCATTGATTTGCGTATGTTAAATTATCCTTGTATTCCTGGGTTGAATCCCAGTTCATCATGGTTATTACATTTTGATGTGTTGTTGGATTTGGTTTGCCAGAATTCTGTTCAGAATTTTTGTGTCTATGTTTATCAAGGACACTGGCATGTAGTTTTCTTTTTTGTTTGTTTTTCCTTTTCTGGTTTTGGTATCAGGGTTATACTGGCCTTGTAGAGTGAGTTCAGAAGAATTAACTTTGCTTCAATTTTTTGGAATACCTTGAGAAGAATTGGTATTCATTCTTCTGTAAATATTTGGTAGATTTCAGCAGTGAACCCATCAGTCCTGCACTTTCCTTGGGAGACTTTTTGTTACTGATTCAATCTCATTACTTGTTTTTGGTCTGTTCAGGTTTTTTATTTATTTATTTATTTATTTATTTATTTATTTATTTATTTTTGAGACGGAGTCTCGCTCTGTTGCCCAGGCTGGAGTGCAGTGGTACAATCTGGGCTCACTGCAAGCTCCGCCTCCCGTGTTCAAGCCATTCTCCTGCCTCAGCCTCCCGACTAGCTGGGACTGCAGGTGCCTGCCACCATGCCTGGCTAATTTTTTGTATTTTTATTAGAGACGGGGTTTCACCATATTGGCCAGGCTGGTCTTGAACTCCTGACCTCGTGATCTGCCTACCTCAGCCTGCCAAAGTGCTGGGATTACAGGCATGAGCCACCGTGCCTGGCAGGTTTTTTATTTCTTATTGGTTCAATCTTAGTAGATTGTATGTGTTCAGGAATTTGTTCATTTCCTCTAGGTTTTTAAATTTATTGCTGCGTAGTTGGTCAGCAGTCTCTAATGATCCTTTGTACTTCTGTGGTATCCGTTATGATGTCTCCTTTTTTGTTTCTGATTTCTTTTATTTGGGTCTTGTCTCTTTTTTCCTTAGTCTAGCTAAAGGTTTGTTGATTTTGTTTATCTTTTCAAATGACCAGCTTTTTTCTGATCTTTGATCTCCTGTAATTTGTTTTAGTCTCAATTTTGTTTATTTCAGCTCTGATCTTTATTGATCTTCGTTGTCTAATTTTGGTTTTGTTCTTTTTGGTTCCTTGAGATGCATCATTGGTTGTTTGAAATCTTTCCAGTTTCTTGGCATAGGCATTTATTACTATAAACTTCCCTCTTAGCAGTGCACCGCTTTTGCTGTATCCCACAGGCTTTGACGTGTTGTATTTGCATTTTCATTTGTTTCAAGACATTATTTTATTTCCATCTTAATACCTTCATTGACCCAGTGGTCATTCAGGAGCATGTTGTTTAATTTCCATGTATTGGTATAGTTTCCAGCATTTCTCTTGTATTGATTTCTATTTTTATTCCATTGTGGTCTGAGAAGATAGCTGACATGATTTTTTCAGTTATTTTAAAATTTGGTTGAGACTTGTTTTATGTCCTAAAATATGGTCAATTCTGGAGAATGTTTCATGTGCTGCTATAAAAATGTGTATTCTGCTGCTATTAGGTGAAATGTTCTGTAAATAGCTGTTGGTTTTATTTGGTCTATGATGCAGTTGAAAACTATGTTTCTTTGTTATATTCTGTCTAGATGATCTGTCCAGTGCTGTTGAAGTCCCCAACTATTATTATGTTGAGGTCTGTCTCTCCCGTTAGATCTAATTATGTTGTATATCTGGGTCCTCTGGTGTTGGTTGCGTGTGTATTTACAATTCTTATATCCCCTTACTGAATTGATGCCTTTATTATATAGTGTCCTTCTTTGTCTCCTTTTACAACTTTTGGCTTGAAGTCTGTTTTGTCTGATATATGTAAAGCTACCCCAGCTCACTTTTGGTTTCTGTTTACATGGAATGTCTTTTCCCGTCCTTTCACTTTTAGTCTATGTGTGTCTTTATTTTGTTGGGACAGAGTTGTGCTCTGTTGCACAGGCTGGCACAATCTTGACTCACTGCAACCTCTTCCTCCCAGGTTCAAGCGATTCTTTTGCCTCAAATTCCCAAGTAGCTGAGATTACAGCATGAGCCACTGTGCCCAGCCAATTTTTTTGTATTTTTAGTACAGACATGGTTTTGTCATGTTGGCCAGGCTCTGTGGGTGACTTTAAAGATGAAGTTAGTATCTTGTTGACAGCATATTGTTGAATTTTTTTGTTGTTGTTCAGTCTATAACTTCTATTTTTTATATATATTTTTTGAGATGGTGTCTCACTTTGTCACCCAAGCTGGAGTGCAATGGGGTGATCTTGGTTTACTGCAGCCTCCGCCTCCCAGGTTCAAGCGATTCTCCTGCCTAAGCCTCCTGAGTAGCTGGGATTACAGGCGCACTCCACCATGCCCGGCTCATTTTTGTATTTTAGTAGAGATGAGGTTTTACTATATTGGCCAGGCTGGTCTCGAACTCCTGACCTCAAGTGATCTGCCCGTCGTGGCCTCCCAAAGTGCTGGGATTACAGGCATGAGCCACTGCGCATGGCCAGTGTATAACTTTTAAATGGGGGAATTTAAATCATTTGTGCTCAAGGTATTATTGATAGGTGAGGACTTACTCCTGCCATTTTATTGATTGTTTTTTAGTTACTACATTATATATCCTTTGTTCCTTGCTTGCTCTTCCATATATGAAATTCTTGAGCATTTCTTATAAGGCAATCTACTGATGAGTATTTCCTCAGTTTTTCTTTGTTTGTGAAGGTTTATTTCTCCTGCGTTTCTGCAGGACAGCTTTGCTGGGTATAATCTTGATAAGCTGTTTTTTTGTTTTTTTTTTAGTACTTTAACTCTGTTAATCCCATTCACTCCTTGCCTGTAAGGATTCTGCTGAGAAATCTGTTAGTCTGGTGGAGATACTTTTATTTGTGACTTGATGCTTTTCTTTTGCTGCTTTTAGAGTTCTTTTTTTTTTTTTTTTTTTTTTGAAACAAGGTCTCACTCTGTTGCCCAGGCTAGATAGAATACAGTGGCGCAATTAAAGCTTATTGCAGCCTTGACTTCCTGGACTCAGGTGATTCTCCCACCTCAGCCTCTGAGTAGCTGGGACTATAAGCATTCACCACCATGTCCAGCTAATTTTTATATTTTTTTGTAGAGATGGGGTCTCACCACGTTGCCCAGGCTGGTTTTGAATTCCTGGCCTTAAGCAATCCACCTGCCTTGGCCTCCCAAAGTGCTGAGATTATAGGTGTGAGGTGCTGTGCTTGGCCTCTTTGTTGAATTTCTCATTAAAATCATGAATTATTTTCCTTATTTCATTAAAGTTCTTACCTGTATTCCCTTGTACCTCCTGAGTTTCCTTAAGATCGTTATTTTGAGTTCTTTTTCTGGCATTTTATATATTTCTTTATGATTGGGGTCTATTACAGGAGAATTATACTGTTTGCCTTTGAAGATGTCATGTTTCTTTTTTCTCTGTTGATTTCTCTACATTGTTTCTACACATTGTTGGAACCCCCCCCCTTTCAATTTTATGGAGTAAATTTTATAGGGAAAGACTTAATTTATATAAGTGGATCTTAGATCAGTGGAGTGTGTTGGCCTTGGTTCTGTGTGGACACAGTAATGTAGTTTCTTCATCTGTAATCTGTACTAGTGACATTTGAGAGTTTCTCAGCAGCCTAGGATGAGGAAGTGTGTGGTGCAGCTTTGCCAGGGGGGTTGGCTCATTGGGCTGTTTCTCAAGTCAGGGACACATGTATGCATATGGTGAGTTGGCCAACTTGGGGTCTGGCTTGCTGGGGTTGAAGCCACAGGACTGTTACTCTGGCCAGGAGCACAGGCATGTGGTTGCTCAATTGGCTTGGTGTTGTGCCTGGCAGGAGTGGCCCATGGTTTCTCAGGTCTAGGACACAGGTGCACAACTGCTCAGCCAGCCTAGATGTGTCTGTCAGGTGTTGCCCATTGGGCTGTTTCTTAGGACTGGGATGTGGGCTCTTGGCTGCCTGGCTGGCCTGGGGGGATGCCCATCAGGGACGACCTGTGGTAATGTTTCTGAGGCCCTTATTGGGGGCGCAGGGCTGTTCGGGAGGCCAGAAGCATGTCTACATGGGGCAGAGGTGCTAGGAGCCTTTTTCTTAGGCACTGAGTAAGGGTGCATGGCTGCTTCACTAACCTTGGGGTGTATCACATGCTCTTTGGCTTGCGGGCCTCCACTACTTTGGAGAGAGCTTATAGTGGCTTGGTTGGCTTATGGGCAGGTTTGTCCTGGATGGGACTGTCAGACTGTTCCTTTGGCTTGAAGTGTGGTCTGGTTGTGGGAGTTGGTTTTCCCTGCTGTGCGGGACCAAAGTTGCAGCTATAGTTGTGGCATTCATTCACCTGTGTGGCCTTGGTGTAATGAAGATGGAGCTGAAGTGCTGCAGAGGTGCAGTGGCTACTGGCCCCCAGAGGGTGCACTCCAGAGGTGGCTCTGGTTTCAAGATGGTGTTGCACTGCCACAGCTTGTTTCACTGGGGGTAGGTGGGGGTTGGGGAGCACATTCCTTGTGCTCCTAATTTGGGCAGTGCAGCTGTATGGATTTCCAGCAGTTGTCTAAATTGGGCTCAGGGCTTGCAAGGACTGTGGGATTCTCCTTTTTATTTTATTTATAGTTTTTGAGATGGAGTCTTACTCTGTTGCCCAGGCTGGAGTGCAGTGGCACGATCTTGGTTCACTGCAACCTCTGCCTCCTGGGTTCAAGTGATTCTCCTGCCTCAGCCTCCTCAGTAGTTGGGATTACAGGCACCCACCACCACGCCCGGCTAATTTTTATATTTTTAGTAGAGATGGGGTTTCACCTTCTTGGCCAGGGTGGTCTTGAACTCATGACCTCAAGTGATCCGCCTGCCTCAGCTCCTCAAAGTGCTGGGATTACAGGCATGAGCCACCGCACCTGGCCGATTCGCCACTTGTAAGGAGTGTAGGTGTTTGTGGTGGTAATGGGAGTGCTGGTGAGGGATCTTCTGCTTACTTTTTCCCTGCATCAGGAAGTCCCTGCTGACTGCAGGCAAATCCCATCTGGGTGAGGGGAGATGGGGCTGCAGAGGCTGGATGCTTCCATACTGCCTTCCTGGACTTTGTCACCAACAGGTGTGTCTCCATTCCCCAACTGCACTCAGATGGTCTCTCTGACACACCTGTCAGATCTTAGCTGTTTATTTGTTAACCTTTGTCCTTTCTTGTGTGTAGGATGAATGCTAGGTGTCTTTAGTCAGTCTCCCTGATTCTTTTTTTAATATTCTTCATAACTTTGCTGGAATTCTTCAGCTTATCTAATATCTTGAATGTATTACCTATTGTAACTAATATCTTAATCTTCTGTTTTATTGTTCTCTTATTTTCACCCTTGTTTCTGGCTATGTGGTATGTGGTCTTGGTTTTTGGTTCTCTGGTCATTGTAGAAAGTTTTAGATATCTAGAGTCATGTGCAGAAATGGGAAAGTTTATGGGCAGTGAACACTTATGTACCCATCACCCAGTCAACATTTACCAACTCATGGGTAGTTTTTTTTTTCACCTTACCTTATCCATTGTCTCTCTCCCACCCACTGGATTAGCTTGAAGTAAATCCAGGTGTTATATATTATCTGTATATATTTAAATATATTAAAATAACCATTTAGCATTTAAAAATTTTAAAGATGGGGTCTTGCTGTGTTGCCCAGGCTGGCCTAGAACTCTTGAGCTCAAACAGTCCTCTCACCTCAGCCTCCTGAATAGTTGGAACTAGAGACACACACCACTGTGTCCAGCTTTGTTTGTTTACGTATTTATGAGACAGGGTCTCACTCTGTCACCCAGGCTGGAGTGCAGTGGCATGCTCCTGGTTCACTGCAGCCTTGACCTCCTGGGGCTCAAGCTGTCTGCCCACCTCAGCTTCCTGAGTAGCTAAGACTGTAGGTACGGGATATTATGCCCAGCTAATTTTTGTCTTTTTTTTGTAGAGATGGGGTTTTGCCATGTTATCCAGGCTGGTCTTGAACGCCTGAATTCAAGCCATCTGCCCACCTTGGCCACTCAAAGTGCTAGGATTACAGGAAAATGTCACTACATTCCATTTTTTTTTTTTAATTGAAAAACGGTGGGTTCTGTCTAAGTTGCCCAGGCTGGTCTCAAACACCTGGGCCCAAGCAAATCTTGCCTTGGCCTCCCAAAGTGCTGTGATTACAGGCGTGAGCTGCTACCCCTGGCCATGGTCTGTTTTTTGTTATTTTAAATTCATACGTAATTCTTATACATATTTATAGGGTACAGCATGCTATTTCAATACCTTTATATGATGTGTAATGATCAAATTGGGGTAATTATTGTTATCTCAAGCATTTATCATTCTTTGTGTTGGGAACATTCAAAATCCTCTCTGCTATTTATTTATCTTTTATTTATTTATTTTTTTGAGATGGAGTCTTGCTCTTGTTGCCCAGGCTGGAATGCAGTGGTGCGATTTCAGCTCACTGCAACCTCCGCCTCCCGGGTTCAAGTGATTCTCCTGCCGCGGGTCTCAAGTAGCTGGGATTACAGGCGCCTAACACCATGCCCGGCTAAGTTTTTGAATTTTAGTAGAGATGGGGTTTCACCAGATTGGCCAGGCTGGTCTCGAACTCCTAACCTCAGGTATTCCACCCACTTGGCCTCCCAGAGTGCTGGGATTACAGGTGTGAGCCACCACGCCCGGCCAGCCTCTGCTAGCTAAAATGTCAGATTATTAACTATAGTAATCCTAAAGCCAGGATCAGTGACTCATGTCTGTAATCCCAGTGCTTTGGGTGGCTGAGGCAGAAGGATCACTTGAGGCCAGGAGTTAGTGACCAGTGTGGGCAACACAGCAAGACTCCATCTCTACAAAAAGTTTAATTAATAATTAGTTGAGTGTGGTGAAATGCACCTGTAGTCTCAGCTACTTGGGAGGCTGAGGCAAGTGGATTGTTTGAGCCCAGGAGGTCCAGGCTGCAGTAAGCTGTGATTGTGCCACTGCATTCCAGCCTGAGTGACAGAGCTAAATCTCTTCTCTAAACAAACAAAAACCTGATAAAGCTCCAAAGAACAACAAAAACAAAAAAATAGTCATCCTGCAGTACTATAAAACACTAGAATGTATTCCTCCTGGCTAGGTATAATTCTCTGTTCATTAACCAATCTCTCCCTACATTCCTCTTCTCTAACCTTTCCAGTGTCTAGTTGTGTAAATTTCTTTAGTTTTCGTTTCATTTCATTTCGTTTCATTTCTTTTCTATTTTTCTTTTTTTAAAGAATAGGGGTCTTGTTGCCCAGGCTTCAGTGCAGGGGCGCACGATCATAGCTCACTATGAGCCTCAAACTCCCAGGCTCAAGTGATCCTCTCTTCTCAGCCTCCCAAGTAGCTGAGATTACAGGCTTGCACTACCATGCCCAGTTAATTATTTTATTTTTTGTAGCGAAGGGGTTGCCCAGGGTGGTCTTGAACTCCTGGCCTCAAGGGATCTCTTGCCTCGGTCTCCCAAGAGTAATTTCTTAATACGAAATAGCATTCAATTTCCCTTATATTCTCAGTTTTAAAAAATTCTACCTTTTCCTTCACAATTTGAATCAAGATTCACATGAGACCTATTAGAATTGCTGATTTTAAAAATTAACTAAATTGTTATATAATTTACATACAATAAGGTTAGTCTATTGTAAGGGTATGTGTTTATTCATTTTGACAAATGTATACACTCATATAAGAACCACAATTGAACATTTCCATCACCCAGTTATTCCTCATTCCTGTTTGTAATCAGCCCCACCACCAACTCTGCATTGTCGTAACTGCTGATGTGCTTTGTCACCTAAGCTTTATTTTTAAATGTATTTTATTATTATTATTTTTTGAGACAGTCTTGCTCTGCCACCCAGGCCGGAGTGCAATGGCACGATCCTGGCTCATTGCAACCTCTGCCTCCTGGGTTCAAGTGATTCTCCTGCCTCAGCCTACTGAGTAGCTGGGATTATGGGCATGTGCCAGCACGCCTGGCTAATTTTTGTATTTTTTTTTTCTTTTCTTTTTTTTTTTTTTTTGTGACGAAGACTCGCTCTGTCGCCCAGGCGGGAGTGCAGTGGCACGATCTTGGCTCACTGAAAGTTCCGCCTCTCGGGTCCACGCCATTCTCCTGCCTCAGCCTCTCGAGTAGCTGGGACTACAGGTGCCCACCACCACGCGCGGCTAATTTTTTGTATTTTTAGTAGAGACGGGGGGTTTCACCGTGTTAGCCAGGATGGTCTCGATCTCCTGACCTCGTGATCCACCCGCCTCGGCCTCCCAAAGTGCTGGGATTACAGGCGTGAGCCACCGCGCCCAGCCTAATTTTTGTACTTTTACAAATACAAAATTTTAGTGGAGACAGGGTGTCACCATGTTGGCCAGACTGGTCTCGAACTCCTGACCTCAGGTGATCTGCCCGCCTCGGCCTCCCAAAGTGCTGGGATTATAGGCAGGAGCCACTGTGTCCAGCTAGAAATAAACTTTATGTACTACTTACATCTGGTTGGTATTCTTTTTACTTAGCATACGGTTAGAAGTCATCCATGTTGCTTGTTGGTGCATCAGTAGTCGGTTTCTTTTTATTGCTGAATAGAATTCCGTATGTTGGCATATATATGATAACTTTTTTTTTTTGAGGTAGTCTTGCCCTGTTACCTGTCATGTGGTGCCATTATAGCTCACTGCAACCTCGACTGCCTGTGCTTAAGCAACTCATTCACCTCAGCCTCCTGGGTAGCTAGGACTACAGGTGCATGCTACCACACCCAGCTAATTTTATTTTATTTTATCTTATTTTATTTTTTGAGACGGAGTCTCGCTCTGTTGCCCAGGCTGGAGTGCAGTGGTGCAATCTTGGCTCACTGCAAGGTCTGCCTCCTGGGTTCATGCCATTCTCCTGCCTCAGCCTCCCAAGTAGCTGGGACTACAGGTGCCCACCACCATGCCTGGCTTAATTTTTGTATTTTTAGTAGAGACGGGGTTTCACCTTGTTAGCCAGGATGGTCTCGATCTCCTGACCTCGTGATCCGCCTGCCTCGGCCTCCCAAAGTGCTGGGATTACAGGCGTGAGCCACTGTGCCTGGCCAAACCTAGCTAATTTTAAAATTTGTTTAGTAGAGATAGTGTCTTGTACTGTTGCCCAGGCTGGTCTAGAACTCCTAGCCTTAAGCAATCCTCCCTCCTTTTCTTCCCAAAGCGCATCCTTTTTATTTATTTTATTTTTTTTATTTTTAAACTCAATCCACTCTAATGGAAATTTGGTTTGTTTCTAGTGTGAGTAAAGTTATTATTTTGTTTTGCTCTTTGTGTTTTGTTTGTTGGCTACCTGTGTGGACTAATTCTGTGAATTCTGGCTGCCCTGTAGTTTGTAGCCATTGATATCTCTGTTGGTTATTGTTACTGTTTCAATACATAATTCTTTTCTCTCTTTATTTTCAAACCTCACTTCCTAGGAGTTACCTCTGAATCGGCATAGCTAATTTTTTTCCTAAGTCTGTTGTAATTTCTAGGTTCCCCTCTTTCTTTTTATTTGTTGCAGAAACTGCTCGTTCCGTGGCTTGCTTAGTGCATACGATTTCCCATCTGGATTTTGCAGATTTTATCCTTGTGTAATTATTATGCTTTGTCTTTTGTATTTCCATACTTTTATTGCTAGATCTAGAGGCTTGATCAGATTCAGGTTAAATTTCTTGGCAAGACTGTTTTATAGGTTGTGTTGTGTTCTTCCATGGGGTTGGTTGGAGTGCCACTTAATGTCATAGTTAGCAAGCAGCCATTGCCTAAGGCTTTTATTACATTAACAGCTACAAAACTAATCCTGTCACTTTTTTCTTTGATTAGGTGGACTATCTGTATCAGGAGAAACTTGCTTTTATTACCTGTTTCATTACTTTTATTTGCTATTTCTACGTGAAAGTCAGGATGAATGGCTGATTTCTCCCTTTGTTAACCAGTTTTCAATGACTGATTTAACATTTGCAAAGGTGATCACTTTTTTTTTTTTTTTTTGAGAATCATTAGAAACTCATACTCAGAAATAACATTTTTGCCTTTGTTTAAGATTTGGAAGTTTTTTTTTTTTTTTTGTGACGGAGTTTTGCTCTTGTTGCTCAGGCTGGAGGGCAGTGGCGCAATCTTGGTTCACTGCAACCCCTGCCTCCCGGGTTCAAGCGATTCTTCTGCCTCAGCCTCCCAAGTAGCTGGGACTACAGGCACACGCCACCATGCCCGGCTAGTTTTTTTGTGTTTTTAGTAGAGACGGGGTTTCACCATGTTGGCCAGGCTGGTCTCAAACTCCTGACTTCAGGTGATCTGCCTCCCTCAGCCATCCAAAGTGCTGGGATTACAGGTGTGAGCCACTGTGCCTGGCCACCAAAAACTCTTTAGATTTGCCCTTTTGAGGCTATTTTCTAGATCCCGTAGGCATGCTTCATTTTTAGAAATTCCGTTTTCTTTTTTCTCCTGACTTGGGTGTTTTCAAATAGTCTGTGTTTGAACTCACTAATTCTTACTTCTCTGCCATCAATTCTGCTGCAAAAGACTAATACATTCTTTAGTATGCCAATTGCGTTTTTCAGCTCCAGAATTTCTGCTGGAGTCTTCTTACATGTTTTAATCTTTGTTAAAGTTATCTGATAGAATTCTGTATTCCTTCTGTGTTATCTTGAATTTCTTTGAGTTTCCTCAACACGGCTATTTTGAATTCCTTATCTGAAAGGTCACATATCTCTGTTTCTCCAGGATTGGTCCCTGATGCCTTATTTAGTTCATTTGGTGAGGTCATGTTTTCCTGGATGGCGTTGATGCTAGTAGATGTTCTTGAGTGGCATTGAAGAGTTAGGTATTTATTGTAGTCTTCACTGTCTGGCCTTATTTGAAGCTGTCCTTCTTGGGAAGGCTTTCTAGATATTTGAAAGAACTTGGGGCCGGGCACGGTGGCTCATGCCTGTAATCCCAGCACTTTGGGAGGCCAAGGCGGGTGGATCACGAGGTCAGGAGATCGAGACTATCCTGGCTAACATGGTGAAACCCTGTCTCTACTAAAAATACAAAAAAATTAGCCGGGCGTGGTGGCGGGCACCTGTAGTCCCAGCTACTCGGGAGGCTGAGGCAGGAGAATGGTGTGAACCTGGGAGGCAGAGCTTGCAGTAAGCCGAGATCGTGCCACTGCACTCCAGCCTGGGCAACTCCATGTCAAAAAGAAAAAAACTTGGGTATTGTGATCTAAGCTGTATCTGCTTTAGGGGTACCCCAAGCCCAGTAATTCTGTGGTTCTTGCAGACTCATACAGGTACCACCTTGATGGATTTGGACAAGATCTGGATAATTTGTGGATTACCAGGTGGAGACTCTTGTTCTCTTTCCTTACTTTCTCCCAAACACACGGTCTCGCTGTCCTGAGCCACCTAAAGCTGGGGTTGGAGTGAGTGACACAAGCACCCCTGTGGCCACCATGACTGTGCTGGGTCAGTCTTGAAATTAGGACTATGCTGGGTCTCACCCAAGGCCTGCTGTAACTGCACTCTGGCTACCTCCCATGTTTGCTGAAGGCCCTGGTGCTGTGCAATCAGCAGTTGGCAAAGCCAGCCAGACCTGCATCCTTCCTTCAGGGCAGCAAGATCTCTAGACCCCAGGTGGGTCCAGAAGTGTTGTCTGGGAGTTAAGATACTAGAGCAATACTTTTTGTATTGTGGCTGAGCTGGCATTCAAACCACAGGACTGGTACTTCTCACTCTTTTTCCCATTTCCACCTCACCTCGTAGCCACCGCCACCCCCAGGCCACAAGGGGTACTGCCAGACTCACCGATGTTTCTCTAAGGCCCAGTGTCTCTGAAGTCAGCTTGTCATGAACGCTCTGTTACCTGGGACTCACCCTTCAGGGCAGTGGGCTCCCCTGTGGCCCAGGGCAGGTCCAGAAATGCCATTTAAGAGTCAGGTCTTAGAATTAGGGACACCCAAGAATCAACTGGTGCTCTACCCTGCTGTGTTTGTGCTGGTACCTAAGCTGTAAGACAAAGTTCTCTTTACTCTTTCCCTCAGCTTTTCTCAAGTAGGAGTTTTGCCCCATAGCCACCACAGCTGGTAATGTGCTGAATCTCACTGAAGCCAGCAAGTCTCAGAGGCTCAACTGAGGCCCTCAATGTAGTACTTGGATATCGCTACTGGTTATTCAGGGCCCAAGGGCTCCTCAGTTAGGTGATGAATGCTGTCAGCTCCTGTCTTCTGGCCCAGGGTGTGTGTAGAAATGTCTGGGAGTTAGGGCCCTGAACAGGGGACCTCATGACTCTGAGCGGTGCCCTGTCTTGCTGTGGCTGAGCTGGTATCCAAGATGCAAGAGAGTCCCCCCCACTCTTCCTTCTCTCCTCAAACAGAAGGAAGGCATCTTTCTTGGAGCCCTGAGCTGTGCAGCCTGTCGAGGGGAAGGGGTGATGCCAGCACTCCATTGGCTGCCCCGCCTGGTGTCTCAGTATGTCTCATTCCCTGCTTCCTGTCCCCCTTCCCACCACCTCTACTGTCTTGGTGCCCAGTTCATTCATTACTAAGAATCGGTTAAGAGTTGTAGTCCTTACGGCTCAGACTGCCAAAAAGTTTACTTGGAAACATGGAGTGCTGTAGCCCTCCATGGTGAGGCTGGTGGGAACTCAAGTTGGGACTCCTGGGATCGGCAGTTGCCCTCCGCTTTAGGGCTGGTTTAAATGCTCCCTCCCTGGGTGGGAGTCACCTGGGTTTGATCTGGTTTTCTTTTCTGCTCTCACAGGACAGCACTGAGTTCAGTGGCTTGCAGTTGCTGTGTTGTCCCTCCCTCAGCACCGAGAGGCTCTAGGCACCAGGCCTTTTGCTGCTGGCTGGGGGAACAGGAAGTGTGCGTAGTTGCTAATTGAGGACTGTTGTTTCTCCCTTCAGTGATACGCAGTTAAAACCAGGTACTATGAGTACTCACCTGATTTTTGTTTTTTATGAAGGTGTTTCAGTTAAAACCAGGTACTATGAGTACTCACCTGATTTTTGTTTTTTATGAAGGTGTTTTTTCTATGTAGATCTTAATTTGGTATCCTTGTTGGCGGGGGCATGGGCATGATCAGTGGAGCCTTCTATGCTTGCTCTGCCTCCCACCTGTTTTCAGTCTAAAAAATCAGTGGCAGCTGGGCGCAGTGGGCCACACCTGTAATCCCAGGAGGCCAAGGCAGGTGGATCATGAGGTCAGGAGTTTGAGACCAGCCTGGCCAACGTGGTGAAACCCTGTCTCTACTAAAAATACAAAAATTAGCCGGGCGTGGTGGTACATGCCTGTAATTCCAGCTACTCAGCAGGAGAATCACTTGAACCTGGGAGGCGGAGGTTGCAGTGAGCCGATATTGCACCATTGCACTCTACCCTGGCGGACAGAGTGAGACTCCCTCTCAAAAAAAATTCAGTGGCTTCCATTAAACTACAGTTTGGATTTCCTGAACTCCTTTAAAAAATAATTGCAAAAATTTTTAATTGTGGTAAAAAAAAATATAGAACATAAAATTTACTGTTGGTCTTTTTTTCTTAAATAGAGAGGGGGTCTCGCCATGTTGCCTGGGCTGGTGTTGAACTCTTGGGCTCAAGTGATCCTCTTGCCTTGGCCTCGCAAAGTGTTGGGATTACAGACATGAGCGAAACATTTCTTTTCTTGATCATTTTTTATGTATATAGTTGAGTAGTGTTAGAAATGTTAACATTCTCGTGCAACAAATCTCTACAACTTTTTCATGTGACAAAACTGAAACGCATTTCTGGGCAACCACCCTTCTCCTTTGTTTCTGTGAATTTGGCTACTTTAAATACCTCATACCAGTTGAATTGTACAAGTACAGTCATGCACCGAGTAACGATGTTTTGGTCAATGATGGACCTAGTGTAGGACAGTGGTCGTAAGGTTATAATTTTTACTGTACCTTTTCTATACTTAAATATGTTTAGATATGCAAATACTTACATTGTATTATGGTTGCCTAGAGTATTCAGTACAGTTACATGCCATACAGGTTTGTAGCCTAGGAGCAATGGGATATTTATACACCGTATAGTAGAGGTCCAAGAGAGCAAAGATCTCTTGGAGATGGTGCTTTCAATTCATTTCAGTATATATGCTCACGAGTGGGATTGCTGGATCATATGGTAATTGTGTTTCTGATTTTTCAAGGAACTGTCATACTGTTTTCCACAGCAGCTGTAACATTTTATATTCCCAGCAAGAGTACACAATGGTTCCAGTTCCACATAACTTGTGAACATTTATTTTATTTATTTTGTTGTTTGTTTTTTAAGAGACAGGATCTTGCCCTGTTACTCATGCTGGAGTCAGTGGCATGATCATATCTCACTATAGCGTTGAACTTCTGGACTCAAGCCATTCTCCCACGTTATCCTTAGTGTCCTGAGTAGCTAGAACTATAGGCATGTGCCACCGTGCCTGGCTAATTTTTAAAAATATACATATTTTTAGAGATGGTACCTTGCTGTGTTGCCCAGGCTGGTCTTGAATTCCTGGCCTCAAGCAGTCTTCCTGCCTCAACCTACCAAAGCACTAGGATCGGAGGTGTGAGCTGTTGGGCCTCACTGGGGATTTTGATAGTGATTGCTTTTAATTCATAAATCAATTTGGGTGGTGTCGATATTTAACAATATAATGTCTTCCAACCAGTGAATGTGGGATTTCTTCCCATTTATTTACATCTTCTTTAATTCCTTTTAGCAACATTTTGTAGTTTTCATTGTTAACAAGTCTTTTCCTCCTTGTTTCATTTTTCTTTTTGATGCTGATGCAAATGGATTTTTTTTAATATTTCCTTTTTAAATTGTTCATTGTTAGTGTATTAGAAATGCATCTGACCTGTAATCCCAGCACTTTGGGAGGCTGAGGCGGGCATATCACTTATGATCAGGAGTTCGAGAGCAGCCTGGCCATCATGGTGAAACTCCCTCTCTACAAAATACAAAAACTAGCCAGGCGTGATGGTGGGCACCTGTAATCCCAGCTACTCAGGAGGCTGAGGCAGGAGAATCGCTTGAACCTGGGAGGCAGAGGTTGCAGTGAGCCAAGATTGTGCCACTGCACTCCAGCCTGGGCAAAAGAGTGAGACTGTCTCAAAAAACCAAAAATTTAAAAAGACAAAAGTATATCTGATTTTTGTGTTTTGAATTTGTATCCTGTAACTTTGTTGAATTCACTTATTTTTTGTTTGTTTGTTTTTGAGAGGGGGTCTCACTCTGTTACCCAGGTTGGAATGCTGAAATGCAAACTGCAGTTTAATGGAAGCCACTGATTTTTTTCGGCTCACTTCAGCCTTAACCTTCCAGGTTCGAGTGATCCTTCCACCTCAGCCTCCTCAGTAGCTGGGACCAGAGGTGTGCACCACCATGCCTGGCTAATTGTTTATATTTTTCGTAGAGATGGGGTTTCACTATGCTGCTCAGGCTGGTCTTGACCTCCTAAGCTCAAGTGATCTGCCCGCCTTGGCCTTCCAAAGTGCTGGGATTACCGGCTGTTAGTTCTAACAGTTCTTCTTGTGTAATCCTTAGGGTTTTCTGTTGGTTCATGTTATCTGTGGACAGAAGTGACTTGATTTCTTTCCATTTTCTTCCTCATTGAATTGCTCTGACTAGAATTTCTAATACTGTGTTGAATAGAAATTGTGAAAGTGACCACCTTATCTTGGTCCTAATCTTAGAGGAAAAGCTTTTGGGCTTTCACCTTTGAGTATGATGATAGCTGTGTGTTTGGAGAACTCTACTCTGATGAAATGTCCTTCACTTGCCTTTCTGGTTCTGGGTTGGATGGAATGAGTTGGAAAGTTTTTGTTGGTTAGCAGCTAGGCTGTCAGGCGGGCCTCTGGTGAGGATGGTTTTCTGGCCACACAAACTTTTTTTCAGAATGTGTGCCGTGTGTGTTTTTTGTTAGAGTAGGATATGATGGTTGTAGCCACTCTTCCCTCTGTTTTTAGGCACTGTTATGGCTGGGGAAGGAAAACTGGCATGGCGTACTGTGATCCCTTCTTCACCTTGTTGAAATCATACAATGCAAGAGGTTGTTTTTAGTGGTTGCTTCATCTTAGGCCCCAACTATATCTTATTCTGTCCTAGTTGCTAAGCTTTGTTGCCCAGGTCTTCTCCCTGATGGTCAGTAGTGTCTTCGGCTTCCAGGGCCTCAGATGTGATCTAGGTCCCAAAAGCCTGGTCTTGGGTGTAGGTGTTACTACCTTGTGACTGTTTTACATGTATTTTGGCCTTACGCCGTTTCCTTTTCTCCTTGACCAAGGTAATTTTTTTTTAAACCCCTTTTTGGTTAATCAGTATTACCAGAGAGGAATCTTCCAACCTCCTAGTTCAGCTTACCAGCATTTCTGGAGCTGAGTTGAGGAAGTGTGCTGTAAGTCTCAACATTGTGTATGTAGTCTGATTAAGTAGAAGGTGCGCGCGCGCGCGTGTGTGTGTGTGTGTGTGTGTGTTTTAAATGTAAACTAACCTCATATATATTTGGTACAGGAAACTTACTGGTATAGTAGGACATATTACTGCTTCATAGGGGATTTCCCCTCCTCACGTTAATGTGATACAGTGATCCAGGCAAGATTTCTTGGGATTAAAGAGAAGACACTAGCAATATATAAAGAAACAGTAAGAAAGCTGATAAGCCTCAAAAATGCTTTCTTGTACATACATAATAATTGGTTTAGTGGCTTCAAAGACCCTTATGTTTTCTACTTTGTAAAGCTGTGTGGACCAGCCAAAGAAGGTAAAAGCCATTAAAATGATGGAATTATAAGAATGGTTATGTTCAATTTTTATTATTTTGGGAAATGGTCTTTTAATGAGAACTGAATGTTCTCAAGCTTCCTCATATCAAAAGAGGAACGCCGTGTGAAGGAAGCTGTGACTTCAAGGAAGGTATGCTCTGTGGCTACTGCTGATACCTCTGAGAGGAGTACCATGAGACTGGTTCTTGGAATACTAAGCTGGAGGCTGGAATCAGTGCTGCTGCTTTCAGATATAGCAAGCTGACAAGTCTTTGGTCTCTCCTCCTGCCTTCTTCTTCTAGTACCCTATAGGCACTGGAGAACAAGATCTTAACAGGAAGACAGCTGGAAATGAAAAATGTAGATTGCATGGTCCCAGCCTCAGCATCACAACGGAAGGCTGGTTTTGGAGATGAGAGATAATCCCAGAATAAGTGGCAAAGTCTCACTGCCCCCCCCACCCCTTACATCTGTCAAAAATCTGTTCTTAAGTCCATATGAGTTATTAATTAAAAGTAGACTTATTTTCTTTGGAAGCAAAAGAATGATTATCTGAAATGTTTGCATTTGTAGCTCTTGGCTTTATTTTGAACTGTTGGCTTTAATACTGGTTTAGCATTATTCATAATTTTAAAATTTCTTTTTTATTTCAGTATCAGATGTAGAAGGTGGTGATGGACTGCAGCTCAGAAAGGAACATACTCTCAAAATATTTACTTATATCAATTCCTGGACACAGAGGTATGCATCTTTAGGTATTTCGAAGACTAATTTTTGTGAGTTGTGTTATAAGTTGCGATTTTTATTGTCACATTTTCTTTTTAGGGTGTTGGGTTAGATACCATTAGTTACTAAATGACAGTTTGTCAATATTTATTAAATCTTTACTCATGAGGTCGATCATGATTCTGTTTTTAAAACATGGGCATAAATATCAGTTTCTTTCTTTGACCCCTGCTTATTTAGGGATATGAGAGTCACAGAAATTCTGAAAAGTAACTATTTTGAGAGATTAAATAATTTTTATGGTATAGCTAAAGGCTTGTAACAATCTTAATCCTTAAAAAAGAAAAGTCATTGTGGTAGGGGATACTTTTAAGCCACTTAATATCTGTTCCGTTTCTATAATTATGTGTATTAGACCAATTTCTAAATAATACATATATTGAGACTATAGGAAATAAAATTTTAGGAAAACATGTTAATATAATCAAAGTTTATAAAAAGGATTCCTGTTCCTCAATGTGATTTTAACTAGTCTTTGCTAATAATTTTTTTCCCTTGAATAAACCAATGAAAATAAAAATTACTTTAACTTAAACTTAGTCCTTCTAAAAAATTTTATGGGTAAGAATGTTTGAAGCATTGTGTGCAGTAGCCAATGAACATGTTAAATGCAGTGATACATAAATGAATGTTCTGAGGTATACAGTCTAGCTGAACATAGAGTTTAGCTGAGTAGTTTAACTTCAAATAACATTTGCTCTATGGTAATATCCTTTTTTCCTCTCTCAGTAGAGTTGGCAGATATACTTGTTGCAAAAGACTTTGTAGATTTTATTTATGTAAACATTCTGTACCATCATTATTGACATTTCTTTTCTGAGTCTCACTGAATTTCAGTAAGTTTAGGAGTGGTTGCTGTTGCATTAGGGATGGACTAGATGAATATTGCATAATACTAATATGTTTATGATTGAAGATGAACTTTAATAGTCCACAATGATTTGCTGAGAAATGTTGTGTCTGAGTCATAATCTTGAGTTTTAATTATTGTAACTACAGCTAGGTGGCAACATGTTATACTAGGAAAAAAATCTACACTTCTGATTTCAGGATCTATAAGTTTGCCACTGAATAAAATGAAATCCAGAGAAACAAAATCATTCTCCTAAAATCTCATCACTAGTTATTGGTAGAGATGGGGTGGGAGTTATATGTTCCCATTCCTAATACACTTGTATTCTAGCTTATTTTTAATCCCTGTATTAAGAATTTTTAACCAAGAGTCTGTGGATGGGAATGAAATTATAAAGGAGATTTTCATATGTGCAGTTTTAGGCAGTAATTCTTAGGTCTCATCAGAATATCAAAGTGTTTGCCTCCAAACCACCGAGAGCCTGTGGTTTATCTCATGTTGCCCTAGAATGTAGTGGTTAAGAAGAGTGTGGCCTGGCCGGGTGTGGTGGCTCATGCCTCTCACTTTTGAGAGGCTGAGGTGGAGGATCACTTGAGCCTAGGAGTTCGAGACCAGCCTGGGCTACAGGGCGAGACCCCATCTCTATTTAAAAAAAAAAAGTGGCCTTGGATCTAGATAGACATGGATTCTAGTCCTGCTTCATCACCTGTGAACGAGTGATGATGACAAATGAGTTAAGTTCTGTAAACTCTCATTTCCTCATTGGTGGAAATAGAATAATAATAAAGCTACTACTGTCTTAATGAGATTGTAAGAAAACAAAGTGCTTAGCACTGTATTTGCTAAAAGGACTTAATAAACACATATTTTAATTAAAATTGTTAAAATTTGTTTTGGAAAATGAAATATAAATTAAAAGATGTAAGCTAAAGTATGAAAGCTAAGCTGGAGAACATTGAATAATTTGTAATTTTGTTCACCTGTCAGTAAGTATGAACAGTTGTTAGCTCGTAGTAATAAAAGTGGAATGTTATACTCTTAATTGTGCATACTCTTAATTGTGCTGATAGAAGGGAGAACAGGTAAAAATAGTTAGATCACAGTGCCTTGTAGTGAAAATTTGTCTATTTCCATCTTCCTCTCTTCCTCCCCTAAATTATTTTCTTGAGCTTCAGAAAATATTGTGGCCTAGATTAAGATTGTCGTTCTAATTAGCGGATAAACAGGTACTAATAAAGCATGGATAATCTGCAAAATGCATTCTTAACTTGGGGCCCGTGGACCAAGTGAGTCCATAAGTGAACCTTAGCGTGGAGATAAACTCATGATATTTCATACAACATGTTATTTATAAGTTTCCTAGAGGGAAAAAGCTTTCGTAAGATTATTAGTGGTCATAAATTGTTTTTGTAGTGTATTATCTACAGTATAGGTAATGGAGAATGTTTACTTCAAAAATAGTATGGTAGGCCAAGCGTGGTTGCTCATGCATGTAATCCCAGCACTTTGAGAGGCCAACGTGGGTGGATCACCTGAGGTCAGGAGTTCGAGACCAGCCTGACCAACATGGTGAAACCCCATCTCTACTAAAAATACAAAAATTAGCCAGGCGTGGTGGTGTGTACCAGTAATCCCAGCTACTCGGGAGGCTGAGGCATCAGAATTGTTTGAACCTGGGAGGCGGAGGTTGCAGTGAGCTGAGATTTGTGCCACTGCATTCCAGCCTGGAATAGAGTGAGACTCCATCTTAAAAAAAAAAAAGTATGTTAACAAGAATTTAATATTTATAAGCATTATAAAGATTTTAGGCCCAGGGTAATGGCTCATGCCTGTAATCCCAGCACTTTGGGAGGCCCAGGGAGGTGGATCACTTGAGTTCAGGAGTTTGAGACCAGCCTGGTCAACACGGTGAAACCCTGTCTCTACTAAAAATACAAAAATTAGCCAGGCGTGGGGTGCTCATGTGTAACCCCAGCTACTCGGGAGCCTGAGGAAGGAGAATCATTTGAACCCGGGAGGCAGAGGTTGCAGTGAGCTGAGATCACGCCACTGTACTCCAGCCTGGGGATAGAGCAAGACTTTGTCTAAAAAAAAAAAAAAAAAGAAAAGAAAAAAAGAAAAAAAAAAAGATTTTAGTATTTTATATATATATTTTTTCTTATTTAAATGATACAGTCATTGTAGGGAAAAAAAAACAACTTTGAGAAACTACAGAGAATTGAAGTTAAAAACAAAAACATGCCACCATTCAGAGCGACAGCTTACAACTTCTTTTGTATATCCATGGTGTGAGACTGAGAACAGTACAGTTTTAAATTTTACAAAAATTATACTTCATGGTCTGATTTCTCAGGTACAGTTAACTATGGTCAGTCTCTGTGTGATCAAGTATTATCTGTGTCATCATTTTTAAGTGCTGTTTAACAGTCATATAGCTGTCACAACTTTGGCTGTAAGATTACGGAGGTCCTGCAGCCAATTAAGCTGACTGAATTCCTTTCCTTATGGGGGTCCAGTGTGCAATGGCTGTAAACAGCAGCTTCCTTGGTAGTGTATGCGGCCTGTTTGTTGTATAGGTTGCTCTAAGGGACCTTGGAGACAGGCCTTTCAGATGTATGTTCGTGTTTCTGACCTTGCACTACCCCAGTGTAGGGTCCAAACAGGCATGTGAGGTGCCTTTGGAAAGCCCCAGGGCACTGTGGCCAGGGTTCACATTGGCCAAGTTATGTCCATCCATACCAAGCTGCAGAACAAGGCGCATGTGATTGAGGTCCTGCTCAGGGCCAAGTTCAAGTTCCCCGGCTGCCAGAAGATCCACATCTGGAAGAAGTGGGGCTTCACCAAGTTCAATGCCGATGAATTTGAAGATATGGTGGCTGAGAAGCGGCTCATCCCAGATGGCTGTGGGGTCAAGTATGTCGCCATTCATGGCCCTCTGGACAAGTGGCTGGCCCTGCACTCATGAGGGCTTCCACTGTGCTGCCCCCTCTTAATACCAATACATTCTACTTCCTGTCCCCCCCCCCAAAAAAAAAAAGATTAGGGAGGTTAATAACACATGTTTGTTTACCAGATTATCATCATTTTATTAATTTAATGATTGGGAATAGAATAGGAGGAAAACTAACTCAGAAAATGGGAAGAGAAAGGAATAGGAGAATAAATTCAAGACTAAATTAGGGAAAGGGAATATACGGATCTGCAAAGGAATATCATGTATGACAAGCACCGATACCACAGAGCATAATTCTTCATGTTGTTAAGTGTTGATTTTTTTTCTTTTTCTTTGCTTGTTTTAAGCTTATTACAAAACTGAGTTAGGTTTATATCTTGGAAATTCCACGTTCCTTAACAGGTATTTAAAGCTCTTTGCTGTCTCCTACCTATCAACTTTTTAACTTTATTTCAGGAATTTCTTCTATATAAGAACTCTGGACGCCAGCCAGGGTGAGGTTCTCTGTCAGGTTTCCAGGCTAAAAGTAGTATCTTTTATATTTGTCATTTGTGCTTAATGTTTGAAGCTTTTACTTTTATTTTTTCATTGTTTTAATAAATTTTGTTTTTTAGAATAGTTTTAGAAGCCGTTGCTTTTAAATAGGTTAAATGTATGTGGTTCACTCTTTAAGGCTCTGCCTTTTATTTTGGCATCAAGAAATTTGTTGGACCAATGGACTGTTGATATTGACCAGTGTTTAAAGTAGTTCTTTTCATAAATTAGCTCATACATAAAACAATTTTTGGTGAGGTTGAATACTGTGGAGTAATAGTCCTTTCATTCTTTCAGCAGAATTGGGCTAGGGAAATGATATTGGACCCACTGGAATATTTGTTGCTAGATGGAATTCTAAAACCTAACCTGGAAAGAATTTTATTTTGACATGTAGATTCCTCATGAATGTTTACTTAGTATTACTTTTAAAATTAAAGCTACATACTTTATATGAGGCATTTAGAAATTTTTATCATTGCATTTTAAAAACATAAGTGCATTTTATTTAGGTGGGCAGCATATAATTCTACTTAGATAATTTTGTCAGGCTGGAAATAACGGTAAAACTGAGAAGAAAATAAGAGAAGCTCAGATGGTGGGAGGATATGTATGATATTGGTGTACCAACATAAGTAATACAGAGTTTAAAAAAATTAATTGGCAGGGAAATGCCTATAATAAAGTCCCTGTGTCCCCTGTCTCCTCACCCTCCTTTCTGTTGTCAGCTTTTTGAGATGTTGGTTTTGATATTAACCTCTATACAGTATTCTGAAACACTCTTCTTATATTGCTGTTGCTTCATCTATCAATTTTAGGTGTAACCTATGAACTTCCAGTTATGATATATAAGGATTTCATTCTTTTACCCTCCCCAGTTCTCTCAGTATAGTTACATCAATTCTTAGGGTAGTTCTAAAAATAAAAATGTTGCTCAGCAATGAGCCAAAAAAGTTCTCTAGTTCATTTTATATCTTGCATGTTCTCTCTTTCTTGGTGTACTGTCTTTTCATTCAGTTAATTTTCTATGTGTGGATCACTTAATTCTCTCAAACGCTCATAAACTATGCATCATTAGGTGATCTTTTATCCCCCCACCCCTGGTCATAACCCTAGAGTATTGATTACTTTCTAGAGTTACTACCTTCTCTTCAGATCTCATCCTTATAATTCATTTTGCTTGTCTCTGAGGCAGGAGAACCTTAGGGTCTGGAGGCAGGGAACCTAAGGCCAATTCACGCTGACTTCCTAGAATTAAAAGGAAAACCCTAAGATTCCACGCCCTGAGTAACAAAAGGACCGGAGGCTACCCCGCTTTGCAACCTCCCCACACATTTTTGTGTGGCAGGTGAAAAATTGAAATTACCTCTAATTGGTCCCCTCCTGCAACTAATCATGCCGGTGGCAGTCCAAGTCTTCATCTGCATAGGAGTATAACTTTGTAACTTCAGCCTCTGACTGGTCCCACTTTCCATAACCAATCAGATGTTTGCATAGGGTGTAACTTTGTAACTTCAGACTGATCATGGGCCACTACTTCATTTAGGTAGGGTGTATACCAAGTAACCAATAGGAAACCTCTAGAGGGTATTTAAACCCCAGAAAATTCTGTAACTGGGTCCTTGACTCCCTTGCTCTGACTGTTCCCACCCTGTGGAATATACTTTCATTTTCAGTAAATCTCTGCTTTTGTTGTTTTATTCTTTCCTCGCTTTGTTTGTGCTTTTGTCCTATTCTTTGTTCAAAGCGCCAAGAACCTGGGCGCCTCCACTGGTAACATCTCCTATCTTGGATCTCCAAGTTTCCTGGATTCCATTTTGTCATCTTTTTAGCTCACTTCCTTGTTGTAGAGGACATCTTTTCTGAGAGAGGATACAAGGGGAGATAAATGTGTATTAGACCTTCCAGGCCTGAAATGTCTATCCTACCCTTATACTTATTGATAGATCTTATTGGATACAGAATTGGAAAATTGCTTGCAGAATTTCAGAAGTATTGATCAGTTGTATTCTAGGTTCCAGTATTGCTTTGGAGAAGCAGTAGCCCTTGTTATTTTTGTGCTTTTCCTTCATACTCTTTTTTTTTTTAAAGTTATTTATTTATTTATTTTATAGAGATGGAGTCTCCCTCTGTAGCCCAGGCTGGAGTGCAGTGGCATGATCTCGGCATCCTCTGCCTCCTGGGTCCAAGCAGTTCTCCTGCCTCAGCCTCCCGAGTAGCTGGGACTACAGGTGCACGCTGCCCGGCTAATTTCTTTTGTATTTTAGTAGAGACAGGGTTTCCCCATGTTGCCCAGGCTGGTCTCGAGCTCCTGAGCTCAGGCAGTCCACCCGCCTTGGCCTCCCAAAGTGCTAGGATTACAGGTGTGAGCCACTCACTCGGCCTCTTTTGTTTTTTTATTTTTAATTTTTTTAATTTTTTTAATTTTTTTGAGACTGAGTCTCACTGTATCGCCAGGATGGAGTGCAATGGCGCGATCTTGGCTCACTGCAGCCTCCGCCTTCCAGGTTCAGGCAATTCTCCTGCCTCAGCCTCCTGAGTATCTAGTAGAGACGGGGTTTCCCCATGTTGCCCAGGCTGGGCTCGAGCTCCTGAGCTCAGGCAATCCACCCGCCTTGGCCTCCCAAAGTGCTAGGATTACAGGCGTGAGCCACTCACTCGGCCTCTTTTGTTTTTTTATTTTTTATTTTTTTAATTTTTTTGAGACTGAGTCTCACTGTATTGCCAGGATGGAGTGCAATGGCGTGATCGTGGCTCACTGCAGCCTCTGCCTTCCAGGTTCAGGCAATTCTCCTGCCTCAGCCTCCTGAGTATCTAGTAGAGACGGGGTTTCCCCATGTTGCCCAGGCTGGTCTCGAGCTCCTGAGCTCAGGCAGTCCACCCGCCTTGGCCTCCCAAAGTGCTAGGATTACAGGCGTGAGCCACTCACTCGGCCTCTTTTGTTTTTTTATTTTTTTATTTTAATTTTTTTGAGACTGAGTCTCACTGTATTGCCAGGATGGAGTGCAATGGCGCGATCTTGGCTCACTGCAGCCTCCGCCTTCCAGGTTCAGGCAATTCTGCCTCAGCCTCCTGAGTATCTGGAGCTACAGGCACATGCCACCACACCCAGCTAATTTTTGTATTTTTAGTAGAGTCAGGGTTTCACCGTGTTGGCCAGGATGGTCTCAATCTCCTGACCTCCTGATCTGCCCGCCTCAGCCTTCCAAAGTGCTGGGATTACAGGCATGAGCCACCGCGCCCGGCCTCCTTGATACTCTTAATTACTCTCCCTGAAAGCTTTTAGAATCTTTATCCCTCCTCAGCTTCAGAAATTTTGTCTGTTTTGGTGGGCCTTTTGGTTGTGAAAATTTTATTTCATAATTTCCTTACCTCCATATTTATTGCTCTCACTTCTTGGAACTATGTTAGTCAGATATTGTACCCTTCTTGATTACTTCCTTTTCATATTCTCTCTTTTTTTTTTTTTTTTTTGAGATGGGATTGCTGTGTTGCTAAGGTTGGAGTGCAGTGGCGTTATGATGGCTCACTGCGGCCTCGACTTCCTGGGCTCAAGTGATTCTCCCACCTCTGCCTCCCAAGTAGCTGGGACCACAGGCATGTGCCACTATGCTCAGCTAATATATTTTTTTATTGTAGAAAGGAGGTCTCGCGATGTTGCCCAGGTTGGTCTTGAACTCCTGGGTTCAAGCAGTCATCCCACCTTAGCCTACTAAAGTGCTGGGATTACAGGTGTGAGCCACTGCACCAGGCCTTTTCTCTCCATTATTAATATTTTTTTCTATTTTGTGGGAGATTTCATTTTTCCCTTTTGTGGACCTTTTGTTGAATTTTACAAATTGCTATAATTTTAATTGGTTTTTAAACTGTAAATGATATATATACAAAAGGTATATGATATGTATTTGCATACATTACAGTGCTCTGAATTTTGTTATTGTTATTTTGGCTCCCTGGCCAAAAAATGCCCTGTTGTGTAATCTGAATTTATATTTTCATAACATTTCATTCTTATTTCAGTAACGTAATATTTTATATCTCTCAGGATATAAATTACAGCTAAAATCTTTTTTTCCTTTTTGTATTTTGTCTGTTTCCTCTAAATTTCTTTTTTCTTTTCTTTTCTTTCTGTTTCTTTCTTTTCTTCCTTTTCTTTTTTTTTTTTTTTTTTGAGATGGAGTTTCGCTCTTGTTGCCCAGGCTGGAGTGCAGTGGCATGATCTCGGCTCACTGCAGCCTCTGCCTCCTGGGTTCAAGTGGTTCTCCTGCCTCAGCCTCCCAAGTATCTGGGATTATAGGCATGTGCCACCAGGCCCAACTGATTTTGTATTTTTAGTGGAGACGGGGTTTCTCCATGTTGGTCAGGCTGATCTCAAACTTCTGACCTCAGGTGATCCACCCGCCTCAGCCTCCCAAAGTGCTGGGATTTACAGGCATGAGCCACCACGCCCGCCCTTACTGTTTGTTTTTATCTGCCTTCAATGATCCAAAGGCAGATAAAATTTTTCTCGCATATCTTATTATTGTTATCCTTTCATGGTAATAAGAGGGGTACTAAAAAGTGAATTTGAAGGCCTCTGTGGTCAGGGCATCTCAGATGTTGGCCACTACTGTATGATGGTTAAATGGTGAGTAGGCTTTCTTGTTGGGGCTAAACGGGCTTTTTCTATTCCAAACCCCACCACAAATACACTAAACTAAGAACACTCTAGAAGGACAGAAATCATGGGACAAAAGATGACAGCTATCAGCATAGTTTGGATGACAGAAAAGGGACAAATAGTAACTCGGAGTGAAAGAAATAAACTTGGTAAGAGCTATAAAAAGACATTTAAAAGAAGTATATTTCAATCTTTCGCTTTGAGATATGTTAGTCTGGTGGTTGGGTTACCAGATAGGAAGGGTACTTGAGGAGGTTTACCATTTAAGTCATATATTTCACTTATCTTGCTTTCAGTTTTTTTTTCTTTTTTTTTTTTTTGAGACAGGATCTTGATCTGTCACCTGGGCTGGAGTACAGTGGCATAGTCTAGCTCACTGCAACCTTGACCTCCTAGAGTCAAGCAATCCTCTTATCTTTGCCTCCTGTGTAGCTGGGATTACGGGCGTATGGCACCTTGCCTGCCTAACTTTGTTTTTTTTTGAGACGAGGTCTCACTATGTTGCCTAGACCAGTCTTGAATTCCTGGGCTTAAGCGATCCTCCTGCCTCTGCCCCCCAAAGTGCTGGGATTACAGGCATGAGTTGCTTTCATTTTCTTGATCACACTTGCCTTCTTTGGTATCTGGTGTTCCTGAGTTTATCTTGTTCATTATGTATAGAAAAAACTTGTTTTCATGGGTGATACAGGAATAATATTTTGTTTTTTTTAGGATGGGAACCTGCAGGTTTTAATTGTACCTTTCATTAGTCGTCTTATTTTCTGCCTCAGGCTTCATCCCTGCCTTTAGAGATATCTTATGTTCTTAAGTCCTGAGCCTTTCCAGTGTTCTGTGGGGTTGATTTTTCTTTTTCTTTGTAAATCCATTTCATAGCTAGTTGGAAGTTTATTTCCTTCACTCTGAATTACTTACTATTTTTCCCTTTTCTGTCACTCAAAATATGTTGATAGCTGTCATCTTCTGTTTCATTATTTCTGTTTTTCTAGAGTGTTCTTTAGTATATTTGTAGTAGGATTTCGAATAGAGAACAAGTAAAGTTTATGTGTAAAATCAAGCTGGTTTTGGTGAAGCTTGTAGCTAAAAAAAATTCAAGCTGGTTTTGACTGAAAGTGATATTTTTATTTAAAACACCTTTTCCGCCTTGCATTATGGATGCAATGTACAGCAAGGGTCCCCAGCCCCTGGGCCACAGACTGGTACCCAATTAGGAACCAGGCCACACAGCAGGAGCTGAAGGGCAGATGAGTGAGTGAAGTTTCATCTGTATTTACAGCCATTCCCCATTGCTCACATTACCACCTGAACTCCACCTCCTGTCAGATCAGTGGCAGCATCAGATTCTCACAGGAGCATGAATCATGTTGTGAACTGTGCATGTGAGGGATCTAGGTTGCACACTTTTCATGAGAATATAATGCTTGATGATCTATCGCTGTCTCCTATCACCCCCAGATGGTACCGTCTAGTTGTAGGAAAACAAGCTCAGGGCTCCCACTAATTCTACATTATGGTGAGTTGTAGAATTATTTCATTATATATTACAGTGTGATACTATAACGTGCACAATAGATGTAATGTGTTTGAATCATCCCAAAGTCCTCTGGGTCCTTGGAGAAATTGTCTTCCACAAAACAGGTCCCTGTTGCCAAAAAGGTTGGGAACCATTGATACACAGAGGGAAACGCCGTATTGAGAATTCATATACCTAGACTTCTCAGAATTGAATGTAATAGAATAAAAAGTATTATTTATGTAATATACAATTATTTAAAAAATACATATATTTGTGTACGTGTGTGTTCCCCTGTTAGACTCACAGCCCTTTTTGAACTTGTGTATTTTGGATCTGGAAGGACCCAGACCCAGTTTCTTCTGTTACTTTGTTCACATAATTTTTGTCTTTGAAGATCATCAGTTTCTTAGGTCCATTATCAAGCAGTTTAATGCTCATTTTCTAACACTTATTTTATTTATTTATTTACTTTTTGAGATGGAGTCTTGATCTGTCGCCCAGGCTGGAGTGCAGTGGCGCAGTCTTGGCTCACTGCAACCTCTGCTTCCTGGGTTCAAACAATTCTCCTGTCTCTGCCTCCTGAGTAGCTGGAATTACAGGCACCCGCCACCATGGCTGGCTAATTTTTGTATTTTTAGTAGAGATGGGGTTTCACGATGTTGGCCAGGCTGGTCTCGAACTCCTGACCTCAAGTGATCCACCTGCCTTGGCCTCCCAAAGTGCTGGGGTTACAGACATGAGCCACCGTGTCCGGCCCTAACACTTATTTTAAAAGTAAGTTTGGCTGAATCTTTGGCTTTCTTCATCCAAATCTGACTTCAAGTTCGTTTTCTGGGTTTTCAGATTCCATTTTTAGTAAATGATCTGCCTGCCTCAGCCTCCCAAAGTGCTGGGATTACAGGCGTGAGCCACCACACCCGGCCTGACCTCTTACTTTGAACCTGATTTTTCTAAGTTTTTTATGTTTTTTGAGACAGTCTCCCTCTATCACCGAGGCTAGAGTGCAGTGGTGCAATCTTGGCTGACTGCACCTTCCACCTCCCGAGTTCAAGCAATTCTTGTGCCTCAGCCTCCTGAGTAGGTGGGATTACAGGTGTGTGCCACCATGCCCAGCTAATTTTTGTATTTTTAATAGAGACGAGGTTTTGCTGTATTGGTCAGGCTGGTCTTGAACTCCTGGCCTCTAGTCATCTGCCCACTTTGGCCTCCCAAAGTGGTGGGATTACAGGCTGAGACAGCGCACCCCCCGACACTCAAGTTTATGACCTCACTTTGTTTTTGTTTGTTTTTTTGAGAGGGAGTGTCTCACTCTGTCTCCCAGGCTGGAGTGCAGGGGGCGTGATCTCGGCTCACTGCAACCTCCGCCTCCCAAGTTCAAGTGACTCTCCTGCCTCAGCCTCCTCAGTATCTGGGATTACAGGTAGACCACCAAGCCCGTCTAATTTTTTATTTTTAGTAGAGAAGAGGTTTCACCATGTTGGCCAGGCTGGTGTCAAACCCCTGACCTTAAGTGATCTGCTTGCCTCAGCCTCCCAAAGTGCTGTGATGACAGGTGTGAGCCACCACACCCAGCCTGACCTCTTACTTTAAACCTGATTTTTCCTAAACATCAAAGGAAAAAGCTGTTAATCAGAAGAATTGTAGGAGAAATGTGTTTATTTTTCTTCTTGTGGGAGTTGTGATACTATAGAATTGTAAAGCTGGAGGAGGCCTTGGAGGTAAAAATTAAAACCCTTTCATTTTGCCACAGATAAAAAAGATGTGATGCATTATTTATATATATTTATAATTATATATTTCTGTGTGACAAAAATACTCCAAAAGTAGTACTATATCTTAAAACAGCAGTAAACATTTATTATCCTCAAAGTTTCAATGGGACAGGAATTTGGGAGTCCTTTAGCTGTTTGGTTCTGGGTCGGGTTTCCTATAATGTTTTAGTCAAGGTGTTGGCCAGGTCATAGTCATGTAAAAAGCTCATGTGGGGCTGGAGGATATACTTCCAAGTTGGCTTGCTTTAGATAGTGACCAAGTTAGTGCTGGTTGTTTATTTTATTTATTTTTTATTTTTTTGTGACAGAATCTTGCTTTGTCACCCAGGCTGCAGTGCAGTGGCATGATCTCGGCTCACTGCAATCTTTGTTTCCCCGGTTCAAGTGATTCTCCTGCCTTAGCATCCCAAGTAGCTGGGATTACAGGTGCCCACCACCACGCCTGGCTAATTTTTGTATTTTTAGTAGAGATGGGGTTTCACCATGTTGACCAGGCTGATCTCGAAATCCTGAATTCAGGTGATCCATGCACCTCGGCCTCCCAAAGTGCTGGGATTACAGGCATGAGCCACCACACCCAGCCTCAGTGCTGGTTGTTAATGAGAGGTCTTGGTACTTTCTCATGTGGTCTCCTCTTTAGGCTGCTTGAGTGTTTTTCAGTGATAGGTGGCTTCCTCTAGAGTAAGTGATCCAAAAAAGAGCAAGGCAGAAGTGACAATGTCTTTTATGACCTAGTCTCAGATGTCACACATTGTCACTTCCACCACTTTCTATTCACTAGAAGTGAGTTCCGTCTACACAGAAGAATATCAAGTAATTTGTGGCTGTACTTCAAATTCACACTTGGAGAAATAAGATTATTTCCACATGATCATACAGGGCATTGGTGATCTATTTGGACTACAATATAGTTGTTTTGATCTGATGCTATTACTGGGTGCAGATTATAAATTATAGTTGCTTAGCTGTCATCTGGTACAAGTATTATTAGAACCAGGTACTTGCGTATGTATTAATTGCCTATTGATTCACCAGACCGTTCCCTGCCTTTTTTTGAGACATGGTTTTGCTCTGTCACTCAGGCATGATCAGGGTTCACTGCTGTCTCAGCCTCCTGGGCTCAAGCCTCTCGAATAGCTGGGACTACAGGCACAAGCCACGATGCCTAGCTGATTCTTTAATTTTTATGTTTTTGTAGAGATGGGCCTCATTATGTTGCCCTGGGTTGTCTTGAGCTCCTGGACTTAAGCGATCCTCCCACCTTGGTCTCCCAAAGTGTTGGGATTACAGGTGTGAACCACTGCACCTGGCTGAGATCCTTTTAATTATCTACATATGCCAGGCATTGTGCTACTAACTGAACATGTCTAAGGAGAACTGGATTTGTTTGTAATACTTTTTTTTTGAGACTGCGTTTTGGTCTTGTTGCCCAGGCTGGAGTGCAGTGGTGTAATCTTGGCTCACTACAGCCTCCGCCTCCCGGGTTCAAGTGATTCTCCTACCTCAGCCTCCCAAGTAGCTGGGATTACAGGTGCCCACCACCATACCCAGCTATTTTTTTTTTTGCATTTTTAGTAGAGACAGGGTTTCACCATGTTGGTCAGGCTGGTTTCGAACTCCTGACCTCAAATGATCCACCTGCCTCAGCCTCCCAACGTGCTGGGATTACAGGCGTGAGCCACTGCGCCTGGCCAATATTTTTTTTTTTTTTTTAAATACACATATATTTTTTTTTACAGGAGCTTGGGGGGGAGAGAGAGAGAGAAAGAGAGAGTGTGTGTGTGTTGTTCCTAAACACTTTTGATTTGCCAGATAGCGTCAGAGCACCCCTCCCAAGTAGCCTTCAAGGACATTAATCTAAAAATGTGGCTGTTTTATTAGTTGACAACAAAATTCCTTATATTAAATAACCAGCTGGCTTTACTAATAAGATATTTTGTTATAAGTTTCCTAATAACTTGCTAAACATATATTGAGTACTTGACACTGGAGAAACAAAATGTCACAATTCTTGTTTTTAAATAGTTCCATGTGTAGAAGGACAGACAAATCCATACGTAAAACTGAAGATAATAGCTGTAAACCTAACATGATGACTTTACACTAACTAAAATATCAGTTGTTGTTGCGATGCTATCTTTATGTTATTAAGGTGTACCCCAGCAGGAAGGAAAAAATAAAAACAAGTCTAGAAATAACTTAGTATTTGCTTACTTGTTTTTTTATATTATTAAAAAATACAGCTGCTGCTTTATTACTAATTTATTCAATTTTTTTTCTCTTATAGGCAATGTCTATGCTGCTTCAAGGAATATAAGCATTTGGAGATTTTTAATCAAGTAGTGTGTGCACTTATTAACTTAGTGATTGCCCAAGTTCAAGTGCTCCGGGACCAGCTTTGTAAACATTGTACTACCATTAACATAGATTCCACGTGGCAAGATGAGAGTAATCAAGCAGAAGAACCACTGAATATAGATAGAGAGTGTAATGAAGGAAGTACAGAAAGACAAAAATCAATAGAAAAAAAATCAAACTCTACAAGAATTTGTAATCTGACTGAGGAGGAATCTTCAAAGAGTTCTGATCCTTTTAGTTTATGGAGTACAGATGAGAAGGAAAAACTCTTACTATGTGTGGCAAAAATTTTTCAAATTCAGTTTCCCTTATATACTGCTTACAAGCATAATACTCACCCTACTATTGAGGTATGTAAAATAGGTGGTGTGAATTTTAAGTAATACCAAGTCTTAACTTCGCAGTCTGTTTCTTACTGATAAATATGAAGACAGTTTTCTGCTGGCGGAAAATCATTATTGTCACCAGAATTATTTAATGTTTCTCCAGAGCATTTCTTCAGCAGTTTGTGCTGAAAATTTGCTCGGCATAGTTCATCCTATCAAGGAAAGATCTATACATTGAACTCAGAAATTAATCTGGTAGTGATCTAAACATTTTACTGCTATAGATCTATGCTTATTTTATGACTCTTAATAAATAATAGTTGAGGGAAAAGAAACACATGGAATTTTAAATTTCATTCTTAGAAACAGTCTACAGATCAGAATTTGCTTTTATCAAGAAAAAAAAGCTTAGCAAATTATCTGTGATTAGTAGTTTCAAATAATAGTATTTCCTTTTCTTTCTTTCTTTCTTTCTTTTTTTTTTTTTTTTTTTTTTTTTGAGATGGAGTCTCTCTCTGTTGCCCAGGCTGGAATGCAGTGGTGTGATCTCGGTTCACTGCAAGCTCCGCCTCCTGGGTTCATGCCATTCTCTTGCCTCAGCCTCCCAAGTAGTTGGGATTACAGGTGCCTGCCACCACACCTGGCTAAGTTTAAAAAGAATTTTCTTTAGTAGAGACGGGGTTTCACCGTGTTAGCCAGGATGGTCTCGATCTCCTGACCTCATGATCTGCCCACCTCGGCCTCCCAAAGTGCTGGGATTACAGACGTGAGCCACCACCCCTGGCTAAGTAATAGTATTTTCTTTTGTAAGTTAAGATGCTTGACTCTATTAGTGATGTTTTTGCAAGCATTTCTAAGTATGTAGTAACCTATCTTAGACTTAACTCAGATAATATGATTGATTTCTAGGCATAGTGGGAATTGAGACAATTATGTGGTAATATATTAATGACTTAACAGTGGTTTATTATTCCTCATGATTCTCACAGGCAGTTCCTTAGCTAGTTTTGTGTAGGCTGAGTTATGCAGGTGAATTTACTTTGAGAACTGGATGGGTAAGGTCTGGGTCGCACTTGTGTGTGTGGCAGTTGGTAGTGGCTGTTATCTGGGGCTCCTTGTATTTTCTCCACATGGCTTATTTTCCACTAGGGTAGATTGGCTTCCTTAAATAGTAGTCTTAGCAGTGCTCCAGGAAGGCAAAAGTAGGAGCTGTAAGACTTCTTATGATACAGCCTTTGAAATGTCACAGTATAATTCTGCCATATTCTATTGTGCTGCTTTCTGTTACTTGAAGCGGTTCACAAGGGCAGCCCAGATTCAAAGGGGTAGTGAAGTAGACTCCATTGCTGGGGGGAGGAGAGGTAAAATTTCATTTTATATCTTATACATTGTTTCCTGTGCATCCTGGAATATGAAGAATTATGGCCATTAGAGAATCTATGACATTTTTTTTGTTTGTTTTTTATCTGTCTCTTTTCTCTAGCTTATTTGTTCTGTAACCTTTATACCTCTCTTTCTTCATCTGGGAAATAATAGTCCTTTACTGGGATATTTTCATGTCGAATGGAGACTTATTTGAAAACATAGCTTGAGGGCAGATATTTTCCCTGTTAGAATTCTTCGTAAGAATATTTTAAATCAGGCACACAAGTCACCTACTTGGCCCTCTTCCAAGTTGTACTTTCTGTCCTTCTTTCCTTACTGTTCTAAAGCTTTTTTTTTTTTTTTTTTTTTTTTTTGAGATAGAGTCTTGATCTGTCGCCCAGGCTGGAGTGCAGTGGTGTGATCTCGGCTCACTGCAAGCTCCGCCTCCCGGGTTCACGTCATTCTCCTGCCTCAGCCTCCTGAGTAGCTGGGAGTACAGGTGCCCGCCACCATGCCCGGCTAATTTTTTTCTTTGTATTTTTTAGTAGAGATGGGGCTTCACCCTGTTAGCCAGGATGGTCTCGATCTCCTGGCCTTGTGATCCGCCCGCTTCTGCCTCCCAAAGTGCTGGGATTACAGGCGTGAGCCGCTGCGCCCAGCCTCTAAAGCTTTTTGATAAACTTTCACTCACTCCTGCTCTGGGTGGGGGAGAAAGAGTGTTTAAAAGCAGATTGTGCTCTGTTTTCTAAAAATCTTAGCCTGTGATCTTCCAGTATAGAAACTTAAATAATCTCTTACATGATATAAAATATATTAAATATTCTGAAAAAGTAATCTTTTTTCAACAAAAGAAAGTCCCATCAGGCAAACTTGAAATATTTAATCTACATAAACACCATCTACATAGTGCTTTAATATCTTAACTTGGTAACTGAAAGATGCTGAAAATAGTTTCGTTAGGGACTTAGATATGTGAAATTCACAGAAATTTTTTCCAATTAAAAATTTCTTAATGATATAGAACTATATAAGTAATACTGAGTCTGCTGCTTCTAAAATAAACTTGCTCATCAGTGTTTTTTCTTTCCTGTTTTCAAAAATGGTAATCTCTAAATGTAGGCATAGTTACACTCCTGTACTTTGTTTTAAAGTACTTTGTTATTATTATTCGTGAGTATTTTATGTTACTACTTGGTTGAAAGCAGTGGTTTTTTGAGGTCTTCGAGGAAAATTCTGACAAAAAATACCCATAGAGATAATAAAGGAGTTACCTCCTTATACCAAATTCTATTAATATATTAGATATGTGCCTCTTTAATTTTCTTTTCGTAATAGTTGTTTCCGAGGTTTCTATTATCTTAATAATGATCTGTTACAAGTGCTCTAAAATTTCTAGTTTCTATCCCAGTGGCCATTTAATTAAATGCGGTAAGGGTCAACTGTTTCAAATGGTCTTAGATCAAAGACTTGGTAGCATACATGTTATAAAATTATATATATGTATAAATTTTGTATGTATATACACACAATTATTTTAAAGCAAACAAATTATTATGAAATGTAATACAGCTTACTAGAGATTTTTATCCCACTTTTCTTTGAGGAAATTGTCCATCTAGTCTTTTCTTTGTGCTGCTGTGCTATCCTTTCTTAAGCCTTTGATTTTGATTTTTCGTTAATATTTTTTAAAGAGGCACAACTTAGCCAAAATTCTTAGGAGGACAAGATTCAAAACTCATGTGTTAGTATTTTGATAGCTGTGTCTTTAGAAACCTACTCAACACTTTTATTTTATAGAAGAAGCAACTGGCCTACAGAGGTTAAAAGATTTGATTGGGCATATTGCTGAGAAGAGTCCTAGAATCCGGGTCTTACTCTACTGCACTACTTCTA